>NC_000003.12:114311634-114614664 GCF_000001405.40 Homo sapiens
AAAAAAATCTGAGGCAGCTAAGTGGTCCAGTTCATGTAAATAGGGCCAAAATTGTCAAGAAATTTGCAACTCATAGGGGTTATGCAGAAATAGACTGTCATCACAGGACTTACCATAGACTATATTCATTCTGACTTCATGTAGGCTGTGAAGAGCACCTTCTCTGGGACTAAAACTCTGATGGACTTCACAGAGATCAAAAAAGAAGTAATCATGGAGTGTAGTGGACAGGGAATTTAGAAACTTGGTCCAAGTGCTGAGCTCTGCAATTAGTTTCACGACTTTGGATAAGCCACTTAACCTATCAAAGACTCATAAATATTTCCTCATTTATAAAATGGTAATATTACTATCTTTCTAAGATTCTTAAGAAGATGAGGCAGGAACGTGGCTGACTGCTTTGTGAGCTGCAAGATGCTGGGTTAATATTATTGTGTTCTGCCCCAGGAACACGTGCACCAGGTAATGCTAATGATGCCACAGAAGTTTTCATGGAGGCAACAAAACTGGCTTGGAGCAACTGAGGTATCTGAAATTATCTATCAATCAATGTTCTTAAAAACTGAGATATAAGGAAAGCTAAGAGTTGCAGATACAGCCTTGGGGTCCACAAGTTCTCTGCAAGCGTTTAAACATTGTGTGTTTTAAGTGAAATGATAATCTTCAAAGAAGTCATCTATATCTGGATGTTGATAGCCTTCTTAAAACAGAGTGTTGTCATTGGTTTTAGCCTCTATGTTTGTGTTTATACATATAAACTTGATTATAATCAAGTTTATTTAAAGGCACAGAAGCTTAATTTATAAATGATTCATTTACTCCCAGATGGGTGGAGAAGTGGAAGACTTTGCAGTATTGAACTAACAGGAAAGTGAAGCGATAATTGCTTTACTTTGCACACTGTAGTGTAGGGATGTTGTATTCAGAAGGGTGTGTGCAGTACACTTAACTTTGTGAGCCATGACTTAGATTCAGGAAAGCATCATTCTATGCACTCATTGTTATTGTAGACATTACTAATTTTATAGTTTTACTTGTACTTAATTAGTAACTTGTAGTTTTATAATTCTACAAGGGATATAAGCATAGTAAGTTCACTTGTCGTTGTGTTTGAGCCTATTTAAGAATGTCTATAATAAAATAATTATGCATATTATGAATTTATTACTAGATATTATAATAAGAATAATTATTTTATTATTATCGCCTCCCATTGAGGAGGTCTGTGAAACTATTTTTTTTCCTTCATATGGGCATACACACATTACTCAAGTTTGAGAATAATGGTATGGTATAAATATTATTGGATTTCAGAAAACCTGACCTCAGGCACTAGTTTATTGTTTTTTATTGGAAAAACACATATTTCTGAACCTGTGTTTTTATAAATTAGTGCAATCATAGCTACATCACAATATTTACAGTATAACTGTGAAGATGAAGGATATTAAGGAGAAACTTTGTAAACTGTGAAGTACCATATGAGTAGCGTATGTGTCATTTACAATTATTACAGCCTGTATATAAATCGCACCACAATGTTTTTAACAGGTACAGAAGAAAACTTAAGAGTGTGTGGATAGTGCAAAGAGAGATCCAAGACTTTGGGTGAAGCTGGCTGGCATTGTTAAGAAGATGTTGGTTCACAGAAATGATATAGAGACAAATTATGCATCATGAAAATATTTTCTTCCTCTTTATACTTCTAGACTATCAATCAGGTTGACTTAGAAGTTCAGCAATTGAGTTGCAAGAAGTAAATATTTAAATTCACAGTGGTAATGTTGAAATCTCAGGAATTTATTGACATCCTTTCAGTCTAGAGGTCTCTTGATGACTCTCCCCATCCCAAGCTCATGCCTGGATATTTTTGTGCTCCTCACACTGGTGGAAATGTCTGTCCACACTCAGCTTCTCCAACTCAAAGCTTAGTGTTCTTGCGAGTCCCCAAACTAGACCGCTTATTCTTTGGACCCTTTCTTGACTCACTCTAGCCATTATCAACTTCCTGTTAGTTTAGAAACTCCCTTGGCATTGAGAGTCTGAATGGCACAATCTAGCTCTTGATTTTATACAAACCTCTCTTCATGTCTAGTTGTTAGATTTTAAGCCTTCTCATGGCTGAAATAATTTCCTCTCTTTTATTCATACATTGCACAGTGCTGACTGAAATACAGAAGACATTGTGAATTTAATTTGTGTTGACTTCACCAAGGACAAACAAGATATAAGTTTTCTTCACCATATTAGCACTTTCTGTAAGAATGATGAGATCAGAGAGCTCTTTATGGCCAGGGTCACTATAACAAAGAATCTATGGGCCAAATAGGAGTCCCTTATGAGTCTCCAAAGTCATTAAAGAGGGGCATGTTTTGTGCCATGAACTTTCCTTTTTTGCATATGGAGCTGAGAAACCCAAAAGTTAAAAAGGAGACTCAGTGATAGATTCATGGATAACAGAGATGGGTGGAAACAAGAATAGGTGGGCATAGTGTTATAATATGGGATTGATTATTTCCACAGCAGGCAGACTGTGATTTGCATGTGGAAAAGGAAAAAATGTGAATCAATTTGTAGAGCAATAAGTGATCCTTGTCATTTTTGAGGTTTGAATATGTATAAGACAATACACCAATTTGCTTTATATTTCCTCAAAGTGACTTCGACATCACCAATCCTGTCTGTAGTTCCTACTTCTTGTATTGAGAAGACTAATATACTCAGAGTTTTTCTGGCCTTGTAGGTAGAGTCCTCAGTTTGGATAAATAATCTCAGATTAGACATAGAATACAATGTGTGAAAGAATGTGGAGAACTGCCTAAAACAGAAACTACAGTATAAAGAAGACACAATAGGAAACCAAGAGAAGAGTTTTTTTTTTTTTAATTATTCCTTCATATTCAAACTTCACAAACAGTGTGAACTTGTACAATACCTCGGAAAGTGAAACTTACAAAAAAAGTGCTGGTAACATTTAAAAAAAAAACAACAAAAACCCCAAAAAAACAAACATCATTCTTAGCAACATCAATTACTCTTCCACACAAAACAGAAACCTTGTAAAATTTATTTTCGTATTTTTAAGGCGTAATACTTCCGTATAAAGTATATGCAAGAGATAAAACTTCACAGTATTCCAAAATGTCACAATAATAATAATAATATAATAGTATAATGAAGCGCTACAGTTAATTTTTCTTTTTTTGAATGTTTTTTTTCCTGTTTAAATAACAAATACAAGTCACAGGTAAATATACGTGAGAAAAATACGAGGCTAATATTAAATGGCAGGTAAGGATACTGTCACTGTAAGAAAAAACTGGCAGGATGTGTGTATTTAGTCTATATTTTAAAGCACTTGATAGAAAAGGCGTATGCAAGGTTTTTCCAAACAATTTTTCTGTTTGTTTGTTTGATAACTGACAACAATTTAAGAGTATAATGAGAAAAAAAAAGGAACAAACTCCCTCTCAAAACTATTGACCTGCTCATCCCAAACCATGTATATGTTGATGGATGGATGTGTGTTTTTGTGGATATATGGATTTATACCGTGCACAGAGTGATACAAGCAGTGTTCCATGCCCACCTGCAAAGATTGGAGGGTATAACACTGCAGTCATTCAGCCCAGGTTCCTCTTAGGAAATTAACCTTTCAATTTAAAGCTCTCTTTCCTTGCCTCTCCCTCTTTCCAAACTCTTCCTCAATTCCCAGGTCTTTGTTCTGAAAAGACAATCTGGTTAGAAAAGTTGCCCTCCACTCATAATTCACTGGGAAATGGAAACTGCATAAACAGTGACACACAGACACTGGAAACACCACTTGAATGAATGAATGAATGGATATGTATGTGTGTGTGCATGTGTGTATGTTTTAGGTCACATAAACATACAGTGTGTGCGTGGGTGTGTGTATTTTAGGTCTAAACATACAGTGTGTGTGTGTGTGTGTGTGTGTGTGTGTGTGTGTGTACACAGTAGCAATTGCAAAAAAGGGACCATATTCCTTTCCATACTAAGATACAATGTGATAAGAAACATTTCTGTGCAGGGAAAAAGGTTTCTTCGAATCTTATCACAACACTGCGGCGGGAAAATCAGGAAATGGGTTCACCTTTCAGCAGTCACCACAGTAAACTTCATTGAGAACATACATGCCCAGATATCTCTTCTGTGCACATGTATATGTTAACAGCTAGCCATTCAGCCAACAGGTAACAGAAAGACAGCAGATAGCAAACACATCAATAAGGTGCTCAAAGAAAAAAGTGGCACCCACTTCTCAAATGGATGGCCACGTTAAGGTGCTTCAAAAAAGGTTTTTTGTTTTTTTGTTTTTTTTTTCAGTTTTTATTTCAAACATTAAGAGAGTACTGATTTTCACATGGTAGTTCTGAGTCAGGCCAAAGGTTTTGAGGTTTCTGACATCTTTCACTGAAAAGGGCTTTCACTGTAGTAGTTTTGTTCAGTTTGTTGTGGGTGACGAGTTTAAAAATGTTTTTCATAGCCAGAAACTGAAATCAAATCAACATGACTAAAAGAAATAACTGATGAAATGGTATATAGAACATTACTGCATTCGCATCGGATCAAGATGGTTTCGCCCATTTTTCCTTTTTCACTAACACTGTTCCTTTTTTTCCTTGTTACAATCCATTCTTTATGAACATACAGAAATGACCAAAGTCACTGCAAGTAGCTGTTTTTATTTTTTGTGATCTGTTGCAAGAGTCCAACCTTGTTTCCTCTGCTGCTGTTTGTGTAGCATCTGGTTTTGTAATGAGCATCTGGATTTGTAATGAGCATCTGATTTTGTTATGTGCATGTGTGTATATATGCACATATACACACCTATACATGTATAATATATACACTATATATATGTGGATACATATAGGAAGTGTGTATACATTTATACATAATATAGTGTATATCGTTTCAACTGGAGATAAACTGAACTGGGTTCAGACACTAGCACATGCTTAACTTTCCCCTGCTCCCTCTGTATATTTTAAACAGTCTGGAGCTTTAATTTATTTTTTAAAGTGCATTTTCAATGCAGAAAAACTGTAATCCACTGATTCCTTGGAAAACATTTTTGATGAGAAAAATCTGACAGTTCTCAGCCCCAAGCAAGAGAAACCTGGGTTTGGTCATGCTGGGGGCTGACGTGGCAGTGCCAGGCTCGTGCCTGAGTGATTAATGGACATTCTGGACTCCGGGCACCTTAGCAGCAGCAGCAGCACCTTTATGAGAAGGTAGAGATAGAAAAGGAAGAAGGAAGGAAAGCTCAGATGAGGAAGAATGAAGTATTGTGTTTACGTATCAAAATTGCTAACTTTGACTATAATGGACTTGTGCAGTTCCTGTTGGCCTCGGCTAAGAGATGCCATCTAGTCCCTTCTCCACCAACTGACACCAAACTCCCCATGGCCCCTGCATGCTCAAACATCACCCATATGTCCCCACGCCTAAGGCTGACTTCTGTGTCAGCTTCTTGTGGGTATGTGAGTGCCAGCATCAAGTAGGAATAAGGCACCAGAGAAATCAAAATGTTACAAAAAGATGCAAACCCCATTTCAAAGAGCCTCTCCCATTGCTCCATTAAAATATTGCATGTGATACCATTCGTTTGTGTGTACCTAAAGTGTGTCAAATACAGTCTCTGAAAGGAACTCGAGGCCCTTCAGCACCAGAGATCTTCAGGAATGCATCTTTTTTCTAAACACACCCACACCACCCCCAACCCCCCATGCCCACCCCACACCAAAAGCAAAAGCACCAAATTGGGAGAACAAGGCTGCTTGCCATTGCTCACCTCATTTTTGAAAAAATCAGAGAAGTCTATGAAATACAATGTTCAGGAAATGCTCTGAAATCAAACGGATTTAGGCTGTCATGTACATGGTTACTCAATGCTTTAAATGTCCAAAGAGTGTCATGAAGGGGTTGAAATGTTTGTGTTCAATGTTTAGGGGGAATGTGTTAAACAAAAGTTACTTCTCAAACGATGCCCAAATCTTCCACTAACACATCAACCTCCCCTATCACTTTTTAAAAAAATTGTAAAGAGGAAGAGGTTCATCTAACTATAAAAGGAAAAGATGAAGGCACGTGATATTATTCGGTCCCACAATCCTTAAGAAAAACGGTATTTTGCAAGTTTGTGTGTGTGTGTGCTCGCATACATGAAACGCGAGTCCAAGGGGCCATTGGGGCAGTAGTCCAAGGGAAGCTGGAAAAGGGGAACAAGAGAGAGTTTTTAGACAGAAGAAAGGAAAAAGGAAGAAATAGAGGCCTCTCTTCAGCTTTCTGTCATTGACAGTCTCAAGATTCGGCTGCTTTAGAGTCCAGAAAGGAATTTGTTTGTCTTGGTCTGGAAAGTGCCCCAGTTAAATATCTCCAGTTCATCATGGTACAGCTTTTGGTGTTTCCCTTTTCCCTTCCCTCCAGCCAAATGATTTTTTAAAAAAATCACAGTTTTTAAAAATTATTTTTTCAATGTTGAAAAAATATGGAAAAGCTATTGAACAGCCTTAGGGCACTGCCTCTCCATCTTCACAGTGAGCAGATGGATGGATAATCCACAGAGTCAAAGAGGAGGTGGGCAAGATCCCTTGTGCTCAGTGGTCTCTTGCCCCACCTTCCTGAGGGCTGGGGGGCCTTCACACCACCCACAGCCATTTCCCTCCTTTGGGTCCCTGCCCCCCTGCTCCCATCCATGGAATGTGGGCTGCTGAGAAAGGCAGAGCCAGGCTAGGGAACGATGATAACAGTAACAGGAGGGTCTCAGAAGCAGAGGGTGAAGGAGACAGGAGGCGTGCTCTCCTCAGGCAGTGTTAGCAGTGTGCTCTCTTGGCAGCCTCATCTCAGGATGGGAAAGTGTGGTTGCCCACTGAGAGGGTGAAGTCCCACTCACATTTTACTTCGTGAGACCTCAACTCTCAGGCTCACCACCTTTATGCCTCTCTTTGCATCAGGTTGGCCCCCAGTCCCTAAGAAGGCAATGATTTGAGATAGAGAGGCAGAGCCCGGCTGTGTCATACAAAAAAGGGCAACGCACAGCAGGATTTCAGAAACAAATTTAACTTTGGTTTTCCAACTTTTTCAAACCATAAAAATTAAAGCAGGGCTTCGGTGGCTTTGATAATCTGACAGCTGTTATATTTTTCTCATTTGGCAAGGCTAAGGCAGGGGGTAGGGGGAAGAGAAAAGGGGTTTCCCATAATTGGTTGAAGACACAGGGTGGTAAAATGCTTCCACACTTAAACTCACAGTCCAGTGTTTTTGACATTTCATAAATAGCTTTTTTTCTCTAAAAAAAGAATAAAACAAGAACAATCCCTTTACTTACTCATCTGAAACAAAATAAACAGCAGTGGGTACAAACTTCTTCTTGTAACAATTACAAAAAACAACAATATAATCCCAACTTTTAACACGCATCTTGAATCAGTAATTTTTTTTTAACCTCAAAACTGCAGCATATCCTTAAGGGCAAACTTTTCGATTAGTTTTTTTCTTTTTTTTTTTTTAAATAATGTCTTCACCAAAAAAACAGTCTTGTACCAATAAAATGCATTCAAAAATAGAAAATATTACACAACAAAAATATGTATCCTTCCTTTCCAAAAAAGATTCTTCACAAAAAAATGTAGAAAAAATTCCAACAATTTTTTTCCTCTCCTAAACATTAACCTTCAGTCTAGGGCACAATTATTTATTGATTTAAATGTCTGTTTTTGCATAAAACATGGAAGATGCAAAACATTTACTGTATTAGGATTGTGAAGTTACAGCCACTCCCACCCCTGCTCTAAAACAAAACAAAACCAGAAAAAAACCAGCAAACATTAAACAAATGATAGAGTCAGTTGGCTAGGAAAAATACCGCTGTTCTTCCCTTTACTGTGCATTTGTATGGGTAAACGGGCCAGTTTGGTATTGGGGAATGTTGACGAAGGGAGATCAGGTTTCAAGATTGGATTCAAGAGCTTCTTTAGCATATGCTGATACCAATGAGTCACTGACAGTCCCCAGGTTGTACAACTATCCATTGCAAATCCTCATGAGAAGAGAAACACATGAGGTAGCACATGGGAAGTCAGAGGACTGAAGCGTGTCCATGTGTGTACTGTACACATACATCTTGAAAAACCACTTTCTCAAGCATATACATATATATATATATATAAGCATATACATATATATATACACACACACACACAAATTTGTTACATAGCCAATTTGTTTTTAAATATTTTTTCTCAAAAGGGAGCTCAAGCATAAGTTAAAAGGTGATGTGGAAATCCAGTGGTATGAGGAAGGCTGGGGTTATTTCCTCCATACTTTCTTCCACATTTAACCTGTTTGGGCATTAATTGCAATAATGACAAGATCTCTGCTCTCAGAGGAATGCTCTGTTTTCTCCATCCCCATTGAACTACCAGGTTCCTTTTATATTTTCAGCATTGTAGTTTAAACTATGTATTTTTCTTACTTGATGATATTAATCTTTCATGTGGGATGTAGTTTGTATGTGTATTCAGTACAAATATATTTTTTTCATAGCTGTTTTCCCCTGTTGCTTATTTGCTGTTTTTTTCCCTCATGGTTTTGCTTTGTTTTGTTTCTGATTTTTTAAACAGTGAAATATGTCCAATTTTATTTCCAGTGCATTAAACAAATTTTAAATTAAAAGAAGAAATAAACGTTTCCCCCCATCTTTCTAAAGGAAATGACTAACAAAAGTACAATACAATAGAATCAGGCATTGCCAAGAATAGCATGATGTGCAACCTCAATTATATCAAAGAAAACAAATAGACAAACAAGAATTATAGAACATAAGTATGAAGGAGCCAAGATTACATAATTCCAACTATGGTATGATTGGCAAGCACTGGTTAAAAAACAGGTAAGGCTACTCTTAGATTTCTAACTCAACATAGTTAACCACTGCTCTTCTGTCTTTTCCTTCAACTTTTAATCTTTTACTCCCTAGTTCTTTATATCTTTAAAATGAACAAATTTGTTTTTATATTTTTGGTCTACAGTAGAATTACATATTAATAATATAATAAAAAGATATTTCATTAACAGGTTGGTACTGCATCCATGTGGGGACAATAGAAAAAAAGTACTCAAATAGACATAGCAAATGGACTCTATTCTTATAAAAATAACCACAAATATAAAGAAATTATAATCAGGGCAACAGATTAAAATGAAAAGGGGTATAGAAAGATATATTTTAGATAATATAAACTCCTGACAAGCTATGCCCTAGAATTGCAGCCTCCAAACCTTGCCCATGATTTCCACCTTTCCATAGCCTCACTTCAAGTTCAAATGGAAATGAAAACAAAATAAAGTGAACAGGTGGTTGAGCCAGCCAAAGCCTCCAAGTTATGTTAGGTGGACAGTAAGACCAGGTGGACAGCATTTGAGAAACTGGCTGGACACAGGGGAGCTGCTACTGGTATTTATATTTAATTTGGAGGAATTTCCAGCCCACTGATAAAGAGAGAAACCAAGGAACCAAATGACTTTTCTAGTAACATATAATATATGAGATGAAATATAATTCTGTTAGAGAGGACATGGTGGTGAGATGGGAAAGAAAAGAGAAGAGAAACAGGCAGACTTCGGGCACCATCTCCCTTTGTTTTCTACAATGCATTGGTTTCCTTCTGTTGCGGAGCATTCTTTAGGATTAGCTACAGACCCCAATGTCCTCTGAGTAAATATATGTCAGCTCAGCTCCTGACATGATATCCATGCTTATTGGCCTCCTGGAGGGCTGGGTGGTTCTGGAGGGTCCCTCCCCTGCTATCACTGCCCACTGGCCCTTGCCTTCAATAAAGCAGAGAAGGTGTGCAAAGTTTCAATGGCAGGGGCTCTTTACGTTAACTATACCTAACTGATGACTAATTCACACAGATGGTTCCATATGGAAACAAAAAATAAAGAGAAAGAACTGGTAAGAGTTGAGCTCGGTAGCCAACTAGTGTGAAGTTTTCTTCCAGGAAAAAAAGAAGGAGAAAAAGAAATGGTATCTGTCAGAAAATACTGCTTTTGGTTTCTTTTAACTTTGAGCTGTCCTTGGTTTTTCTCTCAGTCAGTTGCTCCAGTTTAAAGGAGAGTTTAGAATCTAGTGCAAATATCATCAAATCACAGCATTCCAGAGCAATATCCTGTCCCTTCATCCTAAGTGGATACTGTCCCTTCAAACCTCCTCAGAAGACTGGAGGCAATGGTACAGAAAAGCGTAACTGAATAAATTATTAATCTAGTACTCACTACGACAAGAAAGGCACTATCACAACAGATCAGCCTCCAAGCATTTTCCTTGCCATGGGCATGGGCGTTTCAACCACTCCAGAAATCACAACAAAATCCAGACTGTGGCTTTTTCAACACTTGAATTCATTGGCCAGTTGTCTGACTCTCCCACCGGTCACTGCTGTTGGCTCTGGCCATACAGAACCCTGATCTGCACTGTGTACATGCTGCCCTATGTTTCACCAGTGACCTTTGTTTGGTTCTAAATGATTTAGCTCACTCTCTTCCATGGAAGTTTCTTTCTCTCCATCAGTCTCCAGGTCATGACTCTATTAAAGATCATTTACAGTGTCAAGTAGTGTTGTTTATTTTTTTCTATTTTTTAAACCTCTGATCAAATCCAAAGTCATAAAGATAGTTCAGTACGTCCTCTGATGACAAGGTCTCCTGTAAATACCATTGTGAACAGAAGGAAAACCATAGTGTAATCCCTTGACCACCAAAGCATATCCCTTGAGCCTGTTGTAGTACTTTTTTCTGGGAGAGAGGAAATTGCGATCTGAAGATTAAAATCTTTGGTGACAGAACTGGAGTGGATATGCAAATTTCAAGGAAGAAGTTTTCCAAAGCCTCAAGAGAAGTATCCTAGGACAGTTAATGTGAATATATTTTAAAAAGTCAATCATTTCTTTCTATAGCTTTGGTTTGGTGCAGTCAATGTCCTCTTAGTGATTACCCAATACTTATTTCTAAGTACCTGTTAAAAGCTCTGGATTTAGTTTCTTACTTAAAACAGAGATAATGCTTTGAGTGCTTAAGGAATTTCTTATGCTAGTTTGGATGGCTCTAAATGGAGTTTTTCTGACTAACAAGGCTGACAACTTTCTGAACAATATTTAAACTTGGAATAGTAGACTTGGACGGATAGTAAAGAAGAGAGAGAAAAAGACAGGTTATCAATGTTGTAATCTTAGGGAAGGGGCCTCAATTGAGAATTTTCCAAATTGATGCCCCATATGTGACAGTGTTCAGAGAAATTCAACATTAGCCATTTATATGGGTTGTGATCCTTTCCTACTGTGCCAGAACCTTCAAAACTGTCACTTTGAGTTCCAGAAGAGTCCTTCAGCATCTTTACTCTTGTGTTATTATTTCCCACACAATCTATTGCTTATCCTGTGATGAAAGATTCTTTTATTAACAGTTACTAAAGAGCTGTCAAACTCTGATTACTTCTAAGATTAAAAAAGATAATAAAAATAAATTTAACAAAGAAAAGTTAGGAAAAAACCAATTTCAAAACTAAACTTTTAGGCACTATTAAGGTCTTCTGCTTAGTAAGGATAGTCTATGATGGAGCAGCTAGTATGTTCTAATCCATCCTCCAATGTCCAAGTTGGCCTAGCTTGTTTCAAAATAAACCTTTCACTTCACTGGTTTTCAGTGTTTATTGCACTGTTCCCTATCTGTCATCTTAAAGGACTTTACCACATGCATAGCCTTCCTCTTTGGTTAGCCTGATCTAGGTTTCACCCAGGGATGGAGAAGCATAATCAGGCTGAAAAGTAATTCCAATATGGACAAGGCTATGTGTTTTTGAAAGGAGCACATCCTACTGCCCTCTGCCACACTAAAATGTGCACAAGCAAGGGGCTTTGTGGAGGAGGCCAAGGCAAAGACTTCTACATCATATCAATTGGCTTCTTCACTGTTAAAACTCTTACTGAGAGCTCAGTCAGAAACAAGATTGGGTAAACTTTTTCTTAAATGTTCTTAATTGCTGTACTAACTCAGCTTCTTTACAGTAAGAAAACAGATCCTATCAGCATGGTGGTTCCTAGGCCTGATCAAGAGTTGACAGAGATTCCACAGATTCTCGCCAACCCTGCTAAGATCAAGCATGATGAAAATAACTCTGCATTTTAGTGATGCTCCTACTTCCATAATTTGCCTTTTTCTTTCCCATACGTAACACACTCTCTCCCAGCACAAGTAAGTACATTTCAGTAGTGCAATGCAGTGCAGTCATATTTAGTGCAAAAAAAAGCCCTATTATAACCCAAAGCTCAACTCTAAACAGCTCTTACAAAGGTTACCAGTGCTACGAAGGTGGGAAATTCAGTCTATCTCACACTTATGTGAGTCATCTCTTTTGTTGCTCCTGTTTGTTTCAGCTCAAAGTAGAGAAACTAGCATGCACCTATGTATTTTCTGTAAAACATTAAGCCAATAGGCAGAAAATAAAAGGAAGTAGTCTAGTTAAAATCAAGGGTATTATTTAGAAGAGGAAAACAGCTATTTAATGTAAAGGTCAGTAGTGGTTTTTACTTAATAGTTTTCATCATGTCAGATGGCTCTAATGCTAAGGGGAATGGGTTCAGAAAAAGATAAAGCTTTCCTGTTTCTTGAAACACGGTCCTAAATTTAACAGTGCTGGGCTTTTATTTTTGAATAGTGCAATCAGCTATTCCTCAAGGGCTACAGGCAGCAGCCACCTAACATAACATAAATAGGTACACTAGGAGCACTCACTTTTCTACATTGATCACTTTTTCCCTCACCTCATTAGTCTCCTATTCTTTTTTTTTTCTGACTACACATAAATACAGATATACATACACATACACAGAAATTCTCAAGGCCCCTCTCAGAATGATCAATTGAAAATTGGTACAAATAGCTCAGTGACACACTCACACAGAAGTACAATTATTAAATACAAAAGTGAATTATTACAGCAAAATTAAGAGTCTGCATTGTACCTCTTCTTGTGTTATTCCATAAGAAGAAAAAACATTCATAGTAGGATTTCTTAAGGAGCTTACTTCTTTCTAAAGATTAGTCTAGAATTAGTTTGGGATGTGGCAATATTGAGTGATTCTGGAAAAATGATTTGTATTTGATCATCCTCAGGAATCCGTTTCTTCAGTTTGTCTGGGTCTTCACCCTCCAAAGGTAAGTCTGCTTGTCTGCTCATACCCACACATGCATGCTGTAAGTCTCAAGAGAATCAAAGTGTAGTTTAAAATAGATTGTGGGAAAGGAATTAAGCATAGTGGGGTCAGCACACTCAAATTACCTTAAAATATCAAGTTACCATAGATTTTCTCTATCATATCAGCTTCTCACCTTTGTTTGCCATGATGAAGATTACTAAGACACCCTGCTTTCATCTACTCTGAAAACCATAATTCTTTCAACAATAGTGTAGGAACAATTTTAATTAGATATATGCAAATTACCCTTAATTTATATCTCAATAGGCTCCTCAGGAAAACTGAGGTTCAAATCAACGGGCCTAAAGAAGAAGTTTAGCAGCTGAAAATACCTTTGAGAATTTTCTCCTGTAAATCTACAGCTGGTTCCAAATTAAAGTTTGTCCCAAGGAGAGCAAGAGCAGAGTAACTAGCCTTTGTTTTCAAAGATTCCCCTAGTTGTGAACATGCATAAAGCACTTTGAACTACAGGAAAATCTTATCTCAAATTTGAACTATTATTTTATTTTCAGTGATCTCTCTGTACACTCCTCTCGGGCCCGGATAGCACATTAGGTATAGAAGTCAGGAGTTTCTACAATTTCTCTAGAAGTGTTTGGCAGCATGAAGAGAAATCTTTAATCACAAAGAAGTATAGTTAACTTACTAATTCTTTGAATTGTAATAATGAGAGATAGGCAAGAACAACAAGGGGTGAGTAGTGCTAACTTTCTCCGGTAACCTTGACAACTGGCTTTAGGAATCCAGACCTGTATCAAATTTGGTCCCATCACATTGTCCTGTTCCCTCTCTTTGTTTTTCTCTGTTCACTTAATTGAAATTGCAATTATTTTAAAGATTGAGCCAAGAATGTCAATTATAGCACAAAAGAAAGGTTACAAAAACGTTGTCAGGCTATCTGTTAATCGAGTTGAGTTGAAAACAGTATGCTTTCAAATGAAGTACTACAATTTCCTTTTTTAAAAAAATAGTTTCTAATTTGTTTTTTCCTTCTTTTGTGGTGGAGGGGTATAGATGGGTGAAGTACTGGCAATGCAGTGCCAATCTCCCTCTGTTACTGTTCCCTCTAGTGCCTGGGGTTGGGGCAGGTGCAGGGGTGTGGGGAAGGAGAGAGAAGCAATGGGGAAACAGGTGTTTCTCTACTTAAGACTTCATGAACACATACAGTCTTGAAATGGCTAGAAAAGCAACAACTACAATGATAAAAATCAACAGATCAATTGATTTTGGCATTTCGGCAGCACCCCTTCCTTTTCTTTCCTGGGTATCTTGCAGTAGATATTAATTAGAAATACCCAAAGAATTTAATTAAACTAATTTATTCCCAGCCTTATTCCAAAAAGGATTTGAGGAGGCAATAAGGATTTGTAGTACAAAATGCATGGTCTTCATCTGCAATCAATAAAAAAATCTATTCTTTGGCCCCAGACCTGTTAGTTTAGGTAAATACGGTTTCTTTCTCAAGGAACAGGTTTTTGTTTTAACTGTTCTATCCTCAAAGTAAAGAGAGAATTTCTCTCTTAAAAGCTCATGAGTGCTATTTGAAATGGAAGATAAGATTTTTTGGAGGAAAAATTCCTTCATGGTAGGATGGAAGGCTTTTCTTTCTAAGGGGAAAATAATACAGTAAGGGTGAGCAGTTATTTGACTGTCCATGGACAGTAACAAATTAAGAAATAAAAATCCTTTACTATCTTGAGAAGAAAGAAAGGGAAACAAATAAATCAACAAAAAAACCTTACTAAAATACACATTCCTCCAGTTTCAGATTTCTAAAAAGTAATAATTATGCTTAAATCAAGGTTTATAGATAGCAAACAACTGTTTGAATGTGTGAAAGTATTATCCCTTTGCTCTACCATGTTTCACTTTCTTTGAAGGAATTGCATCTATGCACACTTATCCTGAAGTCCAGTGCAGAAAATAAACTTGTTTGCTACCAGCCTCAATCTCAGAACATTTCCTAAGCTATATTTGTAAATTCTAGAGCTACATATCTGTAAAATAAGATGCAGACTTTCTGAAATGCATTGTATGTGTGTGTGTTGCAGAGGGAGAGGGGAGCAAAGCAAGCTTTTCCTGGAGAAAAGAAGAAAAAAAAATCTTCCTATCCTCACGAATATATACTATAGTGTTTCTGTCTATTATTTTGATGCATTAGTTACTGTTAGGGCTATTGATGCTCCTGACAGGTGTCAGCTTGGAAAGACAGGAGGCTCATAAGCAATAATAAATTCACACCCTGGAGTCTCTAGAATATCAAACAGGATTTAGACATTAATCTGAGACTAACACAGAGGTTGTGGTGAGAAATTCTGGGTCTTGGGGTTGGAATACTTCTTGGGGAACTAGAAAGAACAGCATCAAGAAGGCATCCCAGATTGAGGACCAAGTAAGATCTATCAGAACCAGAGCCTCTCCTCCTCCATATTATACTTTAAATGACAGCATTTTAGGATTTAAAAGAGTCTTTCTTCCTTTGGAAGCCAGTGCCTAAGGAGAGGATTACTTTAGATAAAGAGTACTTTAAGAAAAAAAAAATACCAGGAGTTAGAATGGACAAAGAAAAAGAAGGATATAGGATTGATTGGGAGAACATTCCAAGTGAAGATCATAGTCCTAAGCAATGTAAATATTGCCTTTAAGAGATGTTGTTTTCCTACTAGATGCATGCCTCATAAAGGCTTTCAAAACTGCTATTTATTTCATTGTTCTCTATGGTGTGAGTTGATGTTATAAACTGGTTTGATTAAGATAAAAGCTGGGTCAAATCTCAAGTCAAATAAAAATACATTTCTGATATTAAATGTTGATTCTTTTTGTCAAAGGGTAAAGCAAGAACTGAAAGCATACCGCCTATGCACTCAAAACCACATAGTACTCTAAATGTCACAGGACTTGTCTTCATTAAAGCTGAGAGGCGATGTGGTATCATGGCAAGAATATTGGACCAGAAGTCAGGAAAGACTGTGTTACGAAGTTGTTGTGAATGTGATATTATAAGCATCCTGAAAAGGATACACCCAGAATGGTATCAGTCAGTCTTTTGGGCAATGCTCTGGTGACCAGACAGTTGTAATCCACTGCAGGGAGATCTAGCATGACAACCAAATTAT
The DNA here is from genome assembly GCF_000001405.40 of Homo sapiens. Lineage (NCBI taxonomy): Eukaryota > Metazoa > Chordata > Mammalia > Primates > Hominidae > Homo > Homo sapiens. The sequence continues at coordinate 114,328,031 of NC_000003.12, forward strand.
ATGGGGCGTATTTAGGTGCTGGGGAGTGCACTGCATGGCTCTTTAGGTATCCATTTAGCTCTGTTATTATTTTATTTAAGTATATATTAAGTTTATGTTTAGGCAATCTCTGGTTGCAAAAACAGACACTTTCAAAACTTTATGGATCTTTTCATCCATTAGTAAGTTACTGCTCAAAGTTCTAAACAAATCAATGATTTTTTTTTCAAAAAGGCAATAAATAAAAAAACTCTTCCTAATTTTTCCTACAATGTGTTCAAGTGGATGTGGCTTTTCTTGTTTGAGAAGAGCTCACTAAGGCTTGAACAGTTATCAAAATTATTTTGAAATGTTACTCTTTTCTTTAGATTCCTATAATCTAAAGTCTGATAAACAAGTAATTTGACTAGTGGAAACAGTCAACATTAATGATTCTTTTTTTCTCCGTCAAAAGTGATTTACTCATATGAAGAACCTGAACACTGTGGTATTTAAAAAAAAAACAGAAAATATTTTTCTCTTCATTTTTGGCCAAACGTGAAGGTAAGGGGAATTAATGACCTCAGCTAGTACAGTTGACATTTAAAACTGTGACTCAGGTCCTCCCACTCTCAAAAGAATATTGATAACTTTTAAACTCTGAAGCTAAAATGAAGACATGCTTCACTCTGCCTACGAGTCTCAAGTTTATGAACTCACTCACTTTAGTGTTCTTTCATTAAATAAAACTTAAAGAAGGATGTTCAGAATGGGGTGGAGAAAGGAAGAGAAATGAACAGTTAGGGGTCACAATTATTAGAGTTTTGGGGGCAGTAATGAAGACAAATAGGTAATTTGAAGTAGTCTTCAAGAGAAACAAGAAATAAAGGGAAAGGGTTAGGAAAAGGAAAGAGGGAAATAATGAAGTTGATATAATTTGGATATTATGTGATCATTAGAGAAGAAACAGCCTCACTAACAGTCAATTCACAATTATGTTTGTCTAGTAGAAATATATCTGCTGGAACACTTTGGAGAACAGATTGGTAATTTTGCCATTACACTAGACATTAGCCCTTTCAAAGCAGACTAAGAGTACGTAGTTCCTTAGTGAATACAAGGCTTCACAACTGAAGAGCATTGCAGGGAGCTTGGCTAAGGTGAAAAGGGACTTGCTGGAGAGGTACAGCAGAATGGGATGGGATTAGAAAACAACAATCTATTAGGAAAGATGAAAGGAAGGAATTCCCCAGTGTTCACGCTGAGAAGTCTTCATATTGGACCAGTGTGAGGGGGTCTTTTATACTGAGGTTTTAAAAACCTGACTTCATTTTGTCCTGAATGTAGAAGTGAAGAAGGACACTAGTTTCAGGCACCTGGGATGGTGGAAAAGTTTATTCAACTGAGGCTTTCCATGCATTGGGTTGAATAGCTGAGGGAAGCTGAAGACTCTTATCTGAAAATATGATCTGAAAATATTTATTGTATAGGAAGACAGAATGCCTGATTTCTGAAGTTTTCTTGATGGCCCAACTAAAGAAGAAAGGCACCAAATCCTCACTTTAACAGGTAAATGGAGATCCTGAGGGCTGGATACCCAAGAGCCACCATTTTACGGATTCCTCAGATTTAAAAATGTCTCAGATAGATATTTCCAAATTCTATTTCTATTAGCCTCTGTGGATAAAGAGTTCCTGAAACTCTGGTTTTACTTTTTTTGGAAAAAAAAAAAAAAAAAAAAAAAAAAAACAACTCCCAGGAAAATGAACACTATATTGCCAAGCTGCCTCCAGGGAAAGGTTGAAGACTAGTTAAAATAATTCTAAGCGTATTGAAAAAAGAAAGTGTAAAGATCCAGTATTAAAATGAATGTTTGAGAATACAGTGGGGACAACTAGGTAATTCACTGTCTTACGCTTTTCAGAAGACTGGCCCTTTGAAACGCAGCCTGTTATTGTTGGTCAGATCATGTGGCACTTAAGTAGCCCCTTGGTCATATTTTTAAAAGCAAATATAGACAGTGACAGTCCTACAGGGGAAAATCACAGATACATTCATATGCACCTCTTTTGTTCTTCAGATATTGAGTGGGTCAGCTAAACAAGATCACTTTGAATATGAACCTCTTTGTATTAGTCACACCAACAAAAAAGTTTCAAAAAAAGTTTTCACTTTCCTACATTTGCTAAGTCTGAGCTTTAAAAAATTCTAAAATCCTCTAAAGACAATACTGAAGCTGATAATATAAAAAGCAAATTAGAGCACTAATGATTATTACTAGATGCACCAGATTAACTGCAGCAGGTTGGTGATGGGTGATATAAGCAAAGACATAATATTTCAATCAACTCATGATCATAGGCAGATTCAAAAGTTAAAATGAATATAATGTAATATATATTTCAATATAGAGTTGTTATATATAATGTGTATGTCCTAGGTTTCAGAAATACTGCAATGTAGTGTATTGTAGTTAAGTAAGCATACCTAAATAGTAACTCATATTCTTTCACAAAGTCACTAGTACTGTTAATTAAAGGAAAAAATAAAACCGAAACAACTAATTGTTTTTCCAGTAAAAAGAAATACCTATGGTTACAGTTACAGACTTCTTTTGGATATAGAAAGACAATATACATTTTAAAAAGTAATAACGACAAAAAAGTTGCAACTGTAAGTAGCCTTACTTAACAGGGGAAGGGGAAAAGTCACCAGAATAGAAGAGGAAAGAAAATGTCCTCTGACTTCTGTAAAACAGAAATAATGTACAAATCATAAAAAATAACAAACCATCTAGTAAAAGAAGGGCATGGGAGTGAGAAAACTGAATCCTGAATTCCAGGCCACCAAACCCTCAGAGTCCATTCATTCAGTATATTATACTAGAGTGGCATTCTACTTCAATGCTTGAGATGGGCAAGAGCAATCAATTCCTACAGATTACCAAAAAACATTCCCCCCAACAGTCTATTGGTTTGCTAGACATGGTAAACAACCCACTCCTGGAAAGACTTTGGCAAAGGCCACATTGGTTTCAGGAGACACAGTTTGTGAATTACGATGATATCTTGTGAGTACAGGCAGAATTAGGAAGCTTTAGTTTGAGAATAAAATTTATGTGTGTGTGTGTGTGTGTGTGTGTGTGTGTGCACACTGCATTGCATAGAGGAAAGGAATGAAGACCTTTGAGCTATGGGATGGCTCAGGCCAAAGTTTGTGTGGGCTTTGCCTGCCTGGCATTGGTCCCCACCCCTGCCACCTCCAGGAGACCTGGGGAGACGCCCTGGACTGCTGCTCCCTCTTGTCTGCTCACCAGTTGAAGACTTCTGTTATACCTTATTATGGAGGAAAACAGCCTGTCCCTGTGGGTTTGCTGTGGATTCAACAAGCTGCATTTGTTTCTCCCAATTCTGAAACATTACAAAAAGCAACAGAGTGGGCAGGTGACTGCTTCCTGGGAAGGGAGCCACAAGTCTTAAACACAATGGTGGGAAGAGGCAACTGTATCTATGCACGAGGACCTCTGCCTGTGTGTGCTTCCTTTGGGGGGCACACACACTTCCAGATGACAATAAGTATATACACAAACACACACATGTGCACACATGTCAATAAATCCAATAGAACTGTAGAGTTTGTTAAATGCACTCTACTCCACATAAGCATATTCAAGTTTCTCATGAAACGGATACATAGAAATTACTGATGGTTGGGCTCCTTCAGAATGCCCTAAAGTCTCATCACAGATACTGATGCACCCAACTAAGGCAACAAAGCATAAGCAGATACGTGAGATATGTCAGACCTTCGACTTCTAACCAGAAGTTCAAAAATGTATCTTGTTGTCACTGGGCAATATGAATGTGAAACAGTTTTGTGCTGAGGGAAGCTCACACTGTGTGTGCACATGTATAAATAATGTATACTCATTTATAGACATTTTGGACAGCAGCGGTGACATACTGGATGGGTTAAGACTCTTTCATTATTAGAATCTACATATAAATTGCAATGAGTTTGCTGGGTAAAAACAACTGTTGCAACACTAGTAGAAACAGATGCCCCCAAGGTTTTTTTTTTTTTTTTTTTTTTTTTCTCTCTTGGATGTATCAAAATCTCATTGAGGCATTCTAAACCAAAGAAACCTCTGAATTTGAAACAGGGTTAGTAGGGACTTTTATACCCAGCTGGGCATCCCAGAAGCCTGGACTCTCAGGACTGTGGCTAGATTTTGCCCATGATCTGTAGATTATGCTCTTGCACCGGAGACTTGAAAGTTATGAGTTTGCATTCAAACAAAGAACCACCAGATAAAACAGATGTTCTCTAAAACTGAGGAAAAAAAGTTTAGAGATATACACTGTATAGAGAAAGAAAGCTTTTTGCTGGATTGTTCTCCTTGTTAAGGAAATGTTTAAAACTAGTACTCCCGGGCACCTGTGATTGCATTTTATAGGATTCTATTTAGTAATATGATGTCTATTTTACATTCAGCCCCAACCTACGTCACTGAAATAGAATAGGAAATAGCAGCCACTATCTGAGAGTACCCAGTTCTAGGAAAGTTTGGTGCCTCCTCAAGAAGTCACTATTTCCATAGTCCTCAATCATGAATAGGGCTTGTTTTTGTGATAATGTAACTATTAAACAGCAAGAAATGCCTATAACTTCAGAGCCTTCTCATTTCTATATCTTTTATCCTCTTCCCAGGGCTTTCTGATTTAAGGCAATAATGCTACACTATAAGTAGCCTTTTGTGAAAATACCTTAATTGAGGTCACTTAAGATTAGATTTCAGTCTGAAAGTCTACAGTTTACGGAGCAAAAGGTGGAGCCTAAAGAAACCACTGGCAGGTGTTTTAGTCAGTGGTGTGGAAAGATAATGTTTCTTGTTTCAACCCAGGGCATTTTTACCCATCATGCAGTGAGGAGAAAATACATAGTTCTGAAAAAGAACCCACACTAGGTAGCCCTAATTTTCTATCTCTTCACTCTAAAAAGGATGGAAACAAGCCCTACTGTTCCATAACCATTCCCAGGGATCGGCTAAGGTACATTGCTGACTGCTATAGACTCAGTGTTCAAGGAGAAAAAAATCTTCAGAGACTTAGAAAACTCTTTGCAATATTTTGGTCAGGCTGATCGTCTTGATACTCAGTGCTAGAAATGATGCTTTGGATTAGTAGTTTCCACATTCTGAATTTATAGGAACACTGAGTCACCACAGCCTTTTTTCTTGTAAAGGTTTAAGTGATATCAGAAATAGCAACTCTACACGGAAAGCCCTTGGGAATATGAAAATACTCTCTCTCAAGAGCAAGGGCTCTTCCGTGCCCCTTTTCTGCCTCTGTATGTAGCCTGAGCACCAGGGTAGAGATTGCTTTTGAAAGTTTGCCCCATGTAATCTATTTCCTGGCTACCTAAGAGAACAGCCGTTTTCTTCATGAAAACACAAAGAGGGGAAAGAGGCTGCTGCTGTTCCAGTGGGAAGTTATGTCTAGCCCCAGAAGGCCTGGTGGCTGGGTCAGCTCAAGCACTCTCTTCATGCACTGCAGGCTCAGGAGGCATTGGGTTGCTTTGCTTTTTCTATGGAATTAGGGAGCCTATTGAAATTCTAGTGCACCCCTCCTTTTGTTTGTCACCAAGTCACATGGTTCTGTCTTCAGTATCCTATTTTTCTTTTTTTTTAATTTCTTTTTCTGAGGAACAAAATTGGCCATTTAAATAAAGTTCTTTTCTAGTGAGTAAAGAGGTTTCTCAGAGCCAGAAATCACTGAAAAGAGAGTCTGTCGACCCTGCCCATGGAAAAGCCCAGAGATTTCTCTAACCACTTCTTGCCAAACTTCCTAGTTTTGTGATTGGATGTTTCTTGGTTTAGCATTGTTTGGTGCTGAATACATTTTGCAATTCTTTTGTTCTCTGCCCTAGAGCTTCCATTACCCTGGACTTCAACTCATTACCAAATTAAAGAATTCTTTTAGAAGATTTCTTTTAAGAGTCAGGTCACAACAGAAAGGGCGCCCTCCTGTTCTCCTAAATCTCAAGGGCATCTCAGGTTGTGTCTGCTCTTACGTTGCACCTTCCTTTTGTTCCCTTTTAATGCAGCAGCACACTGGCTATAGCAGAGGCAGACCTGATTTGATTATCTGATACCTTTTCCACAAAATCATATATCCCCTGCTCCCAGCCCCAACTAATCAAATAACATCTTCTAGAACAACAGAGGAAAGCTCCAGAATGGGTGTATATCCTGTGACTCCTGGCCAGATCCACCTTGCTCCCTGTCTTCCTAGGGGTCACAGGTGTTGGGAGCATTGTGGAGGAGCCCCAACAAGGAAGCAACATATGGCTTTATTATGTTTTCTCAGGAATCGAAGGGGTTTTATAAGGGGCATATCTCATTTTTGACTTCTGTGCTGAGAGAAAATATTGAGTTTTGGGCGCAGGCAGAGCACAGACAGGACAGCTGGTGTTCCTGTGTGAGGGAAGTACACATAGCTCAAGGCTTTAGGACTGAATGTGAAACAAACATACCTGGAGGAAAACTTTTTTCATTATCAGAATTCACAAATTCTTACTGTTCATGGGTTGAAAAAGAGTATTTGGGACCTTATAGAATATTTTGATGATACAAAATAAAACCCTTATGACTTTTAAACACAGCAAACCCAAGTCTTTCTAAGGCCAAGAGCTACTATGATCTCTAAGATGACTAGGAATGAACTGAGGCTAGAATATGAGCAGGAAATTATCCAGCACACTTAATCATGGCACAAATAGATTCAAAGCATTAGGAATTTGGGAAGAGAACGGTCTATAAAACTGTTATTAGGAGCTAAAGTTTACCTCTCAATTAAAAGATACAGGAAACCATTTTGATACAGAGATTTTCATTTCAGATTTTTTTTCTTTGCTTAGCTTGTTTCCCCCTGTGTAGAATTGTAACAGATCCATGTGTTCCAATTATTTTCTTTTTTAGGATTATATTTCACACATTTGGGGGCCTTTTTTGTACAAATATTGGCATGTAATAAGGAAAAATTGCCCATGATGCTGAGATAATACCAGTGTTTTTAGTGGTAGAAAATATTATTTTTTTATAAACCATATCTAAATATCTTGAGATAAAAATTCCCCTTTGACTTTTTTTCCTCTCCCTTGTTTGGCAAATTCCATTTTAAAATTATAAATTGCTAAAAAATGTCCTTTCCATACTATTTCTCTCTTCCTTGTACTCATCCTAAGAAGTCTTAAATCTGGAACATTTGCTTTTATCTTATCTATCTGTTTCCTGGCTACTAGAAAGAAATTTTTTTAGCACTCATATCACCCTACCATGAAGGTCTAAATGTAAGATGACTGTAGGACTTGAAACAAAAAAAAATTAAAAAGATCCACACTCATTCTTTGATTTTGAAGCAAATGTCTTTCCCTATTTCTAAAGATATTTGTGATTGTTTAACTTAAAAGTGAGAATTGACAATCTAAAAGCATCTCTATCCTTTTGAAACAGGTCCAGATTGGTTTATTTCCTAAAATGTGGGTCAGTTTGGAAAGTGGCCATTTGATGGGCCAGGAACATAGCAATAAACAACTACCTCTTTGCTCCTCCAGATTAGATCTCCCACTCCAATCCAGCTTCTTCCTCTTTCCACAAAATAATTTGTCAACTATTTTAGAATGTGACATATTTGGGAAGGATAAATGTACAGTAGGAATATGTCTACTGCTATGCAAACCTGGCTGGTCCATTTTGTCATGGACTACAATGATTATATCACCTCATTAAGAATTCTTTAGGGATCCTCCACCTCCTCCCCCACTCCCTTTTTTTTAAGAGACACTTCCTTTACAGGGAAAGGATGATAGACTCCTCAGGGTTTCAAGTCACCTGCAGCTTTTTCTCTACATGTTCTACCAAAAGAAAAGGTGGATTCTAACCCAATTGCTTAGCATTTTACATGGCAAATCAGCATTAAGGCAAATGGGTCTCTCTCAGATTTGAGAAACAGAAAGCTACACGTGGCCCATAATGGCACCTAAGATCAACTTTTCAGGCGGTATTAGTGAAAATTCTTCCTACTTTGCTAAATTTGAACAAAGACACTTTCAAATCTACTGTGAAACAGTTTAAAATATTTTAAAGTGGCTTTTGGCCTTCTTTCATTTGTAACATGTATTGAGTGATTTCATGTCATTGTCTCCTAGCTTTAAGAGTTTTTTTCTTAAGGTCAATCTTCTCTTTTCATTTTATGGGTGGAATCACTTGTTTTCCAAAATATCAAAACAATTCCATGACATAGTTAATTAATGCTCCCTCTATTGGTGGTAAGTGGAAATATTAGTCTTACAACACTGCTATTTTAAAAAGCAAAATTAGCAATAGAAAAATGAACTTACTTTATCTCGGAAGCTGTTCCTCACTAACTGTTAAAACAGATCAGTTTTGGACATACAGTTCTTGGCAGGACTCCTCTTAGAAATCACAATAGGTTACACTTAATAGTCAGTTAACCACCCAAGTTTACATTAAAACTTCTAGCAAAATATCCACTGAATTAAGCACTGTGGGACCAAATCAAACTCACAAACACTTCAGTTACACTAACCTTACAAAGCATCACAAAGAACTTATGAAAAAGATCCAAGTTAACCAAATGTCTAAAATATATGAATAAAACCAATTTAGTCATTACAGAGTTGTTTGTGTTGGAAGATTTTCCCTCGTTTGCTGCACAGTTTTTGTAAATAAAATGCTGACAGGAAAATTAGAAGGAAAATTAAATTAAAATGTAATGTAATTTTGAAACTAAAATACGCTCTCCTTTCTTCTTTTTAAAACTGTAGTTTGGTGTTTTGCTTTGTTTAAAGATTTGCTTTCCCCTAAGTATGTTAAAATATGCCCAGCAATGAAATCACTTTGGGAGTTTCAGCTAGGTTTAAGAATTCCTATATTTGAGCTGGAATCCCTTCAGGACACTGTCTATAATGAAAATGTCTCTATTATAACACCTTGATCAGGACCGAGGAGAGAAATCCCTACTAGGAAGAGAGAGTGGCATCTGGTATGATGCAATAGATTGGTGGTCTTTTGAATGGTGGCTGTTGGCATCTGGGAATTTTTTTGTTAATTTCCCTAAAACCTTTCGAAGAAGCAAGGGTTAATTCGTCATCTAAAGAATGATCATCTTATTCAGCCCTCTTAACCATGGTGGAAACAGTCAGAAGGTGATATTTGGAAGGAAAAAAGTAATTTTGGCATCAATGCATCTTGATCTATAACAGGCTTCTCATAATGATGCTCTTTGTAGTTGGGAAGGGTGAGGAGCTATGGCAGAGTTTTGTGAACTCCTCTTCCTGGCTGATCACAAAAGAAAAGACCCCATTTATCAAGACTTCTAGACTATTAGTGTTTCACTAAGAAAAAAAGTAAAGTCAATAGAAATTCTAGAATTGTAAGATCTCAATGAAATTTTGGAGAAGCAAGCAATCTCTTTCTGAAAGATAAAGTCTCTTCCATGAAAAAGAACAGAATTCTAGATGAATCAGTTGAAAAAATTATTCAGTGGGGCAACTTAAGCTTGCTAAAGTCAAAGAACTACATATCAAAATACAAAGCAGCAATTCAAATTACAGCAGGGATGGGCTGGCCACAGAGGCCCTCATCAACCCAGGCAATACTTAAAATAATAAAAATTAAGAAAAATTAAAAAAAATATGAAGAAAATATCCTTCCTCTCTTTCAAATATAACTTTAGTTGCCTTTTATTCTTTCTATCTGGAAGCAGTATCGCTAACCTTAACAGTCTTGACTTACCAAAAAATATATATATGTGTGTGAAATAAAATAAAAGAGAAGGAATTGGTGGCAGTGTATGCAAAACCAAAATGAAAAAAATTACTTTTAACAATTTCACTTTTTTTGTTTTTTTTTTTACACAAATACTGTTGTAAATATATTAAAAAAATCAGCATTCTATCTGGTAAACGTCACTTTTGCCCCTCTATAAAATTTTGAATTAAAAAAGCCTCAAGAACTTTTTATTGTTCCCCCCACCCTCCATTTCTTTTTCTTTTTCTCTTCCACAAGAATATATCCTGACACTTTTTTTTTTTTTGCAAAGATTGTTGGAAATAATCCTTCTCTTGTACCTAGAAACATAGGTGCAAATTTCTGATATCTTTGTTTTATCTGCATTCCTGCCTTTCATGAAAGTCCCTCTTGATTGTGCTGAGGCTGTGGCTCAGCGAAGACACTGAATAAATACGATAGCCACTGTTGCTTGTTGCTTGTCCAAGTCTTCCTGGCTTCTGCTGCAAGAGGGGGATATGGAGAAGGTGGGCCAGGGTGTGTGGACCCGGGCAGAATCTGGGGAAGAAGCCTGCCATTCGTCTTTCTTTCCCACACCACCGAACCCACTGCCCTTCCCACCCCCACAGCCCTTTTATGAAATCAGACAACGTGGTAGGTGGAAAACAGCAGGGCCTTTCCTCTGGGTTTTCAACCAGAAGTGATATTCCACAGTTTTAACTGGTTACTGTGAAGTCCAAGCGGCCAGAATTGTGAAAATGTCCACTGAAACACTGCAAGCGGTGTACTTAAAGACAGTAGGCCTTTTAGATTTTGTTATATATTTTTTGTAGTGCTCTTCACAAGTGGAAATTTTTTTTTTTTTTTTACTTTTTTTTAAAAGATTTTTTTGTAAAGAAGGGTTGTATTTAGAGGCCAGTAGCTAGAGATCCAACCAGTGGACCTCTTGAAGCACTACCAGGCCTTAAGGCCACCATCCGAGGGAGACTGGGAAAACTATTATTCACCCAAGCCTCCGGAAATGTAATGTACCAGCAGGCAAAAAACAGTTCTTCATGTAGTACAAAATGAAACGAAACAAAAACAAAAACAGAAAGTAAAAATGAAACCAAAACATTTCTTAAATTCTAGTGCCATAGCTTTTTTGTTTGTTTGTTTTTTGTTGTTGTTTTGTTTTGTTCATAAGAAAGAGAGAAAGATACTACTTATCCGTCAGACACATGCATCCTCATGTGGTCGTTGAACTGCTCGATTTGGTCAAACTTTGCTGGGCAGACGGAGCAGACGTAAGTGGTCCCCTCCGTGCAGGCCACCACGCCTGGGGGGCCAGCGCGGGCACCTGGGGGTGTGCCTGCAGGGGGGGTCCCATTGCTGGCACTGTGCAGGGCCACGTGTCGCTCCAGGAGGGTCTTGTGAGAGAACTTCTTTTTGCAGATGTAGCACTCGTAGGACTTCTCTCCCCGGTGGAGGCGCATGTGCACGTTGAGGGAGCTCTTCTGGGTGAAGCGCTTGTTGCAGATACTACACTGGTATGCCCTCACTCCTGTGTGTGTCACCATGTGCTTGATAAGGTAATCCTTTAAGGAGAAGGAGCGCCAACAGATGCTGCATTGGTGGGGCTTCTCACCTGTTGATGTAGGAAGAGACAGCAAGCAGGACAGAGCGAGACATAGCAAGGGATAGAGAATGAAGGACAGGAAAAACAAGACAACAAAAAAGAAAAATAAAACAATTAAAAAATAAAATTTGATTGCTTAATGGATCATCCTCGTTTGGAAAAATCCAGGCCCTCCTAGCCTCTCATGTGCAGAGAAATTTTGCTTTATGGTGATGCCAGGACAGTTTTGTTTTCCATTTCCCTGTGCCATAAAACGGCTTTCTTGGAAAGCTACCAGATATTCCCCACTAAAAGTCTTCAAGGTCACTCCGTGGAAAAGGGAGGGCTACTTTTGAAGGGGGTCACTTTCAGTGTCCTGATTAGGGGATTTAGTGTTTCCCATTAACATTATCAAACAAATAGAAGAAATAAGAGAGAAGAAAGATCGTTGGAGACATGGGGTGCTCTAGAATCCTTGAGAACTAAGGATATTGGTCACTATAGCTTGGTTCCTTGGGGTAAGTCCCCACTTCTAGTAGTCTAAGAAATACACCTATGTGTTGATTGTGAGTTTGGAAAATATTTGCCAACACAGGAATACGTTATTTTGAAGAGCTATACTTTCAAGTTTATCTATTTTAGACAGAAATCTTTCTAAAATATAACTTAAGGGTTAATTGCCTGTTCTCTATTGACTGTAGTGAGCTGCAGATTGGCCTCATCGGGTGTAGAGGCTGAGTAGGCGGTGGGCAACATGATGATATCAGACTCAAATGATCCTATTCAAATCTGGGCACCAACACACTACACTCCACTCTGACAAATCACCAAATGCCTCTGAGGTATACAGTCCTACTTACCTCATTGTGCTGGTGTTGACATAAAATACATATGAAATCACTTTGCAGACCACCAAGAGCAGTGTGGGAATACATGCATGGTATTCTTATTACAAGGATACCTCCCACCCCCATTAAATGCTTCCATATGCCTTTTGAACTCTTGGGTCAATTTTTAAAATAGTTTTCCTGCGTCCTCCTTTGCTCTCAGCCTGTTGGCGGAAACCCTTGTTTTTCCTCAGTTTACTGCTTTGGTTTGGCTTAGAAACCAAATGATCAAGTTTGTTACAAACAGTAAGGTAAATAATAATACTCAGTGCATGAGGTATTCTTAAAGTCCATGGGTCCGTGACATCTCTTTAAGATGATTACTTAAAGACTTGTTTTCTTTGTGCTGTTTGTTCTCAGCTCTGCTCCTGACAGGTGAGATGAACTGCGTGTTTGGTCCATCTCTACCACCTCATTCCTGACTGCCCAGTGTAGGCCCTCACCTCAGAGAAAAAAGTCCTTCCATGATCCAAACTAAAACTGAAAGCCTCTGAAACTCCTTAGGATAATATTTCAACATTTGGACTATGCATCAAGGTAAGAAGTCTTTTAAAATTTGAGCTAACTTCCACTTAAAATATATGCCTTGACTGTTTTTCATTTTTTCCCATTATGAAATAGGAGAGCTTTGATGTATTATGGTAATAGCAGCAATGAAAACAATCACCATGTATTGAGTGCTTACTATGAAGCAAGGTTGGTATTAAGTGCTGACTATGTAGCAGGGTTGGTATTAAGTGCTGTATGTTCATGATCCATTTTATTAAACTTTCTCTCATCAGGAATTTGTTGTTATTGTGTTTTCAAACATAAACAGATATGTTTTGAAGCACACTGACCAGACAGTATGCTGCGTAAGATCACATGGTTAGAAGATAATTTTACTTTTAGATTAAAACAGGAAAGGTTAGGGAAGCCTCATTGCTAATAATCTCAATTTGCTGAAGACTTCAGTCTATGCATAGTGTTTACATTGGTACCTTTTTTTTTTTTGAAGTAAGAGATTCCCTAAGAGAGACAGTCATGCATGTTTTTAGCTGAAACATTTCTGTCAGCTGTAAACATGCCTGGAAGTCAGCTGGTCTTTGCTATCCTCATGCTTTCAGACGATTTATAGAGGCTATGATAGGCTGGCCAACTATCATTTAAAACATGTCCACCTGTCACCTTTTATGGGAAGCGTGCCTTAAATTCCAGATGGTATTTTGGCTGCTAAGAAGTTGAAACTTCACCTATGTTAAAATGCTCTGCTGTTTGAAACTTTCACCTTCTGTGTGTTTTTCCTCGAGGCAAGGTCACTGATGAAGACTTTATTTTCACACTCTTCTAATCTGTCTATAAATTGATTCCTCATAGTTGTCATGTTTCTCTCTATAGCATATATAGGTATGTTGTTTGTGTGCATGTAGTATTGGTTCTACCATTAATTATCCATGTGACCCTGGGCTTTTTAAGTGTTTTCATTTCTCTGGGTTTATTTCATTTTCTGTATGTGAAGAGTTGGACCAGGCAGTTGCACATGGTCCTTTGTGGATTTAGTGGTCCTGAGTCCGTGGTGGACTGCAACCCCTGAGGACTCTAGTCCTGGCCTTGTCAGTGAATGACCCAAGGGCAACCTACTTAGTCACTGAATGCATTAACAGTCTCACATTTTAAATAAGACAAAGTATCCTGTTCCCTTCCCTGCCACAGAACAATGGTATGTTACTTAATAAAGAGAAATGTTTGCAAAGAACTTGGGAGCTCCTTAAAGGAAGGTGCTCTCTATAATTATTAAGGTGCTGTGATGGTGAAGTGTAGGTATTTCAGAAACTGTCTTACTAAATGGGGTATATTTTCAGATTAGTGAGGTGCTCACAACTTTCATTTCTGTATGAATTTGAAACGCAGTCACTCAGCAGGAATGAATGATTGTGTTTTAAGAAAATTTTTTTTCCCACTATTTTCTTGCATATTACTTACAGCAATCCCAAAATGGTTTTAGACATTATGCATAAAATGGATGAGGTCTGTCGATTGTTGCTCTCCAAGTAAAGAAACAAAAAGTGAAGATAAATGGTCAGAGATGGTTTTCCAGGTTTAAGCCTATGGTCAGGAATGGCAAGTCTGATTTGTCAGAAGGGGACACAAAGTAAAAAGTGGATAATTGAATTATAACATCAAGGGGAAGGTCATATAAGTTCCTTCACTTTAAATGATCCATTTTGGGCCTATACAGATGTAGGAGTCAGATATGAATTCCATTTCCTTGGCTGAGTGACTTGGGCATGTCATTTAACCTCTATAAGCCTCAGTTTCCTTATCTATAACTTGAGAATAATATAGTAAGTACCTGTCTCGTGAAGGCGTTTTGAAAATTGAAGAGATAAAGCACTTAGTACAGAGCATGTGGTCATTTTAAGAAAAATTAAACTGTTCCATTCATCACAAAGGAACCAAGGATAAATGAAACCAACTGCAAAATGACTTGCATGGCATATGGAAGTCAATCCTGAATTTTTAAAAAATTATTTCAGATAATCAGTAAAACAAGTGATTATATTGCAGCTATGTAATTCAGAGTTAAAGGTATCGTCTACTCTCTCAATTACATATGCGAATGGCAAGAAGTGGTATATGGATAAAATGTCAGCACAGAGCACAGACAGAGGATTTCCTAGGAAACCCGTGACTGAGCACTGGAGGCACAGAAACCAAACAGCAAGGGAAGAAACTGAGGGGGAGGCAGTGCCCTTTACTGCCTTGCCAAGGGTGTTGGGCGTGGTAAAAGTATACGTTTTTCTCAATTTTTCAATGCCTGCTCATCACCTTCTTCTCAAGGACCAGCTCTGACACTTAACTCTACCATGACTGAAAAGTGAAAAAAAAAAAAAAAGGAAGAAAGATCCTGCTTAGGTTAGAAGATGCAGAGGGTTCTGCCTGAAGCTCACAAAGTTCAAGTAAAAGCCATCCTAATGGGTAAAGACACCCCAATTTTGAATAGGAACCTCTTGCACTGGGGGCTCAGCAAGAACCCACTTATTCTACTGATTTTTTTCCCCTCATTTTAACCAAGGCTTCTCCTGAGCTGTGAAAAAGACAATGAATGCTGTTATCAGGAGATTTTTCAGAAGCACTGTTCCTACCTGACTCTCCTGTTCTCTCTGCCTCCCCATCATCTGCCCTAGTACAATGCCCTCCTCTTTCGTGAGTACAGTGATGGGTCAAAAAACCAAGACAGGGTGCTTGATGAGACAGCAGGCAGCAAGGAAGGAGGAGAAAGAGGAGAAGGTGGGTAGCAGAAGGTGGCCACTGGTGAGGAAAGCAGAAGGAACACTTGAAAGTCCAGGTCCTCTGAATGGGGAACATCAAGACACGACCAGAAAATGGGGAAGGTTCCATATTAACAATGGAAGTACATTCAGATGGAATCATATGGAGCTTTTACTGGCTGCAGAGTCTAGTCTCCGTCAAGAGACGTCTGTTTAAAAGGGGGCCCACACGGCTGGGCACCGTGGCTCACGCCTGTAATCCCTGTAACTTGGGAGGCTGAGGCAGGTGGATCACCTGAGGTCAGGAGGCCGAGACCGGCCTGACCAACATGGTGAAACCACATCTCTACTAAAAATACAAAAAATTAGCTGGGCATGGTGGTGGGCGCCTGTAATCCCAGCTACTCAGGAGGCTGAGGCAGGAGAATCACTTGAACCCGGGAGGTGGAGGTTGAAGTGAGCAGAGATGGCACCACTGCACTCCAGCCTGGGCAACAGAGTGAGACTCCATCTCAAAAAAAAAATGGGGGGCCCACACACCTGAGATATCAGCGGTGTGATTGCCTGCCAGCCTTTCTGTTCATTCCCTGGGATGTGATCCTGTTGCCAGCTTGGACTGTGAGGCTAAGAGGGACTGCCTATTGGGAACATGCTGCATTCACAAAATATCTGTGGCTTCAGTGACAACTAAGATATTTTAGTTTTAAGCAGAACTTTGGAGAGTTTCATCCATGCTACTTGACTTTTCTTAAAATTTTGTGAATAGAGTGGATATTAACATCCCCAGAAAATAGCATCTCCAAGTAGAGAGTTGTACTAACATCTTGAAGGTCATCTAAGAAGTCAGTAGCACCTGAGAGTATAATACTAGCCCAACCAGATTATCTTCCTCTCCCTTGTTAACAACTCCTTGTTCTCTGGATTATGCTGCAAAATGTATGATGCTACTATAACACATATTAATGGCTTTGATAGTTTTACAGCATTCATAATTAAGTGTTTTCACATAAATTATGTTATTCAATTCAAAGAGCAATCATGTAAAGTAAGTACTACAGATCTGAAAAACTGAGGCTTAGGTCAGTTACAGAACTTAGCCAAAGTGACTCAGCCAGAAAGTGGTAATATCATGGCCTTCTCACTCCAAGCCTTATACTTGTTACTTTACACCCACTGGCTTGATATAATTAATAGTCCAAGCTCCATATGAGGATTAACACATTATCTTCATATGACTATTATGGCCCAATCACCAACATTGTTATGCTACTATTGTTACTATGTCTATTTACACTGAATTCATGGCTGAAATAGCTGAACTTCTCAAAGTAATAAGCAAAATTACCGTATGTGCAGAGGATACCAATGGGCTAAAAACAGTCACCAGTGAACGGGCTGTTGATAATATGATTCAGAAAACGCCAAAATATTTATCTCTTGTGGGTAAAAAAAAAACACGAAAGTGTGAACACAGATATGTGTACAATATATTCTATAGCAAATAAAAAAAGAGAAAAAACAAAGAAATTTAAAACTCTTGCTGTGAAAAGAATGTATCTGTGTATAAGTCCCTTGAATTAAATTCTCCTGGAAAGCGTGTTCACATTTTAAAATTTTCTTTTATTTATTTTATTTCAATAGTTTTTGGAGATCAGGTGGTTTTCGGTGAATGTGCACATTGACCAAATGAATGGGCATGTGAAAGTGTGATATACATGTATATATACGTGTGTGAAATGTATGTCTCTGTGTGTGTGTGTTTCCGCTCTCACAGAGTTTACATTCTAAAGGGAAGGTGTAAAGATAATACATGATGATATGAATAATACAAGTCAGTCCTGCTAAATACCAGAAGGGATACATTTGCCATGTGACCTATGTAATTTGGAAGACTCAACTTACCTCATATGTGAGTGATTAGTTTCTGTGATATAATTTATCCACTACAAAATCAAGCTTTGATCCATAATTTTGATTTACTTTTTCTAAACAGATTCTTATTAGTGGAATTTTAAAAAATGTTATGTAACAAAAGCAACCTGATGCCATTCTTCTAATTACCCAGGCTCACCTCTCTAGGGAATTGATTCTCAACTTCAGCATGAACCAGGGCTTGTTACACAGATTTCTAGGCTCCATTGCCTGAGTTTCTGATTTAGGATGTCTGGGGTGGGGGTGAAGGGTGGGGGAACATAATTTGCATGCTGCTAGTGTAGGGATCACACTGCTCCAGGGTTATCTTTGAATTTGCCCTATTGCTTGCCTTCCACATCCATGTTGACACCAAGGCTTATCCTTCTTGTATTCTCTGTCTTTCCCTTTCATTTCCATTCCTTTATTTGACTTCTGCTTTTTTCTCTTGATGAAGGGGGTAGAGGGGAGCACTGCTTTCTTCCCTGACAGGATGGTTTGTATTATCTTTGTTTTTTTCTCTCTAATTCTGTTGCTTTCAAACATGCCCTTAACTCTTAGTTTCCTTTCTCACAACTTTTATGAAGCTGCAGTAAGTGAATGAAAGAAACTCCTAGAGATAAGGAAGTCCTCCGTGGTTTGTTTAGCAGTGGATAAAGAGTGGTTAGGTGAGCAATTTTCTTTTACTGTTATAAAAATTGTTAAGAAATAAAAAAATTCTTGTTATGAAGAATATTCAAGAGCAATCTAAGGAGTATAAAGGAGTTTCAGAGTTTAAATTCCAAAGAGGAAGGACACATGTCAAGCATGTATTATTCAGAGACAGGAAATAGAGCAAAGAAACTAAGTGTCTCCTGGGTAGTAGGGGCGAAAAGTAATAATGATGAGGATTTTTAATTTTTCTAATTAAGTAACACTTTGCCTCTTCTGAAAAGCTCTCACATGCATCATACGTTTACATCAAAAGGCAGAAAAAATCATTTTTATTTTAAACTCAAAGAAATAGACAGTTGTGAAATTAACTGATTTGTTGAAGGACACACAGGCATTTAGAGGAAACAAAACTGGATCCAAATCATCTAATTACAGTACAATCGTCTTTCATTTATGCCTCTACTTTAAATTTTTGGGTTATAATCACTATGAAATATGCTTTACAACTAAAGCTTCCTTGATTCTTAAAGGTAGAGCTTAGCTCCAAAGCCAATATGATGGACTACTTCTTTGTCTCAAACAGATTTTTTTTTTTTTTTTTTTTGATACAGAGTCCTGCTATGTTGCCCGGGGTGGAGTGCAGTGGTGTGATCTCCGCTCACTGTAACCTCTGCCTTCTGGGCTCAAGTGATCTTCCCATTTCAGCGTCCCAAGTAGCTGGAACTATAGGCATGCAGCACCATGCCTGGTTAATTTTTATAGTTTTTGTAGAGCTGGGGTCTTGCCAAGTTGTCCAGGCTGGTCTCAAACTCCTCGGCTCAAGTGATCCACCCACCTTTACCTCCCAAAGTCCTGGGATTACAGGCGTGAGCCACCATGCCTGGCCCCAAACACTTTCTTTCATGAATGTGGATCATTAACATAGAGCAGTACAAGATTTTAATTGGAATATGAATCTTATAATTTATTCTCTTCAGGTTTTTTTTTTTTTTTTTTTTTTTTTTTTTTTTTAAGAGATAGGTACCCAGGTTGGCCTCGAAACTCCTGGGCTCAAGTGATCTTCCCGCCTCAGCCTCCTGAGTATCTGGGACTATTGGTGTGTACCATCACACACAATTTATATCTGCAGTTGTTGAAAGCAACTACCATCTATATTAAACTTTGGAGTTACTGAATTGCTAAGACAGTTACTCTGCAGGTCTATTGGTTTGCATAGCAGCTGTAATGGAGAGAACTCAAATTTCTTTTTAACTTTGTCAAGCTATTCTTTTTTTTTAGGACTCTTTTTGGTTAGAGTATGGGTGGGAACACAGAGTCCAACTCTACTCTTACAAGTATCCCCGTGCTTTCTAGAATCTTTTTATACTAACATTTGGACTTTTTGCTTTGAATTTTTATCACTTCCACTGGGCTCTTGGAAAGTTTTGAGGCTCCATTTTTTTATGTTTTCCCTAGAAATTGAAAAGAACTTTGTTTGGAAATGCGAGCTACAATGAACCCAGGTCTTGAATTATTTCCACATGTTCCGGCTGTCTTGCTTTTTGAAATCTAGACCAATTGTTCTAAAACTTTGTTAGGTTAGGGGATCCTTCAGTTAGACAATAGTCTTGAAAGACTGATAGGATTTCCAAACTGCCACTGCCAAATAATTCTGGAATGAAAGGGAAGAGCATTACTTCTTTTAAATTAGGTGCCTGATTGATATATGCACATTATTATTTTCAGATGGGGCTATATTATACACACCATTACAATAACATTCATAATTTACTGAGGATGTTCATAATTTACTAGAAAACTGAAGTCCACATTTTAAGCATAACTCAGATTTATAAAATGACTCTACCTATAGCTTTTGCATCTGTGTCTGAGTGCACAAATCCTTTGCTGGTTTTCTTATGTCCAAATCTAGTTATCTCGGTTAACCACAGAATCCTTCAGTGAATCCATTGGAGAAATGTATTTATACATCACGAAGATACTTTTTGGTAGTACATTGAAAATTTTATGTTGCAAATTTAAAGACTTATTTTATTATGTGATCTAACAGAATGTGTGAATTTTACATCTGATAGGTCTACTTGAAGAGATGTACAGAGGGGAGAGCAGATATGTTTATGGATCCAAGACCAGCAAAGTCAACTTTGGTTAAGGAGATACTTTCACAGATGGTCCTTCCTGCACCCCTCCCCCATGTTCCTTAATTTAATGGCTTATAAATCAGCTATCCAGGGGAGGAAAGGATATAAACTATGTGACAGCACTCTATAAATCATAAGATGCTACAAAATAAAAACATTACTATTTGATTAATTCACCTAATAATGGTGATATCCATACCATATGGAAAATTTCTTGTGATTTACCTCTGGTTATTAGTACATTCACATTTATCCCAAGTAAACAAAGCAACTCACCACTACCCAAGTTTCTTCATAAATTCAGTAGTGAGTCACTCTGTTTATTTGGAAGTGTGAATACTGTGATCTTTAAAAACTGATTCTCATAAAAGTACATACATTAATTTACATAATGTCCTGACTTACATTACCCTGCAAAGAAGGCAAAGTTCATCTTAAGCAACGTTCTGTTTCAGTTGTACAATTCCATGTTTGATGCCTTGCCTCTATCTCTGTTGCTTTCCTTCCCTTCAGTCCCCAATCTAAACTTCACTGTTTTATGTCTTCTCTCTTGGATTCCTACTAGCTGATCTGAGAAACAAGGTTGTTTTGAGAAACTAATTTGTTTTCATGTATCAGAATTCGAGTATGTAACTTTTCCCTGGTAAATTATTTGTCATTTAATAAGGGTATTCTGAGGCCAGGCACAGTGGCTCATGCCTGTAATCTCATAACTTTGGGAGGCTGAGGCAGGCAGATGGCTTGAGCTCAGGAGTTTGAGACCATCTTAGGCAACATGGTAAGACCCTGTCTCTACAAAAAATAAAAAAGTTAAATGAGCGTGGTGGCATGTGCCTGTAGACCCAGCTACTTGGGAGGCTGAAGTGGGAGGATTGCTTCAGTCCGGGAGGTTGAGGCTGCAGTGAGCCGAGATCATGCTACTGCACTCCAGCCTGGGCGACAGAGTGAGACCCTGTCTCAAAAAAAAAAAAAAAAAAAAGAATTTCAAATATAATGATCATCACTGTTATAGGTATTCTTAGGTCCAAGAGAATCTAGGTGACATCACAATCGCTTATGTGCTCACTTATATGGAGGCACATCCATGGAATGCCCAATTCTATGGGAATTCCATATCTCTGTACCACTATGGAGCTATGAAAAAGGATTGGCTGAGAGATCAGAAGATCTTAGCTCTGGAATCATAGAATCCAGGGATGAAACATGATCTTGCCCATCTTGATGACTGAATCCTGTGTACAAAATCCCTAAAAATGTTCATCCATTCTCTCCTTGAATGCGTCTAATTACAGAAACTCACTCCATTTAAAGGCAGTCTATCTGATATTAGAGCAGATCTGATTGTTAACAAAATTTTTCTTTTATTTTGTGGAAAGGATCTCCTGATAGCATCCAATCATTGGTCTAGTTCCACCTTTTGGAGCCAAACTATACAAACTGAATGTCTCCTCCTCTTAACCATCTTAATAATAGCTACCACTTATAGAGCACTTATTATATGCTTGGAAGTACTCTAAAGACTTCACATGTATTAATTTATTCTCAAAACAGCACTATAAGGAAGGCGTATCACGATTATTCTCATTTTATACACAAGGAAACTGAAGTATAGACAAGTTAAGTAATTTTTCCAAGGCGACAAGGTTTAGTAGTAGCTAAGCCTGAATTTACACCCAGGCCATCTGGCTGGGTGTAAGAGCTCAAGCTCTTCCTGACTACAGTATGCTGCCTCTGAAACACAAATACTTGAATATGGCTTATATAATGACCTGAGTCTTCTCTTCTGCAGTCTGGACATCCCTAGGACATCCCTTCTCCATAAAGGGTTCCTGTGACGGTGTCTCTTGGTGGCAGGGTGCTTTGTTCTTATGATGGGAGGAACACAGTTGGGGTTTCTAGAAGAGGCTTGTGGTGGGGTCTGTTTAAAATCTGAAAGATGATCCCAAACCTTCCCTTCTACCTGCTCTCTTACCTTGCCTTCCCACAGCCCCCTCAGCCCCTGCTGCCAGGCCTCCAGGTGGGGTGACACTCACCTGTGTGTACGAACATGTGCTTGACGTAGTTCTGTTTGGCGGTGAAAGTCTTGTTGCAGAGAGTGCACTCATAAGGCTTTTTTTCGCCTTGCCCACTGGCTGTGCTGTGGCCTGCGGATGAGGCCAGGGGCTGTGGCGCTGGCAGCTGTGCAGTAAAGGTCGACAGACCGGGCTGGGACACTGTCACAAACTGGGTCTGCTGGCCTGCCAGGGGCTGTGGCAGGCTGAAGAGGAAAGGCTTGGGGCCACTGCCCGCGGGCTGGGTAGTGAAGAGGGCTGGCAGGTAGGTGTTGCCAGCTGTGCCAATGACCTGCGTGTTGCTGGTCAAGGTCAGAGGCATCCTCAGGTTGCTGGTGAGGGTTTCTGTCTGGCGTAAGTAGAGCTGGGTACTTGGCAATGGCTGCCCGATGGACGTGTTGACCGAAGGCTGTTGTAGGACGCTCTTGTCGGAGCTGTTGCTGACAGTGATAACAGTGCTGTCCATCTCCACTTCATTGCTTCTCTCCGGAGAGGAAGCACCTGTTTCTAGCTGGTTTGTCTGCGGACCACCCTCAGCGGGGGCTTCTGCAGCCTGCTCGGGTTGGGTGGGTTCAGCCTGGCTGTCCCGCGCCGCCCCAGGCCCAAACTGCTGCTCCACCGAGTCAGGCTCGGTGCCTATGGAGGAGCTGACGCCCGAGTCGAAGCTTTCACCTTTGGGCTCACTCTCGGTGCCCTCGGCCTGGTCTGTGTCTTCCGTGCACTCCTCGGATTCGTTGCGTTCCAGGATCTGCACCCTTTGCTGCCCGTAGTAGTCGTAATCGTCCTCCATCTCCTGCTTGATGTGGATGTTGCCCACTAGGGTCTGGATGCGCACAGGCCGGGGCTGCTTGCGGCAGTGCGTGGTCTCGGGGGTGGTGGACAGGTAGCGCTCCATCTGCTGCGAGCGCTCATGGATGCGTGTGATCCAGCTGGGGTCTTCCATGTGGTGGTCGCGGGGCAGGCCGAGCGCAGTCTCGTGGTGGCTGACCACTGCGCCGCTGTAAAAAGAGCGCTCGCCGCTGCCATTCTGCATGGAGCACGCGTAGAGTGCCGAGTAGATCCTGTCCACGCTGTGCTGTGGGTGGCTCTGCAGGTAGCCCGACTCCGTGTCGCTGCTCTGGCCTGACGTGCCTGACTCGGGAGTGCCCCGCGGCGTGTCCTGGCCCGAGTCCTGGATCCCCGGGAACACATCGCCCACGTTCTGTGACACGATGCGCGTGCACTCGTCGATGACTGTTTTGATCTGCAGGATGCTGGCGGCCGTGAGGATCTGCAGAGCTTCCGACTGCGAGACCCGTAGCACGCCGCTGTACATGAAGTCAATGAGCTTTTGCACTGACTGCACTGACACCACCGACGGGATCTCGATGTCGCTGTAGCCAAGCAGCAGTTTGTCCTGGAAGAAGGGGCTGCCGGCTGCCAGCACGCAGCGGTGTGCGCGCAGCATGCTCCCGTGGATGCGCACCGTTACGTCACAGAAGTGGCCACGGTTGCGCTGCTCGTTGAGGGTCTCGAGCACGGAATTGCTGAAGTTGTGAAGGTTGATGCTGTGAATGCGCTCGGTCATCCCCTTGCAACTGATGTCACCTGCAGCATGTCAACGCAGACACAAAACAGGGCATGGGTCAGATCTAGCTGGTTGCATTCCTAACACCTAGGTTTCAGGTGAGTAATGCTCATGGCTCCTAGAAGCACTGCCCTTACATACGCAAGTGGGGAGATGGACAGGCTGCGGCATACAAGCTGTAGGTACGATGACCTGAGGGAAAAGGACCTTGAATTTTGCTCCAATTCCGGCCTTTAGTGCCGCAGCCATTTTGGGTATCCATATTAACTCCCCAGAGCTTCGGCTGAGGTAGAGTGGCCTAATAACCAGATGATTTGTTTGCCTGCTATTCCTACAGCTTCAGCAAAGAACTGAAAGGCAAATGGAAGACTTGTTCTTATGGAACACTAAACCTCCACTTTATTTTTATTTATGTATTTATTTACTTTGCCTTCACTTTAGACAGGCCTAAGCCCAGATTCTTTGGGAAAGTTTACATTTCCCCCAACTTATCAAAGTCCCTTATTTTATTCATACACAGTGACCATATTCATAGTTAACAAATAAACCCCCTTCCTATTAAGTCATATGGCATATTATCAAAACCCACACCATGTATGCAAAAATTATTGGAAAATTCAACCCAGACTAAGATATCTACCAAACAGTCATGATCATGCTTTCCGGATGATGGATGGGCTACAGAAAGCAATCTGCTAGCTAAAGGGGCACTCCATGGCTGCTTTCTGTATCTACTCATTCTTCTTGTCATCTCTGACAACCTGTTTGAGCACTTTCTAGGGTGGTTGCATGTGATATGGAAGGTTTTCTGAATTTTCTGAGGCTTAATGAAGGAGGAATGTTAAAAAGGTCAGAGATGGCAGTTCTGACCCAGGAGACTACAGTACATTGGTGATCATATTTATTATGCAAACAGGGCACTTTCAAGAGTGAAAGAGAGCATTGTTAATAATTAGGCCAGGATAGCAGGAGTAAGCCAGAAGTGGGATATATGATCTCCTTGGGTAATAGGGTGCTTTATGTACTTGCCACAGGGAAGTATTAAACAGCTCCCAGGAGGAAGGCAACAGCTATGTGGAGGCTGCGGATAGCCTGACCCAGCGCCACCCTATAACGTAGGCTGTTATGGCAAGGGATACTATTGATAAGATTTGGATTCAGAATGAGAAAGAAAACAGGTGGCTACAGCAGTAGATCTTAGGGCTTTTCTATTTTTCTAGCTCATCTCTCAGATGGCTCTAGAGAATCCCCCTCCAAATAATTCTTCAATCAGATTCCCCATTCTTGCCTTTACAACTGAACAATCAGCTTGGGAAAGTGAAATAAGTGGGCTTTCAAAACCAAATGGCCCAAGCACTGATTGTTGGCCTGGACCCAAATCTCTCTGTCTTGTGAGAAGCCACCTGAGAGGTAACAGCCTGCAGATAGGAAGAAGGCCTACCTCCTCAAACTCTTTCCGCTCTACCTTGCGATAGAAGACTTGTTCAGGAAACTCTGAGTTCAATGAGCGTTTCTACCTTGCTTCACTCAATCACCCTCACATGGTATGAGCTTAACTTAATAAATGTTCAATAATACAATTTGCACTAATTTGTATAAGAGCATTCTTTCTCGTTCTGACTCTATCAGGTCTGTTATGTGCCTAAAATATTGTATTAGGCTACAGATTCCATCGTTTTTACTTATATAAGACAAGTTCTCTTTGCCAGATTAAAGAATTAAGGTAAATCCCCTGTAACCATGTGAACACAAAATATGGCCCCAAAAGAAGGCACAAATAACCCAGGAAGGGCTGTTCAGGAGCTCAATCAGCAGCAGACCAAATTTCAAGTTCTTGCTGAGTTCGCCATACATACATACCATGATAGTAATCACAAGATAACATTTTTTAGGGGTTACAGTTCTAACTGCTTTCTGTATATGATTTCATTTAATCTTACAGCAACCATGGGAAGTAGATGATATTATTCCCATTTTACAGATGAGGAAACTGAGGCCAGAGAAACTAAGAAACTTGCTCAAGTACACACAGGCAATTGCTGGTAGACTGGCATTTAAACCCAGGCAGTCTGGCTCTAGAGTTCACCCTCTTAACTGCTTCATTATATTGCATAGTTTGCCCTTTACTGAGGTCTGGCCCTTAGGGATCCACGGCTCTGTTGTAAAGCTGTGTGAAAGGCTTTGTCCACTACTACCTCCAGCTACTTCTATACCTATCCGTGATTTAGTGTGGCTTTTATGTTTTTAGGCTGTGATGCTTTGACATAGCCTCAGTTGTGTAACTTAAAGGACTTATTTTTTTAGATGTCACAGTGCAAGAAGTAAGACAACTAACTGGCACTATGGTTTAGGATTTTCTATATACAATTTTACTATAACCAAGGTCTCTTTCATTTAAGTAAAACAATAAGCAGTAAAACTGGTTGTGTCTGTGATCATCTCTGTGTAGGATGGATTTATTACAACATTTTTTTCTACACAAGTGAAAACACTCTTTAAACATACATTTGCTCATAACATTAGTTACAACAATAACACTAGAGATGTCATATATGACAGTTTTCTTTCAGATAATTCTGGGAAGTAGCCCTATCACAATTATCACAATAATTAGTATCCATGTAGTGTTTGACTGTGTATACAACTTTTTTACATGTAACATCTCATTTATTCCTTACAACAATCCTATGTGTGTTCTGAACAGGTTTTTTTTTGTTTTGTTTTGTTTGTTTTTTTTTTTTTTGACAGAGTCTTGCTCTGTTGCCCAGGCTGGAGTGCAGTGGCACAATCTCAGCTCACTGCAACCTTCAACTCCTGGGTTTAAGCGATTCTTGTGCCTCAGCCTCTCGAGTAGCTGGGATTACAGGCATGCACCACCACACCTGGCTAATTTTTGTATTTTTAGTAGATGAGTTTTCACCATGTTGGCCAGGCTGGTCTCAAACTCCTGACCTCAGGTGATCTGCCCGCCTCGGCCTCCCAAAGTGCTGGGATTACAGGCATGAGCCACTGTGCCCAGCCCTTCAGGACAAGTCTTATTATTGCTATTTCATATAAGAGAAAGTCGAGGCTCTCAAAATGTCTAAATGACTTGCCCAAAGTTTTGCACAGTAGCACATGGCAGTGTTGGGATTAGAAACTATGCCTCTTAAAGCTTTTTCCACTGCATAACAGTGGATCACTGAGGAATGGAACTTGAAGTGCCCAAAGATCGAGAGTTATCTTAATTCTCAGCAGAGAAAAAAGAAAGACACTGAAAGTAATGATGAAGGTTGCTTTAGAGATAAGAAATGAACACAGATAATCACACACACACACACAATTCCATGAGAAAAATCCAAACTGTTTGACCAGATTGGATTGCAAATTTTGTTCATCTAAACAATCAAGTTATCTACTGAATAGTCTGAGTTAAGACTCTTGCGATAATATTGCCACCAACTTCATTAAAAACCACAGAGACAAACCTAAACCTGCACACGTACACAACCTGATCTGACATGCCTGGTTGAATTTTATACACACAATTCTTAAATATCTCCCTGAGTACACTGGCCCCACACTGCAGTGAACAGCCATGAAAAGCTGAATCGTTTTTGCTGATATGAGTACAGATGCGAAGGGGGACCCTGCCTCCCCATTCAAGCATGCCTCATTCCTCCAGCACACAATGCTGAGGCAATTCCTTTCCCAGGCTTTCTTTTATTTTTAACACTAATACAGTGGGAAAAAGTTTCTGCCACAGCAAGGCAAAGTCCAGGCTTTTGTGAGCATGTCCTTTTCATCCAATGGGCATTAATGTATAGATTCCAATGGAATAAATCTGAAATACTCTACTGTAGAAGATTTGTCCCCCATTGAAAACAAA
Source organism: Homo sapiens (assembly GCF_000001405.40). Taxonomy (NCBI): domain Eukaryota; kingdom Metazoa; phylum Chordata; class Mammalia; order Primates; family Hominidae; genus Homo; species Homo sapiens. The sequence goes on from NC_000003.12 coordinate 114,355,727, forward strand.
TCTTGATTAGATGGTTATTCAGGGAGTGTATAGGAAGGAATGGTGTGAAAATGCTAACTCTATTCTTTCTTAGATTGGCACTGAATAGGCATTTGGGCTATTCAAGAAAAAAAAAACACACACACACACACCCAAACCCCAACCCTATCAACTGTACAAAACCACAAAACTTTACATAGATTATGTGATCATGTGTATTTGGGGATTCTTCCCCACCCAAAATAAAAAATGCACAGTGTTATGAACACAAAACTGATGGCAAAATGAAATAGTGATAAAAATAGTTCTCTGTGTTTTAAAATAATAACTTACCTCCTTTTTACTAGAGTAAAAATACAGAGTCAGCTTGTGATGGCATTCCCTCAAAACATGGAAGGAATTGCAGTAATGAAAGTCATCATGTATTCTAAGAGACTGTTCTGCGAGAGCACAACACAGACGGGGCTAAAGCAGGGGTGAGTACCGAAGGGAAAATCTGCCTGTGGGGAATTGGGGATAGAGGGCCTGACTCTCTGTTTTGCAGGAACGTTGCTCCTGCCTGTCCCTTAAGCTGCAGGGGTCCAGGGATAGGACTTAGCATGAGAATAAAAAGCTGCCTGCTCACAAGAGAAAATGAGCAAGAAAGGAAACAGCAGGCAATACAATCTCTTTTAATTAGGTGTGAAATCCAGTTCTTTCTCAATCAGGAGAGCAAAAGGATATATAAAATGAGACTAGTGCAAGGGTAAGATGCTACAGAGGGGGATGGGGATTTGAAGTCTCTGGACTTGGAAGGAAACATCAGCTCTCAAATGAAAACCAATATAAATTTCGGTCCAGTTAATAAGCCTAAGTCAAGTGGCAGGGCCAGAAAGCCCTTGAGCTTTCAATTTGGGGCACCAGATGAGGTTAGTGGGTCTTGCACATGAAACAGGGTGCAGCTTGCCAAGTTAGTCACACTAGGAAAGAGCCAGTCATCTCTGGAGAAAGGGGGGATGTATTTTGGTGACTGAGCCCCCTTATTCTCCAAACCCCCTGCCTGGGGTAAGACTTCAGTTACATGTACTTTACCTCCTCATATATGCCAAGGGAGTCCTGCTGAATCCCTGCACTATAGGAGGTATAGTAGTTTCTTGCTAACAGGTTCCATCCACAGCAAATGACTCTGCACCACCCCACTCTCTCTTTCTATCTCATTAGTATCATCACAGTCTTGGGAGGTGGCTGGGAGCACTGGAGAAATCACACATGCAAGTGGAAGGCAGCAAGCAGACAAGATCTCTTTCTCCTATCTTGGCTCTATATACCTAGCATATCCCAGCTGCTATTACCTCTGTAGTGAGACTAGGGAGGGTCATCAGCCTATGGGAGGGCGAGCTGTACAGTTTTACTTACCCATTCTTGGGTGAAAAGGGGGGTGTTTTGGGCCATCTCCCAATAAAGGTTCTCCTCTATCTTCCAGATTGTCTAAGCCCAGTGTGGAGGAACCATCAAGGATTTCAGCACGTTTTTTTAGCCATTGGTAACAGAATTCTTCACATAAAACATATATCAATTGTTGAAATTTGCAGAAATTTGACTTCGAACTTGCAGAAATTTGACTTTCAAACATGTTTGCAGGAATGGCTACCTATGAAAGTTGGGGACTAGCTGGATGTGCTTTTTTAGTCACTACTTATTATTTTATCTAGACAAAGATTAAAAATTACTAACTTGTTTACAGTATTTACAACACCATTCTATTTATGATCCCAATACTGTAATTGGGTATGCCTTTAATATTACCTGAATTTTTATTCATTCATAGAACATTTCTAGAGAATACTTAAAAGTATTTAAAGGTCCTTGGTTTTATGTTTGGGTTTTGGGGGGTATGTATAGTTTTTATAAATGGACATGTTTATACTTTTATAGGAATAAGGTCAGTGGCTTTCATCAAAATCTCAAAGGGGTCTGTGTTTTCCCCAAATTAAGAGCTGTGGATTGAGATTCAGGCATCCCTCTTTAAAATACTTGTAACTACTTTCCATAATCAAAGCTTCTAAAACTGATGCAAACTTTGTGATTGCATTACTCTGATGCATAAGGTCTGTTGAACTGATATTTTCCATTTACTTAAGTTGAGCTGATACTATTTTGTATGAGAAAGCAAACAATCTTGGCCAAAATGAGAAAAGTTACTTTTCAGAAGAGAAATATTTTTTAAAAAGATTGAAAGGGAAGAGAGAAATGTAGGTAACTACTAATATTAGCAGAAATCTGGATTATGACAGACATATAGTTTACAACTGTTGAAGCTAACTATTATTTAGCAAACTTTGTTTTACTCAGAGTAAGTCCCTTTTGACAGTTAAGACAAATCCACAGAAGAATTAGAAAACACCCTTTAACATCTTTTGACTGTTAAAAATTAGATATTGTGGTATAATTTGAATAAAAAATAAATATAAACTCAATATACACATCTAATCAGCCAAAAAAATAGTTTACTTGCAAGATCTATAGCACTTGTAATGGGGAGACTGCCTTTCTTTCTATTTTCCTCCTTCCCTTTCTTCCTTTTTGCTGTCATACCACGAAGTTTTACTAAGTTTGAAGTATGGGGAACAAAGAGGCAAAATTGAGAACTAGAAAAACATTTGCTCTGTGATTTTCAGGCCCATCCCCAAATCTTGACTTATCTTCCATTCCTGACTTCTTTTTCCTCTCTTCACTCCACCAAAAAATAAGAGCTTTATACTTTATCTAAGGCTGAGAATAGATTTACAGTACTAGTGGGATTTTACAGGTCCAAAGGAGAAAGTAATTCCAGAAAAGTCTTTTTACTTGGCCTTAGAGGTCTCACAGTCTCCCTTGGTTAGCCCAGGCCTTTGGCTTGCCTGATTTTATGTTAAGTCTGCTGTTCTCTCTAAGAAAGGATGAGGGCATGCCTATCCATATTGTAAAACTGTAAATACAACTGACTTATGAATGAAGCTGCTTTGGGGGTCACTTGAATTTTCACCAATTCATTAGTGAAACATTTACTGAGAATACCCCAGTATAAATGGAACCATAAGGATACAAAGGATCTTAAATCTAAATCAATAGAAGAAATTTATCCATAAGGATCTTTGATATTGGAAACATATATTAATCAATCAACTTCTCCCAGACCTCAGTGCTCAGGAAAAGCTGTGTTTTGCTTTTCTTTGTGGAGCCTGTGAATATCATAACTGATCATGTTTCCCTCTTGGCTCTGTTCACTAGGGAGCTCAGAATAAAAATTTAGGCCCCCTTTTAGCAACTATGTAGGACCTCATGGTATGCTTTTCTATGTAAAATTTTCACCAGCCTCATTATATTATCCATTCTTTATTTTACCTCTACTCTGATTTCTTTTTTTTTGTAGTTATATAGAAATACATTTCCTACATATTTATTAACAATTGAATATTAATTTAAGCTACCTCAAATCCCTTACTTATGAGGTGAGGGCATAATCAATCAATCAACAAGTAATTGAGCATCCACTTTATGAAACCAATTCCAACCATAAGTTAAAACTTCAGTCTTGAGTATTATCACACTATATGCTTTATGAATTTTTTATACTTTGAGCATCTGATTCCAATGAGGTAAACTGTTGAAATTTACTTTACAGTACAGTTTGTGAAAATTAAGTTTTACTCTGTGAATAAAGAATTGGATAGATAATTCCAGACAACATTCTGAAAGACACTTACGCCGTCATTCCAAAGTTGAAATGAAATGAGGGGGAGAAGACTTGCTGGGACTAAGGAAAAAAGTCAATGAAATCTGAGGTTGATGCCTTTAAATCCTCTTATATTGTAAACCTTTTGAGACACCTTTTAGGAGTTTCATTTTTTCTCTCTCTAAAGCGCTTTCCTTACAAATTTAGCTACTGCCCTATTGTAACCTTTTCCTTTGTTCACTAAATCTGGGGAACAAAAATACAGAGATGCTACATCCGTGGGTGGTATACAAAAATGAACCAAAGGATCTACTTAAATTCACAAATTTGTGCTGTTTGAACTTGGCTTTGAATAGACCTTAAAGAAGGATCTGTATATTCAATTGTACAGTTAATAAGTTAGGTCTTTTGTTTTGCTTAAGAAGCAATCACAAATTTAAAAATTGAGTATATGAAAACCAGCATCTTCTTACTTGATAATCTGTTCTTGTGGTCTCTACATAATCATATACTTATTTTATAGAAAAAACAGATTTATAAATTCAGTGAGTTCAAAGATTCAGTATAACTCTCAGGTATGGCATTTCTTTAAAGAATATCATCACACACTGATGAATTATAGTTAGGTAAGAAACTGATTTTTTGACTTTGGGAAAACTTTTCTCTGGACTTAAACGAGTGAGAAAACAGAACTCAATAGTGTCATTAAAAAAAAAAAAAGCTTTCTGGCAAAAAATATCATTGAGTTCCCAATTCATAGAACTTCCTTTAGTCCTCTGTTGCTGTGCTGTTCTGAAACTGCTTTTGAAGCAGGTCTTCAAATTCATGCTCAAATGTTCTCTTCCCTTGGGTCTTTCTAACAAATAAAAAAAAGTTGCTTCCAATGAGACCGCTGTTTTTCAAGAGTATCTCTGTTTGTTGGTAGGAGGGGAATGCAAGATTTTCTTTTTTTTTTTTTTTTTGAGACGGAGTCTTGTTCTGTCCCCTAGGCTGGAGTGCAGTGGCGCGATCTCCAGCTCACTGCAACCTCTGCCTCCTGGGTTCAAGTGATTCTCCTGCCTCAGCCTCCTGAGTAGCTGGGATTACAAGCGTGCTACCAAACTCGGCTAATTTTTTTTTTTTTTTGGTATTTTTAGTAGAGACGGTTTTCACTAAGTTGGTCAGGCTGGTCTCGAACTCCTTACCTTGTGATCTGCCCACCTTGGCCTCCCAAAGTGCTGGGATTACAGGCGTGAGCCACTGTGCCCGGCCAATTTCTCTATGGACTTGAGCCATGATAGATAAGTTCACTGAGGAGTAAAGACCTTCTATCCCAAAGCAACAGGGAAAAGCCAAGGAAAAAAGTAAATCTGTTTTGTTGGATGACTGGTTAAAATGGAAGCACTGAGATGATTTGTGTGGGCTAGGTTAAGAGAGTAGCTGAAATTCATCTGCGCACCTAGGGTATAGAACCAGGCACGGGAAATCATTAAAAAAAAGAATAGGACCTAAGTTCCTTTTTGGCTCATACTGAGATGAAGAATAAGTGCTGTCAGATAGAACTCAAAACCTTGGGAGGTTCTGGTAAATAAGTAAAGTAGAAGGCATACTTTATAATTATTTTAATCACAAGTAGGCATTTTATCTTTATGATATTCTTTATATAGTCTTTTGTATAATATTTATTATATTATTTACATATTGTCAAAAAAGACATTGAGCTATAGAAGTCTCCTATAGCTATAGCTAACATTCAAATTATCTGATTTCACTTCACTGATTTGGTTGGATTTGATTTTCTCTAAAATAAAATCTCTGTGCTAATCCAAAAGGTTGGCCATTTTGCTTTCCTGTGTGTGGATTACATTCATTTTTACTTCTCTTCTGCTGAATTTTCCGCAGTTCTGAAGTTATTGTGGTTTCTCTCCTCACCAATTCTTATCATCCCCATGAACCTTATTCAAACTTTTTCCTTTTCTGTGAAGCCTTCTGTGATTACTAGAGTTCACTTTTCTTGGTTTCCACTGGTTGGTGAGGTAATAAACTAAGACATTCATTTTTGGCTTGTTCTCACTGAATTAGAAAACTTTCTTAATGAGAAGGTATCTCCCCTTTCCTCCACCTGTAGGAATGAATGGCCAGGTTTTTGTATACTTTATAGGCTCCTTTGCCTCAGGGAGTTGTGGTTTCAGAGCCCATTAAGCCCTAAAGAATAAACCATAAAACAAAGAGTTTTCTTTCCTAATGTCTGTTCTCTAAAATGAATTATTAACCCAGAATGGGTAAGGAGAGTGAGGCTGATTGATGCTTTGGAGTTAGAGAATTGGATAGCATTACTGGAGAGAAAAACAATCCACTTTCCCTCAAATGCAGAAGGTAGCAAGGTCTCTACTTGCATACAGCTCCAGTTGGGGTAATTGCTTGGCACACTTCTGGAGGCTGGACATAAAAAGGCACCACTTTGAGAGGAACAGTGATCATCTGGGGGCTGGGCCAATGGTCAACAGCAAGGACCACTGTGGAGGGCATCTGTAAACCCAGCTAGTGCAGTAGTGCTGGCAGTCAGAAGGACGAGGCTCAATGGCATCTTTGTGGGGTGGTCAAGCAATGTCAATGTTGGAGACCATCATGGACTAAGGACTTAGATTTAATGAGTCTTGTACCAATCTAGGGATGAGAAGGGAGCCCCAAAACTTGTCTGTATTTCTTGCGAATTTGGTGACAGGGGCCTCAGGTTTAATTTTCTTTAGAAAAATACGGGAATTTTTTTGTACCTGAATGTTGAGGAGTGTTGGGGAAGTTCACCTGAACTTCCTATACATGTAGCACCTAAGTTAGTTCTTACCAATATATTATTGTTTCTTTTTTCATTTGTGTCTGTCTTATCTCTCTAAGACTCAAAGCCTCCCAAAGGCTAGTATCTTGTCTTGTTATAACCACAACTACAATGACAACTACAAATATGTAACTGGATCCCTCATTGTGCCCAGCATGTTTCTTTATAATGTGTGGGTTCTATGTGAGTGCTTGTTTGGTCAGCTCTTCGCTACACTTCACAAACAAGTGGGAACCTCAGGGCGCACATTTACTCTGAGATATGTCTATGTGATATGGTCCTGACAGGGCTTTTTTGCCCCTGAAGTTCTGTGTAATGCTCTTCTTCTTGTCCTTTATTTCCCTACCTACCCACAGTTCTATTTTCAATAGAATTTAAAGTCCAAGCAATTGTTTTATGTGTTCACTGAGTTGCCCACAAACTCTGCTCATTCATTTATGATTTCTGATACATGCCATGCTGTCTCTGTCTCCCTGATTCCATTTCCCCAGAGAGACAGCTCACTGGGTCCCCCTGTCAACAGAGGATTCAGTGGAACCCAAAGCTAAGCCATACTTTGTAATAAAAAATAAGAAGAGATGACCAATCTATGATGTGATAGAAAAATGATCAGGCCAAACTCCGATCACTTTTGCCTATGTTAGGGAAGCTAACCTGCTTGGTAACAGATGTTACAGAAATATCTATCAATCAGCATTGATAACAGGGTATTTATATGTACATTAACAGTAGTGTCAAGGATTGTTTAGAATATTTTCTCTTGGTGGCCACTGGGTGTCCTCATTTACAAAGTAAATATGCAATATTTAGTGAAGGTCACTGGAGAGAATAAAAGACACTAGTTTTCTCTTTGGCCCTTCACATACTGGGGATAAATTTATTGCTGAACTCACAAGCAGGTTATATATTAGTACAGTTTAAAAACCTTCAGGTCAAACTGTTAAAAGTTTATAACCAAGAGTAACTTATTCAGGGTCCAGACATGAATTTTAAAGGCTGTTTCCTCAACAGAGGGGACTGTGATCAGCTATTAGAATGATCCCTTATTCATTTGAAAATTGGCATGGGATTTTGACTATCTGCCGAGAGAGCCAGCAGAGAGGAGCAGAGAAGGTCTTAATTTATTCTTGAAAGAAAAGAGAACACCAAATATCTCTATGGGATATTTGTTAGATTCTGTTTTTATCTCACCTTTTCTGAAAACTAATTAAAAATAATAATGAGAAGATAAAATATGTCCTTTGCCTAGGAAACCTGAAATAATGTGAAAAACATTACAATGAGCTGGGTCAGTATACTGATTATCAATCATTTCACATTTGAAGACAAAGAATTAAACTATTCCTTTATGGACCTGTTATCCCACCTGTAAAACAAAGGTGTGTATGCTTCACAGGGATGTTGTAGGGACAAATAGAATATGAGGCACACAAGGTTCCTAGGAAGAGAAACTGTACATGAGATAGATTTAGGGCATTACTAGTATTCTAATTGAGGCTGAGTCACAGTTGTATATGACTTGTTCCTGCTGGAAGACAGTAGTCAAGGCCAGAGCTCACACAGCCAACAAATATGTTCTGATTTGCTGCTCTCAGACACTGAGTCTGACACACTGCTCAGCAATCACTTACTGCTCCCTAAAGTGGTATTTTGCATTTCTAGGATTGTCATTGTCTCTAAATTTATACTTATATACATCGCTGATGAGGTTCTTCCCTTGCAAAAAGAAATTTCAGCCTTCCTCCAATTCAAGATACAGGCCTACTATTGAATACATAACAGTACATGGCCTTCAAATGTCATGCCTAGCCAATTAGCTAATCCTTTCCCAAAATAAACTTCACTGTAATATTTTTTTTTTCACTAGCATACATCCCCAGCTTAATTACTATTCTCTGGCATGTTATTTCAGTACATAAATTATCAATATGATTTTGTGTCAAAACCAACAATTTGACCAGGCATGTTGGCTCACACCTGCAATCCCAGCACTTTGGGAGGCTGAGGTAGGTGGATCACTTGAGTTTAGGAGTTTGAGACCAGCCTAGCCAACATGGTGAAACCTCGTCTCTTCTAAAAATACAAAATTAGCTGGGCATGGTGGCGCATGCCTATAATTCGAGCTACTCAGGAGGCTAAGGCAGGAGAATAATTTGAACCCTGGAGGCGGAGGTTGCAGTGAGCTGAGATCATGCCACTGCACTCCAGCCTAGGCAACAGAGTGAGACTCTGTCTCAAACAAACAAACAAACATCCCCCAACAATTTATGCAAACAACATCAGGGAAGCTAGGAAGCTCTATGAGCTATTCTCTGCCGTTCAGATATGTTCGATTGTCTTACTAGCTGAGCTTAACAGCCTTTTCTGTTTTTAAAGGACCACCATGCATGCCTCTAGTACAGCAATCTCTAACACTTAATCAACAGTTACGTCTACAGCAATACACAATAGCCAGGTCACTTTCACCCTGAGATTATACTAAAGGCTCACAATATGCTCAGAGTGTATGGAAAAGTGTCTCATTTCTTCTAAAGATCCTTAAATTCCTTGCTTTTATAGTATTATCCAACTGATTAATTAGTAGATTCATTTTTCAACTACTGTAGCCCCAAAGATACATATCGGCAGAGCCCTCCTGATTGTATTTTACCCTTGGCCTTTTCTCCTTTTAGTTTCCTCAGTTTGCACCTGTAATTTCACTTTTAGAACTTCTCTAGGCTCGGTGGCTAAACACCACACAGCACAGGCTTTATCTGATGTGCCGGCGCCTGGTGTGGTCTAAGACACACTGGTGTTTTGTTCTTGAAGTACAGGATTGATGTTCTGAAACCTAGGCTCTAACACAAAGGAGATCATTAGCTCATTTTAAGTGTCTCTTTTCTTCCCTCCCAGCCTCCTCCTACCCACCCCAATACTTCCTTAGTCCTAAGCACTGGCAGCAGATGGCAACCATATTCCAAAGCTGAGTATACATAAAATAGTGCCATGGAGAACAGAGTGGCTTCAAAGTTAGCCTTTCTATTCAAGTGGGATGGCGGGGACTTCTGGAGGAGTGAACTCATCTCTCATTCATTTAATCCTCTATTCATTCAGCCAGGAATTTGTTTTCCTACACATCCATCTACTGTCCAGCCAGTTGAGGGAGGGTGGGCATGAAGCATCTCTCTTGAGGGCCCTTCCAGCAGGAGGGCACTAAGATTTCTATGCCAAGCTCTTGTTTCCCTGGGCCAGCTCTGCCTGCTGCTGATCAAATCATGCCATTCCTGTAAGAGGAGCTTGGGAACACAGTGTGTAGGGGGTGGATTTCTCAAGAACTATCTCCTTGCTAGACTGACAGTCACATGCTGTATTCCCTAGACAAAGATTAGACCCAGGAAAAAGATGAAACAAGGAGGAGGATGTGGGGTTGCAGAAAACTGTGCAGGATGTTACAGTAACGGGAGGTGGGAGTGGGAAAACCTTTCCTTTTTGTTGTTTCAAGGTTTGCTAGAGCTTTTGCCTAATCATCTGTTTGAGCATCTTGAAAATAAGTATCTATTTCCATGGTATCTATCAAAAACAGGCACCAGATTATACTACAAAGTTGACCTGCCATATTGCTATTAGAATTAAAACATGTAGCAGCTTACATTCAAAAGAAAGCTTTTCTGTTTCCCCAGCATGAAAAGCAGAGGGTATTTGTGATACACTTTGTTTTGTAGGTCTGCTGAATGAAAAAAATAATCGGGTAAAAAATTAGTACCTATATTTTCACAAATGGGCATAATGCTTACAAATGCACTACATCATTATTTTAGCTTCATTCTCCCCACAACATTCATTTATTCATTCAACAAACATTTGCTGAGCACCTACTCCTAATTTGTGTAAGCACTTTGCTGGGTGCTAGGGATTCAGCAGTGGACAAGGTAAACAAGATTCCGCCCTCCTGAATTCTGTCACCTGGCCAAAATAAACATTTAACAAGTACGCTGCTAGAATTTTACTTGAGAAAAAGGAATAATTCATCTTACCTAGTATTTCTTCTGAATCTTTCTTAAACATATTTCTTGAAGGTCCAGACTCCTTTAACTAAGAAGTTCTATCTTAAATCTCTCTCTTTCCATTGTTATATTCATTCCTTTCTTGGTTACAATGTGGAGAGTTCAGATTGCAACTGCTATCATTTCTGGGGGGAATGGGGGTGGGACTGTAACCCTGAGAATCCTTGCTTTTCAAACTACACATATATTTTCTCTGTAAATATTGTACCATCTAATTTGCGTCTTTGGATTTTGTTGATTAGCCATCAACATGTGATTTAAGGAATACTGCATATGAGATGCAGAAATCATGACTCAGTAAGTTATTATTTTAAAGCTCTATTTTGGGATTTATACAGACTTGTGTACAGTCTAGTTTGGCTTTCAATCTAATCTGCAACTATTACTAGGAGGCTTTTAGATCAAGTTCCATACCCATGTGTCTCTGGAATTCTACAGTGAGAAGCAAAAGTGCTCAGGAGTTAAGAGAAGCAGACGTCCGAAATTATCTCCATGCATTACCAAAAACCGTGGGCACCACGGCACGGGGAAAACTTACCAGGTACAATGAGCCAGTGACTGTTACTGAATTTCTTAAGATTACACTTTTCCCAACTACTGCAGACTGCTTCAGAATAGAAGAAGGTAAGTAAGCAGGGTGATTACAAGCAATCCTCCTCGGAAGTGAAACTCACTCTTCTAAGTTTACCTCTGTTTTGAATTATTTCAGACAACTCTCATGCCATCAAGCCGACGGACTTTCAAAAAAATAAAAGATGCATTTCTTTACTTGTAAGTATTTGTCTTTGCAAAGGGCTCTCTGATATGGTAGCACAGAAGTTTGCACATTCTAAGGATCTGATGTTTTGCCCTCTTCGGGTATCCCGGCTGGAAGGAGCTACGGTGAAAGGGCACCTAAGGTGAATGGACAGATTGTAGATGGGTGCACACAGGAAAATGTACAGCTCCTACAATGTATTCTGAGGTAAGAGAGCACACAAGTCCATTCCCTATAATTTGAAAATCTCTCTTCTTTTTTTATTTTTTAGAGACAGGATCTCACTCTGTCACCCAGGGTGGAATGCAGTGGGATGATCATGGCTCACTGAAGCCTTAACTTCCTGGGCTCAGGTGATCCTCCCACCTCAAATTCCCAAGTAGCTGGACTACAAGTGCACACCACTATGCCCCGCTAACTGTTTTGTAGAGATGGGGTTTCACTATGTTGCTGAGGCTGGTCTCAAACTCCTGGGCTCAAGTGATAAATCCACACTGGCCTCCCAAAGTGTTGGGATTACAGGCGTGAGCCACCATGCCCAGCGTGAAAATCTCTTATTGACTAGAATGCACTTGAAGACAAAAAGGAACTTAACAGGTTAACACTAGAATGTAATGCTATAATATTAATAACACTCTAACCCTTCCCTATACCAAGAAGACAACATTCAGAGAGATTTGAAACTTCTTTCAGCCCCAGTTTCCTTATCTGTAAATGGGGTGTTTTGTAATAAGATTATGCATATTAGTCCTCTTTCATTTTTAGGAAAAAAAAACATACAAATGGGGGAATAAAAGAAGGCAAAGAGATAATGGAGAAACTTCCCAGTCTATTCAGGCCTGAATCCAAGAAGGGACAAGAAGAAGGGCACTGGCTTTTCCTCGAAGTGAAGGATGTAACTGTCTTACACACAATCTCCTCCCATAGATCTAGGGCTTTTCAGCCTCAGTCGTTCTCAGGGGGAAAGGATGGGGACCTGCAACAACTTTCACTTAGGCTGCATCAATTTTAGTTCATATTAATAATTTTCAAGCACTTAAAACTGTAGCCGACACTCAAATTCACGGAGCGCTGGCTGTTTTTCTGGTGCTGCTTTAAGGGCTTTACATGTAGTGTTCCATCGAATCCTTCTAATAACCCTATGAGATGCATACTATTTTTATTCTCATTATGCAATTATGCACATGAGGAAATGGAAACATAGGGAGGTTAATTAAAGGCACATAAAATGCATTCATAGGCTGAAGTTCATGTTAAAAAGAGCAAATAAGTAGACCATGGGGGTGAGAAAATATTTTCTGAATATTGGAAAACAACACATAGCCCCAGTCTTAGTCCATTAGCAACATGTTCAAGAAATAGCTTTAGCAGTCTGTTATCATACCTGCCCCCACCCTGAAGGCATATCGGAGGGACCCGAGAGGACATCAGGAGCCATTCTGCATTGGGATGTTCACAGGGACCTCTCCTCATTGCTTCTAAGTTCACTCTTGGGTGCCAGGTTTGAGGGTGCAGATTCTGATTAGGATATGTCCTGGGGAAGTGGCTTTTTCCTTCTGTTAGTTCTCTGACCCTAATGTAACAAAATCTTTAAACCTGTGTCCCAGAACAACACGCAGGAAAGAATATGAACCTCTAAAAGAAAGGCCCAGTAATGGTACCAGTAGAGTCCAAGGCCTCCAGGTCAAGAACTCCTGCTCTGGAGCAGGGCTGGAAGTGGGGGCACGCTTTGCCTGTATCACTGCCCAGTGAAACCAGGCCTGCTTTGCAGTGCCTGTTAGCATGTCAACCCAGGATTACTTAGGCCACTTCAGGAATCCCAGGATCTAGTCACCCATCTGGGACCTTTAGGTCAGGAAGAAAATGGAATGGGCTAGATTTATGAAAATTGGAAAAAATCCAGTCAGGTGTACCTATAAAGACCTACAGTATTTCCCTGAGAAAATGACATGTATCCTTTACCCTGGGGTTAACTTCTAAAAGTTTTAGTTTAGAATTTGCATGTGTCTTTTCCATTAGACACAGAGTTATCTTTTGTAGTTCAAACTTATATGCACCTTTCTTTCATTGTCTCCTTTACATCTAAATACCTGGTTAAGATATGAGGCAAAGAGATAATCAGTGATTATATAGGGAAGAACGTGATTACAGTAAAAAATTGAAGGACAAAGTTAATTCAGTTACTGCTTTTTGAAATTCTTTGTAGTATTCTACATGCCACACCAAGCTTTTTTAAAAATTCTGTACTCTTTGGTCTAATATCTTGGTATAAAACTGATAACATAACCAAGCTAAAACTAGTGAGGATAAATAAGTAGGAGGAAACTCATTTTTAGAATTGGAGAGGAAAGGAAAAAACTCCTCAAGGTCAATTTTGACATCAACTATAAATTCATTTGGCCTTGTGAAATTATAAAGACTCATGTTCAACATTGTTCCATGTGGTTGTTTATATAATTTTCAGTAGTGACAAAATAATCTCCTTATTTAGTTTTACAGGTAATTTAATAGTAGAACAAAGTATCGTTTGATTCAGTTGGTTCCAGATCACCATCCTACAGTAGAAGTATATCAGATACTTTTGTGTACAGGTGGGATTGGCCTTTGGAATGTCTTGGACCATCACAGAAAGCAGCATACTTTAAGTAAACAAATTGAAACCCTCCCTACAAATAATGAATTTGAGGATGTCCCATGACAATGAAGGTGGCCTTGAGAACAACACATAGGTTTGTTATTAGTAATTACAGAGCTACCTGAATTGGGCATATCATGAAAGAAGTACACAGAACATGGCTTTTAAAGAATTATGCTTTGTCATTTCAAAAACAATTGTTTTTAAAAATTGTTTTAAAAATTGTTAAGATGATTTAAATGTTCAAAGTGTATGACACCTATCCTCTGCTTAGTGTTCAGAGGTTACTGAGGGTAAGGAACTGAGTTAATATTTGTGAAGTAATAATACTTGTAAAACATTATTTCTCATAAAAAATAATAGAAAGCAATGTTGAGAAGAAGTAGAGAAAGAACCAGTATAATATAATTACTGCCTCACTGGGCTTGGGTAGTGCCTTCAAATTCCTTTCACATATATTTACCATTCCAATTGCCCTGTGAAATGGAAGATCTAATTCCTTCTCACTTTGCCTATTTAATTGCAGAGTCTCCCTTAACACTGGTTTTTCTCAGTCTATAATGGGCTAGGAACTCTTGTATCATAAAAATATTCATTACTCCACTTTTGAGTTACCCATTCATTATTTCTTTTTAAAACATTAAACTTGTACTTTGTAATAGTTGCTTTCCCATTTATCCTATGTTTGCTCCTGAACCCCTCTTTATGGTCTTTTTTGTGACACATCTGATTCTGTTTTCTTGACAACAATCAGGAGGCTAGTAATCCCAAAACCTAAGGTAATCTTTTCCTAGGTCTCTCCCTCGTTGGTGTCTGTGGCACCTGATACTGACTGCTGATCCTTCCTCTCCCTGATGGTCTCTCTGCACTATCCTGGTTTTTCTCCTATCCCTTAGAACTCTCTTTTCTTTTCCTCTATTTATTCATTCTTCATTCTCTTTCTTATCACTCATGTAAATATTTCCCAAGGTTTTGCTTTCCTTTTTTCTCTCAACAAAGACTTCTTTGAAGTTTACTCCCATATTTATGGCTTATAGTGCTCTTGGCCAAAGTGTTTGCTAGTCCTAATCTCACGCATTCCTGCTGTGCCCCAGGACCCTGTTTGTAACTCAGTGTTAGTTGTCTCCACTGGGAACACCTGTGGTAGCTCATACTCGGCACTATATAAAATGGAATTCAATTTGATTCCTTTAAATGCTTTTCATCTTTACTTGATACCTTGGAGTTATCTTTGATAACTGCCTTTGTTGTAACTAACACTCAGCTCCCAGAGCTGTCTACCCTCATCCACAAAATCTGTTGCACCTGGATCCTCCCCATTCCTCCTATTACCGCCCCCTTCAGGTCACCAATAGTGTGAAATACTGACAGTGCTGTCTGGACCCTCTCCTTCCTCCAGTTGCTCCTTCTCACATCCAGGCTGCCAAATTAGATCTTCTCAAAATCTTGCTCATGGTAGGCCCTACTTAACACCCTTCCACAGCTCTGCAACAGAGGTGCAAACCCCTCATACCTAGTCCTGATGCCTCATTTCCAGTCTTTCAAAAGAGCTCAAATGGAGCCATGTCTAATAAACCTACCTAGATATTACTGTTAACTGGATTAAAATATACTTTACAAACTTTCTAAATTCTCAGATACTGGTGATGTGAGGATACATATTGTTTTAAGATTCTTGGTGGTGGGGTCTGTTTTTCTCCACCTTTGTGTCCTCATGGAACTCACTGTAGTGACAGGCACAAAAGATATATTCTATACATACTTGCTGAGTGAGTGAATCAATGCTCCGGTGGGTCTCTGTGTATGGGGACATATCTTTAACCACGCTGCATGGAAGTTGTTTGTGAATGTTATTTGATCTTCTCTACAAGACTCTAAGTCTCTGAGCCTAGGGCTCCAGTTTATAAAACTGCGTCCTGCACAATACTTAGCCTGTGGTCCTCCACATTGAAAGCATCCACTATATTGATGGATGAATAGTCCTGACTCCTTTCTGTTCAGAGAACATTAAGTTTGTCCAGAAGCAGACTTAGTAACAAGCAGCATAAATGGTGGGAGAAAGGGCAGGGTTCTGTTTCTGACTCTGTCATTCATTATGCTGGGAAACTTTCGTTATAACACTTGTGTTATTTGGGCCTCAGTTTTCTCATGTGTACAATAATGGGTATAGACCAGGTAACCTTTAATCTTGCACTGCTGATAAAAAGTTAGAACTGGCACACATTCCTCAGAGAGAACAAATGATTCAGAGGCAGAAGAAAAGCAAAAAAGAAAGCAAAAAAAAAAAAAGGGATTCTGCTGATGAAGTAATAAGGTATGTGATTATGGTACCTAGTGTGAGGTGACTGGTGGAAAGATCCGACTTGAAATTTCCTTAAAGCAAGAAGTCCTTAAAGAATCCTCATGCTTGCTCTCAATCAATCCTAAATGATCCAACTCTAAGGGCAGTAGTGCATGTGGCCTCTTTTATTTTAAGTAAGGATGTGAGAAGTCTTGACAGATATGGAGAAGCACTAATTTTATATAATGAAATCTGCCATGAACAGAGGAAGCACACATGAAACTGTCACTAGCAGCTGTAGATAAGAATTAAAGATGTATTCCTGCATGGGATGAGATGGCAAGATGAAGAACAGAACCGTGAAAATCAGCATTGGGCCCTAACAATTACATGTGGATAATCATATCTATGCACTGTTTGGGAGAGCAATATGACACAGTGTAACTTGAGCCAATGGGCATTGAGACCAGACTTGCCAAGGGACCTGGGAGGATTTTATAAGAGGACAGACTGTTAGAGTCGGGAAGGGCCACAAATCCATGACAAAGTTCCAGCATGACACCTGTAGGTGACTCTGGCTCCATGAATGAACTTTTCTCAACAATTAGTTATTCTGAGCCAGGTGTGGTGGCTCATGCCTGTAATCCCAGCACTTTGGGAGGCCGAGGCAGACGGATTGCTTGAGCTCAGGATTCGAGACCAGCCTGGGCAACATGATCAAATCTCACCTCTAAAATACAAACAAACAAAAAACCCCCCAAAAAACTAGCTGGCTGTGGTGGCACAAGTCTATGTTCCCAGCTACTCAGGAGGCTGGGTGGGAGGATTGCTTGAGCCCAGGAGGCAGAGGTGGCAGTGAGCTGAGATTGCACTGCTGTACTCCAGCCTGGGCAACAGAGCCAGACCCTGTTTAAACAAAAAAGAAAAATAAAAAGAAAATTTATTTTGTGATTTACTGATCAAAATCATCACTAGGTCCTTCAGAATACTTTCTTTTTTTTTCCTGAGATGCAGTCTTGCTCTGTCACTAGGCTAGAGTGCAGTGGTGCAATCTCGGCTCACTGCAACCTCCGCCTCCTGGGTTCAAGCGATTCTCCTACCTCAGCCTCCCAAGTAGCTGGGACTAGAGGCACGTGCCACCATGCCCAGCTAATTTTTCTATTTTTAGTAGAGACAGGGTTTCACCATTTGGCCAGGATGGTCTCGATCTCTTGACCTCATGATCTGGCCGCCTTGGTCTCCCAAAGTGCGGGGATTACAGGCGTGAGCCACTGCGCCTTGCCCCCTCAGAATACTTTCTTACTTTGACTGGCTGTGTGGAAGGAAGGGTTCTTTTGCCTATTAGAAAATAAGTAGATGTCTTGCTTTATTATATATTTGGAAAGCAAATGTCTCTGAAATGGATATAGGATTCAGCTCAGCTGAATTATAACAATAGACAATGTTACCCAAATACAAATCTTCCCATGATTAAAATGAGGCAAAGTATAAGAAGGCCTCAGTGTCATAACTGAACTGTTCTGTTTTCTGAAAACTCTGCGCTCTGTTTGTGCCTCTATGGTTTTGCTTCTTTCTATTCCTTCTGCCTGGAATGCCATTACTTCTGCCTTCTACTTTACAAATGCCCACTCCTTTATGATCCAGTTTAATTTCATTTTTGGTGTGGAGCTCTTTCCACTTCAAGAGGCTCTTTCCTCGGGGGCTCTGTAGCATTTTGTGCATACTGGAACACTTTAATTCTGCATTTATATTTACCCCGTTATGTTCCAAAGTGTGGGGATGGGGTCTTATTCCTATCTTCGTCCCTAATCTTAGCTGAGGACTTGGTGCAGAATGAGGGATCTGATAACATTTGATCAATGACTGAATTAATGACTAAATGAATGAATGAATAAGAACGACTACCAGAAATTACTGCATTAAGTGACTATGGAAGAAACCCAGTTAAATTGGTGTTGTAGGGAAATAATAAGTTTTATAAAAAGAGGGCCAATTTAAAAAATAGAGGTAGATTAAGATACAAAGTTTCAAGACCTGTGCTTTTTTAAAATAAGTGTGTCCCCAAATGCACAAAGTGGAAACTCTAGGAAATTAGAGCAAATAAAAAAAACGAACTGGCCTTCCAATGTATAAGTGCTGGACTAAGCACTAAAATCTCTAAATAAAGGGTATAAAAGGTAACGAAAAAATTCCAAAGAGATTATATATCAATTAACTAAGAGGCAGAAAGGTGACTTTTTAAAACGGGAAAGACTATCTTTAATGACAGGAAATCCACATTTAACAGATGAGGGGCTTACTTGGCAATGAAATGACAGAAAAACAGTTTAAATGAAAAGATAAATATATAATTCCTTACAGAACATAGAATAAAGCAGAATGCAGAACACTGGGGGCAACGAGAGCACTTAGTTGTACCAAAGACACTCTATTACTGCTTAACTGATACGGAATTTATTAGAAAATTAATAACAAGCCATTGGATAGTAACTGTCTGTGGTTGTTATTCCATTCCATTTTGGCTATATTTTCTCTGCAAATTAGTGTGACCCTAAAATGTTTTCAGGATTGTCCAACTTGTCCTAAATTCCATAAATAAACTCTTTCAGAGGATGCTGTTTTTTGCCATGTCTCTATTACGGTTCTTCACAGATGGACCATTTTTGTCCTTCCAAAGTCTAAGAATAACTCTTTCAGTTATCAAGACATACCAAAATCCAGTTCAGCTGCTCCTGTGGGATTCCAGTTAGTTTAGACACATCTGCTGAGATACATGCATTTGAATCCAAATGAAGCTTTTGTTTGATTATACATTTTGAACATTTATGGAGGTTTTCTGGGGCCAAAATGTTTTTCATTTTTTGGCACACCAAACAGAGATCTTCAGTTATAAACACTGCCTTCTGAGCACCTCCAACAGAAATCCAATCTTTTCATGTGAACAGGTGCCTCAGGAAGTTTTTGGAAGGTTTTACACTGAATCAGCTTTCCGATTGGAAACTTTCTGAACATGCAGTCAAATTTGCCAAAGAGACCTTCAAACTTGCTTGAGCAGTTTTCACTCATACAGACATACATTCACACATACAGACAGCCCAAGTAAAAGCAAATCAGAGCCCTGTAAAACTGAAGTATTTTTCTTAAAGGTTAAATATCATATGCAACCAAACTGAACAAAAAGAAATACACAACAGGAGACAGAATGAACGGATAGCACGAGGTTCTTCATTGAGCGTGTCTGCCTTAAAGCCTTACCTAGAGTTTAAGCTATACATCCTTTCAGTAAAGTTTTTTATTTCATCTGGTTTCAAATATATACTCAAGCATTCGCATTTTTAAACACGGCACCATAGAGTATTGCTACTAACGCCTTTCAATCACAAACCCGTTCAAACAGTTATTTTGAAACACTGCCTTCTCTAACACAAATGGGTAAACCAGATTTAAATGTAAAGGAAGAAAAAAAATTACTCTTTAAGTCAGGGGTTCTTTAGCAAAGCCCTCATCTTACCTGATTCCCTATAACTTTTACTTTCCAGTTTGAATACAGCATAGACTAAAAAGTTGTTATAGAGTAAAATAACTTTTTAAGCCTTAAGCCTATAAGTTTTTACAGAGTAAAATCACTCCCCCAGTGGGCATGCCTGCAATTCAAGGGGAAATCTGCTTTCAAGTTGTTCTAATGGCCCCGAACCAGATGCTCTAAGATGGCCAGAAACCTTTGTCTACACCCACTTAGCAGATTTCTGGCTCGTTATCAGGGACTAAAAGGTTTATTCACAGAAATGAATAATTTCCTTCGAAATATCCCTTACCCTATTTACATGCTTGCATATTCCTTCCATTTTGTTTTCCCCCTACAGCTTTACTAAGGGAATTAATTATCTGGAAGAACAGGAACATACAGTAAGTACATCTGAGTTACAGGATGAGACACAGTATGTCATCTATTAGGCCTGGCTAAGACCAGCAGCTGATGCTAAATGGGAAGGAACATGCACCAAATGTTTTTTAATCACAAAGTTAGTAATTAATTGCTCTTTAAAATACATTTTATGCTTCTTTCTGTCTGTGTACATGAAATGCACATTTATTACATGCCAAAAATTACAACATTATGGTTTAAATGTGACTGGCACGGAAGTCCGGAAATCAGAGTTAATGTTCCCACAGCAACTTTAATTCTGTCCGTGTGCACATGTAGAGCTATAATAGTCTTCCGTTCCAGGATAATACGTATAGATGGTTTTGGGAGGGAAGCTAAAGACCCATATCCTCAACTGTAGTTACAGGAAAAAAATCAAAGGATAAAAGCTGTGCTCCTTTCCACATACGTGGATAAAAACAATGTCCCCACACCCAGTGTTGTGTAATCAGGGAATGAAAGAATCTGCTGTGATGCCAGCACTCAAGGGGACAGTTTCTGTTGCTGTGGGAACCTGAACTTTGCATTTCCTGACTTTGGGGTAATTAAAATGTCAGCCTTAATGTGGCATTAATGGAGTTTGCCATAAAAATCTTCTGTTTTGTTCTCTAAAAAATTGCTTAAAAGTTCAAAATGAGCCAAGTGTACTAAAAATTTTAATCACACAGACTTGGGCGGGTGAAGCAAATGGTTGGGAGGGGGAGGCCAAGGAAGGTGGATGGCAAGAGTTGGAAAAGGAAGAGCCCATTGGCCTCTGTGAGTGTCCAGCCCCAGCAGAATGATGCTACCTACGGAGCTAAAGTTAAACCCACCCACACAACAGTTTGGAAATGTGTAAAGGTTCAATGAAAAATAAATAAAAACTGTTCATGCGTAAGTGCATCTTGGCAAAGACACAAAAAATGAGACAGTCTGATGAGGCCGGTATAAAACATGGGAAGGTAAGTCACCATGGATATCAGCTTCCAACAAAAGAAAGACATCAGAATAGGTGGATCTACAGCAGAAGTAGGGAGGACGGCCACAGGGAGGAAAATCACTTCTTTCAATGGGAGCCTTATTTGGGGGAAAACAAAATGGAAGAAATATGCAAGTAAAAGTTCTGGTCGCGTCTATCACATGTATATGACTGTGATGTGCTACAGCTTGATAGCTGTCAAGAAAGGTTTTTCATATGGAGAGCTTCGTCTGCTTTACTGACTTGGTTTAGTCCTGCTTAAGCATTTAAAGGGAGCACTTGGCTCAGCTCATACTCAGCTTGCTTAGTGAGTAACTGCTCTATCAAACACCTAGGGTGTTTTTTACCCTTCAGATTCCATAACTCATCTTAATGCCTTCCATTATCACCATGTGAATTTGCTTACCATTAGATTTTTAGCAATGGTGAAGAGGTGGTAAGCTAGGGGGTAATGGGGGAATATTGCTAAAAGGAAATTGTGTTAGTAGGCGCACTGCAAAGCAACATACATTTTAGCAGCAATATTAACCTCATCATCTCACAAAAGAAAGCATATCTCAACTATATTTCTTCTTGTTTTGAATACCACTGGGATCTTTTGCCGAATTTGAAGAGGCTCAGGAGGTTAAACAGCCAACTGAGAATTTAGGGGGTCAGACTTGTCATCTTTGCTGTAAAACACAGCCTGTGTCCTTCATATGCAAAAAAGATGGTGGCTTACCCACCCATGTCAGTTCATATGCAGAGCTGACTTTTCTTTTGTGGCGATGCTTTATCCATCATGTTTTACAACCCAGTCACCAATATGAGTAGTTGCACATTTTCAAGATGCCTGTTCAGAGCCAGGAATGCCGTCTTTGGGCTCAGAACAGAGAATTCCAATAAGAAATGCTCTCACAATGAGAGCAAATCCATAAACACCCCTCGGTACCCAAATGAGTTAACCACAAGCGAGTCTTCCATCTACCTGGGTGTCAATTTTCTCAGTTTTCTCATCTGTAAATTGGGAAGGATCATACTGACAGGATATGGGCATTAAATCATGACTAAGAATAATTTTGCTAAACACATGACAAATAAAAAGGTGCTATAAAAATTCAAGCACTTGTGAAAGCTTGGAACAACACACACTGGTGGAATGTTTCTGAAGTTAAAGAGACTAACAAGTCAAGGGCACTATTTTTAAATGCCCCAAATCTGTTAGTTCTAAATAGGAACTGAATATTTTACCTTAAAGAAATTAGGCTTTTAAATTAATCTATGGTAAGAATGACATTTGAAAGTAAAAAAAAAAAAATCCTCTTGAATGCAAGAAGAGCATCCAAAAATTTTAACAGCTTAAAATAAACCTTTTTCCTGTCTTCTCTCAAGCAATCTCCAAATGGACAGATTTCTGTGAATCTTTCCTAAAAACAATTTTCTTCTAAGTGTAGGCTCAAATCAGGACAAACTACAATCCAAATATATTTGGAGAAAAGTATAATCAATTTAAACAACAGGTTGGAACAGAGAAGACTTACACATCTTAATGGCAAAATCAAAGTGACTGTCTAAAAACAGCTGGAGATCAGGTTTCTCCTCCTGGTTTGTTTTTCCAACTGAGCTCACATCCACTGGCTTCCCCAGGGCCACCAAGGAGATGTATGGTGACACCATACTCACGCTGTTCCTGAAACTTACTTCATGCCAATGCTAAGGCCTGGCCAGAGGATGCTTATGATAAAGCACAATAAGTGAAGCCCAATGCTTTTTCTATTCACAAAACATTCATTTTTGCTGTAACAGAAGATTTCTAGCCTAAGGCAATTCTATGTAATCCATACCCATAAGGTGTGGCAGAAAGCTGGGTAATGAAGACCTGCATGTAGAAACTCCAGGCCCTTCACCACAGGAACGGGCTATTTTCCTGGTGGGAAGGGACAGTGTGCACATGCCTATGGGCACTGTGCCACTCTACTTTCCAATTCTTTCTGTCATTACTATTACACTGAAGATTGCCAGGCAAGAAGGTCCAAGGATGTGACTATTAGGACGGTCCTCAGAACACAGTCCCTGCTTCTGCCCCCTGGTTTCTCTATAGAAGCCTCAACTTCGACTGTTCAAATCACATAGGCCACAGAGATTTGTCTCACGTTACTTCCCTTTTCATTTTCTAGTGACGGCTAGAATATGGTCTTAGCCCAACCTTAAATAGAACAAGCTCTCTTCACCCCAATCCTGCCGCCAGCTCATTTCCCTCTCTTTAGAGACTATCATGATGAAGCAAGTAGAGAATGGAATCTCCTGGACCATTGTCTCTTGCCTTCTTTGCAGAATTTTACATTTGTTCTGTCAGAAAAATAACAATAAAAGATTTAGAATCTCATTTCCTAATAATTTTTGTCTTTGTGGACAAAATTTTATTTTTGAAATAAAACTTTGCAGGTCTTATGTTACTCATTTTAAAGAAGAATATGCCAGTTATTTGCATGTTACCAGACATCCTTTATGGAGATCAGTTCAGAAGAGTTGTTGGGTATGTTAAGACTAAAAGGAATATTCTTTTGGATTCGACTCCAAAGTTATTTCATTCCTTTCCATTGTCAACACACATGTTTCTTTTTCTCTGAAGTATTGGGTTACATTTCAGAAAAAGAAAAAAATCTCCTAAACGTGATTTATCAACTTGCTTAAAATAGAATTAGAAGAAGTGACTCCCAGATTAGTGGGAAGATGGCAAAAATAAACAGCAAAGAAGTGATTTCAATAGCGACGATCTCATTAAGCTGCCCATTTCCAAATTTAGCCCTTAGGCAGTTTTTTTAATTAAAAAATATTTTTAACCTGGATTCTCATTGGCTGTGTGAAGTCTGGGTGGCTTCTGAATTCTTGGAAGCCATTCTCTTTTCTTCTGTAAATTTATGCTATCCTTTAACCACTTCAAAATAAATTAAAAACTGGAAAGACAGAAATTCAGCCAAGCTACATGAGACTCCAATAACTAATGCAAATCTGACTTGTGTTATGTAATTTCAAAATGGATGTTTCCTTGTGTCTAACTGGCCTTCTGAGGTCCACATTTGGTTGTTCAATTTAGTAATTGTGGAAGTGCCATTATCCAGATCAAGAATAAATGGATACCAGCAACAAAACTTCATTTTCTGGGTTAGTGTTATGAAAAGAACGTGTTTTATGTAATTAATCAGCCCTTTAAGGCCAAATGGCATGTCACCTGGCTTTTAAATACACTCTAGCTTTGCAAACTTATAGATATTGGCTGAATGAAAATGGTGGCACATTACTTTTGGCTGCTTTAGAAGACCAAATGCAAAGAGCTCGCTCTGAAAGTAGAAAAGCCAGAACCCAGGGTAGAAGCACTACTCCAAGCACTGCAAAGACACCATCACCTTAGTGGTGTACTCACAATCAGATGACCCGGTGTGAGCGTGAGAGTTTGTCAGTGAATGTGTTGAGTGGATGAGGGCTGGGTCTGGAGACAAAACAGCTTCAAAGTTCAGGCAGGGAAGGCCCGGCTTGGCGCTGGATCCACCCGGCTGAGTAATCTCATTCTCCTCAGATGCCTTCTGGTTTTCAGCTGTCTTGGGTTTCTTCCTGAAAATAAACAAAGGGCCCTTTGAAGGAACTGACTGCATATTTGGGAAAAGGCATTTTTAGAATCTGTTAAAGATAACTTGATTTTTTTTTTCTGAAGGGGGATGGGAGGGAGTCCAGTATGTCCCTTGTTTTAAAACAAGCTGATTCTTGTTTTTTTTCCCTCCAGTAATGGCCTAACTGGGAACACATGAAAGCATATGGGCCAAGCAAACAGCACCACATTTGGACTCTGTTGGCTGCATAAAAAGACCCTGTCCCAGAACTTTAGACAGCTTGAGCTACGTATGGCTGACATTATCCAAGAAAGCATCCCTCTTCCCCCCTTAGGAGTTTTAACATGGTCTGGAAAAATACTAGTGGAAGTTTTACCGTTCTAGCATTTGTCAGGAAGCTTAGAGACAGGACTCGTGGAGTAATGGGAGGAGCACTGGACTGGGAGTCAGGAGACTTGAGCTACCGTACTAGCTGTGCCTCTAACTTGCTGTGTGGCCTTGGGCACCTCACTTCACCTCTCTGGGCTTCAGTTTCCTCATCTGTAAAATAAAGGGCTTGGATTAGAAGGCCTTAAAGGTTCCTTCCAACTTTAAATTTCTACTCATGGACTACATTAAGGAACATTCAACTTTCCTGCTCTTATTAAGATTTTATTTTAAATAAAATTTCAAATCACAATTTAAATTTGCAGCCTGTACGGATGAGGGGGTAGTGATGGGAGGTTTCTGTTAGAGTAGCAAGTGAAAAGTGAAAAGAAGAGCTTAGATTCTAGTAGCTAAAGAGGGAAGGTGTCATGCAGAGATTTTTCTACTCCAACTCTTTACTCATCCTACGCCTAAGATTTTTGATTTGGTGCATCGTCCTGGAGTTTAGGGTGTGATTGTGTGTTTGGGACATGAGGAAGAGAAGGGTGAAGGGAATTAGAAAGTAATTGTTACTAATTGTTATATGGGGTCAGGAATAGGAAGTAAAACAGCACAGCTATCAGTCAGCTCAGGTCTCCTCTCCCCAGGACAATGCAACTGATATGAAATTAACAAATACTTAGCTTATACTACACAGACCCTAGACCACAGCCAAACTGGTTTATTAGTAATAGTTCCTGAACATTTCTCCAATTCCCTTGGATTTGTGTCTTTTTCTATCATTATGTGGACATGACCAGAAAAAGCATTTATTTTATTTGTAGAAGACTATGTGTGGTACAGAATTTGTTGTAAGTAGATTTGTTTCCATGTTTCCCTTGTTTCTGTGAGCATGGTAATGTACTTGTTATGCAGAATATTTTGTATTTAAATTTGTTGTGCTGGGTAGTTAAATCTGCCCTCGCAGAATATGGTGTTATGATTAGTATGCTGTGTTTTCAGTCCAACAGGTTGTGAAATAAAATCTGTTTCTTCAGAGGGCAGGAGGCAGAGATGGCATGGCAAAGATTAGAATAGAGGTGAGGCTTTCAGACATCTTTTTCAGTATGGAGGAAGCCAATACAAGAGAAGCAACAAATTATAAGACCTTATCAATTGATTTTTGAATGGTGACTATGGGAGTAACCCCCAAATCTTGAGTGTCTACATGGACCCTGAAGGAGCTGGTATTCTGATTTTCAGTTTAAAGATGTAGCCAAGATCAAAGTTGCTAAAGCCCAACTCCTTTATTAAAACCAATGCTTTCTCTAAGGTCCATATCTCTATCACTGTTGTCTACCACCAGGTTGGAAACCTCAGGGTCACTATACACCTTCCTCTGCCTTAAAGCCAATTCATCAGTAAGTTCTTACAGTTCTGCTTCCTTCATATTTTTTCTCACATCTGTGTTTCCATTCCAATTTCACTGCAATCACCTACTGCTTTTTATCTAGCTGATTGTTTACTAACTGGCTCTCCAACCTCTTTCACTCCTCTAGTCCTGTTTCTTTGCATTCACTAAATCTAAGATGACTACATTAGCCTGACACTCAAGGTCAGTTCCGTATCTCTTCTAACTTTTCTCATGTGTCCTGTATATTGGCCATACTGTACCCTCAGATTTCTTGAATATCCTCCAGAACATCCTGGGAATCTACATTCTGGGCTCTACATCTTTGCTCAAGTTTTCTCTTACTTTGAATATCCCATATTTCATCTCTGCCCTGTTGAAATCATACTTATTATCCTTCATACTTATTAAATGGTGTCTTCATCTTATAACTGTCTTGATTCCTCTCTGCCAGGTAGGACTTCACTCCCCACAGTGAATTCCTCCCTAGGTCTTTCTCCGAAATGCCTAAGCTCTTTTTTTTCTTAATCTTATTTCACTCACTCAATTTTATTTCAATAATGGCTATTTATGTGCATATCCCTCTTGTGAGACTGTAAGCTCTCTGAAGGTAAGGAAATGTCTTAGTTATTTTAGTATTCCTAGTGTTCACCTATTCTTTTCTTCTTCCTTCTCTCCTGTCATTCATTCATTTACATATTCATTTTACAAATATTTATGATGTACCCATGATGTGCCAACATGGGCTAAAGAATAAAACAGGACTGGTTCCTTCCCTCCCAGAGTTTACTGCCTTGTCTATACTATTAAGCAATGTAGCTTAGACAAAGCTGTCATTCAATAATTGATTGTGGACAGAATGAAATGAAGCTGAAATTAAAGTGTATTTTAAGAACGGTCATAGTCTGAATCCCAATTAAGTTTCCTACTTTTTATGCAGCAAGGTAGCAAAACTACCTGACTGGCTGCTTTTGCTTTAAGTCTGTGAGGGGTATTTAATAAGAGCAGGACTATTTTGCTCAGTAAGGCTAGGCTGGCCCTCATGATTCATTTAAATATAGGGTCAAAACAGTAATGACATATGTCACCTAGCAGAAAAAAGTGTTTATTTTTGATATTCATAGACAGGGCCTAGGATACTTTCAGATGTGTGCTTCAGAAAATTAAGAAAGCTTTCTTTCAAACATAAGGACATAGCAAAACCACCAATATATTACTCTTTTATTTTTAACACTGCAAAAATTATATTGTTCTTCATATCAATGCCCTTGTTTCCTTCCCTAGATTCGCTCTTGTTTCCTACCTGACATCTTGTATCACACCCTCCTGTTGCCTCAGTGATCACTTTGGGAGAATATTGATAGCACAGAGGCATTGGAGCTACCTCTATAAACAGGAAATGTTAGCAACTCAACCTTTTTGGCTCACCCCCTTATTTGTCTTATATCACTTTACTTACCCTTATACCACTGGGCTGTTTCCCAACTGTCCAGATAATAGAGAACTGCTCACCATCCTCAGAAGCAATTCATGTCCTGTCTCACCCTCTCTAATGGTTCTTCGGACTCCTTTTTCCGGAGCTGAGAAACCCTAAAACATAGCACCCGTTTACGTCTAGACATGCACAGGTGCTGTGAATTGACCCCATTTTTGCAGTTCATAGTTTATTAAGGAGGAAAGAATAAGCCCTGTCATAATTAGTTGAAAATACATTTTGAGGCTGTATAAAAAGAATTATAAACATGGCACATCTGAGGGCAAGTCTTTTCAAGCCTCTGTGGCGATGCACTATTCCCTGGAGCCTTTAGAGGGCAGCAGCACACTGGCTGACTCCAGCGGATTTCAGAGAGGCGAACTCCCGACCAGAACCTTCCTCCTGGTCACCATGCCAAAGGTTGATTTGCCAGGCTCTGGCCTCTCAGTCTCTTTCTTTTCAGTTCTCATTCTCTCTCTCTCTCTCTCTCTCTCTCTCATTCTCTCTCTCTCTCTCTCATTTTCTCTCTCTCTCTCTCTCCAACCCCTTCCTCCTCTCTCTCTGTTAAAATTATACACTCTGATGAAGTCGCCCCTCAACCGGAAAATGAAAGCTCCAATGAAAAAGTTAGACAAGCCAACAACAACAAAGAAAGAAACCAGGGAAAAAGGAAAAGGGGGCTGGTGACAGGGAAGGACTTAAGAATAAGAAAAGGGCAGATGTTTCGCAAATATATGCAAAGCAAAACTGGGTGTACCCTGAACACTTCCACAGAGAAACAGACCAATCATTGTGCACTTCCTCCCGCCACACTGGTGGAGCTCTGCATTCAAAAAAAGAAAAAAAAAAAAGGCAAAAAAGCGTGGCCGCAGGCACCCGCCTTTCAACGGTCAGTTCTGACATTCTGACTGAACATCTCTCAATTGTCCAAGGAGAACAAAAACATTTTCATCTCCTCACTGCAAACATTTCTGTTATGAGAAAAGGCTGCTTCAAGAATTGGGAGTGTGTTTTAAGGAGACTGGCGGCCGAGTTAGCCAGCAGAGCCTTCTGGTTTTTAACTCTCATTGTGCTGGCCCCAGCAAGAAGTTTTAGGCTGAAACATAGCAGTGAGTAAGGCTGTGGAGGATGTTGGCTCTTTCCTAACTAGACCATATTGTATGTGGAAAGAAATATGCATTAAAACATATTGATGATATGGTAGGTATTAAGCATGTTAAATGCATGGAAATTAACCAGATCGGCGGCATTTGATGTATATATTTCACACTCTTTTGCACATATTGCACACATACAGTGATGGCAATGCTTTCTGCAACATATGGAAAAATAAATATTTTATCTGTGTGAGCTCTTAGCAGTCTCCAGGGTGTTGAGAGTGCTCTCTTCTTTCACCCTATCCCAATTTTCTCTCTTCACTGGGCTCCCACCCTCTCTTGCACGTTAATGTGCCTTTTACTTATCAGCTTGGTCTTTTCCTATCTGGTAAGTAATGTGCCTGTTACTTATCAGATAGGAAAAAATTAGTTGGAACCTCCTATTGGCTCATGATAATTTAGACCAGTGATGCCTCCCCCAATCTTACTGGAGTCGTAACAATTTCCCTACTCTTTTCCCCAACAATACATTAAATAGGCTTAGTATCTGGGCAGGAGAGAAAGGGTAGGTGGTAACAAACCACCCCAATAAGGGTGGTAGCGGAACTGCGCTCCACTACCTATTAGCTGTATGTCCTGGGTAGATTACTCCGCATCTCTGAGCCTCATTTTCCTCATCTGTAAAATGGGAATAATAATACCTACCGCTTAGGGTTATTGTGAGGAACAAATGAGATAAGCCATGTAAAGTGATTTGCCTTGTGCTGGCACATGGTAAGAGCTCAATAATGGTAGTTCCTCTCATAGGGATTGTTAGTTCTGTGATATTCATCATGTTAGCTTTAAGAAGACATTTCCGGGCAAGGGGTGGTAGCTCATGCCTGTAATCCCAGTACTTTGGGAAGTCGAGGCGGGCGGATCACGAGGTCAAGTGATCGAGACAATCCTGGCCAACATGGTGAAATCCTGTCTCTACCAAAAATTCAAAAATTAGCTGGGCATGGTGGTGCATGCCTGTAGTCCCAGCTACTCAGGAGGCTGAGGCAGGAGAATTGCTTGAACCCGGGAGTGCAGAGGTTGCAGTGAGCCGAGATGGCGCCACTGCACTGCAGCCTGGAGCAAGAAAAAAACAAAAGAAAAAGAAGACATTTCCCTTCATTTCAGTAATCTGTTTAGATATCTAGATTTTGGGTAGGGGCAAATGGATTGTTATTGTAGCAAAGGCAGAAACAATGTTAGGACCAGCAATCTCTTCCTCAACATTTGATCTTGCTGTATACTTCCTGACATCTCCTTTCTGCTCACATGTTTGTCATTGCTGTGGCTACACTACACCATGAGCTCCTTGAAGCTGAGGGTTGAGCAAGCTGCACTTAGCCTATAGAAGCCCATCAAGCCTGGACACTATGGTCTATTCATTGAGACCAACCTATGGGACTCTGGCTTATCGTGTTTTCTTGCAATTTATCATTTCTCTACCTGGTCTGATGTCCTCACATCAATTTAAGATATTTTAGTGATTAAACACATTTTATTTTCTCAATCTTATTTTTTTTAACCTTGGCAGGGCTGATTTATAATTTTTTTTTCAGTATAATTTCCTCTTAACTGTATCAGTCAGGATCCTGGCAAAAATAGATGGCACATGCAAAGTTTTTAGCTAAAGAGGATTTAATGAAAAAACTGTATTTGGAGCTGCAGATGAGGTTAAGGGACCTCAAGAGAGATAGCACCAGGTACTAGCAATAGTAGAGACTGCCAGGTACTAGCAGTAGTGGAAAGCTTTAAACCATTTAAACTGAAGGGGCAAGTAAAATGGTGATGAATTCTGAGTCCAGTCAGAATTGGAGTTGGGAAGGAGGGCTGAACTAACACATTTCCTGACCTCTCTCTTCCCCCACTTTCACATCTCCTGCTGATGTCTCCTTTTGGCCAAATTCAAAGGGAAGCCCAAGGACAAGAGAGCCTGGGTAATGTAGTCCAGAAGGCCAGTCTTCTGGGTCACACATCAGGGCAAAAGAATGGTTCTGGGGTTTTTTTGGGGGTAGAATGGGGTGGCAAGACTAATCAACATATGTGTTCTTCTCTCTTATACTTTCAATTATACTTTCTGGAAGGAAAGACAGAACAAAATAAAATAGGTTCTGTCTTAGCTTCCATGTACCTATTATGTCGAATTGCCATTCACAGAGCAAGAAAAGAGAATGCTGCTCAGCCGAGCAGGGATTTTTGTTTGTTTTGCTTGCTGCCATATTCCTAGTTCCTAGAACAGTGTCTGGCACATAGTAAATGGTCAGCAAATTTTAAATGACTGAGTAAATATACTCACCTCTGCCGTGACAGACTTTATATATATATCATCTCATTGACTTATCACAATAATCTGGTTAAGTAGGCAGGGCCACTGAGCATTATTGTGCAGGTGGTATGGGGGGGGTGGGTAGGTATTAAAATTTAATATGTGCCTCCCCAACCCACTTCCAAGCCTTGTGACTAGGCCCGAAGCATTGTCAACCCACCAGAAGAGATATACTTCTGTAAATGATTCACATTTTAATTTTTTATCCTCTTTATTGATTTTTGCACCTAGCAAGTTTCTGTTTTATTATTATTATTTCTCTTTTATGCATTGGAAAGCCAAGTTTCTGAATAGCAAAGACTGCAAAGATTATAACCCAGTCTGTCCATTCTCTAGGGCCCATGAGAAGTAAAAGCAGGCACTGGCATTCTGCACAGATGAAATACTTCCTACGACAGGAATACATGCTCACTTGTGGACTTCTCTGTAATCTGTAGGCAACATCAGCTCCTGATTTCTAGGTCTGGATCTGGGTTCTCTGTAGCACAGGAAGGTAAGAGTGATAAGAACTCTTTTCCCTCTTAAAGGATATAGAAACTTTTAAACCCATCTGCATCATAGTAAGGCTGTGTTATCTGTATCAGCATAGTTACTCTGTGATGAAGAAAAACTCAGAAAACTATCCAGATGTGGGAATTTCTCGGGTATTCCTTGCACTTGAACTTAAGGATGAATGAAGGTATATACAAGTAAGTTCCTTGTGTGGGTGTGGACTGAAGAAACTATGTTTGATCTTCTGTCATGTCTTTAGTCCCCAGTAACTCAGTCCTATTAGTACTATAGAACACATTCCCCTCCGGGAAAGGCAGGCCTGTCTATCACCTACACAGCAGCCCCCATCAACTATGATTCAGTTGACTGGAAGCATTAAAGGTAAAAAAGCAACACAAAATAAAGCAAAACTCTGGCTTCATCCCTTTAGGTTTGATTTATACCAGAATAGCTAAAGACATAGAAATATGAATGTAAATATCCTACCTGAAGCCTAAGAGGGATGTTAGTCTCCCAGGTTTAGCGTTTTCCAGTAACATAGAAGTCTGTAAAACACCATCCCATTACCTGCCTCATAACATATAGGAAAACTTGTGAATATAACAACTAGTTATTGTTTTAAAATGTGTAATTAAGTTACTTTGCATGCAGAACTTCTAAATAATTCAAATGACTGGCTTTTCTATTGGAAAATAGCATATATTCATCTGTTATTTCAGCAATGATTAATGAATACTTGATATCAAACTTTCATCAGTATTTTCCCATAGGTATCATATCCCCTACCCCAAATTATTTCTGTACTTTTCCTTGCAAGGTCTCTACTTCTCCTACATAAATGCCTTGCATGGCGGGAACTAAATCAACTACACAGACCCATACATCCAGAGAGCAGAGGTGAGCTGGATACAAGTGGCTTAGAGATGTGGTGGAAGGAGGCCAGAGCTCCAAGGGAAGGGCAGCAAGGAGACAACAGCATGGGTTGCAGCTCAGACAACAGGTAAATAAAACCAAGCAAAGCTGCTGGTCACAGATTTGACCAGGGTGGCAAGAAATGACAAGCTACCATGAGATTCAACAGTGGCACGGAAGGATGATGAGAAGCAAACAGATTAGGAGAAGCTGCCACCACCGTACATAGAGGCACAGATGACCAAGCAGAACAGCACCAGTCCCTGCAAGGTGTGCTCAGATACAGCTCAGCACAGCCATCTGGCCAGGAGGGAATGATAATGCACATGGTGTGCACTGCAGCCGGGAAGTTGAGAACCGCTGTGGGCACCTCAGGACTGAGTCTGGTTACCCTGCTGATCCAAGAAATGAAGCCATCTAAAATTTTGCCTGCTTTCACAATTTTCTGTGTGTGTGTGTGTGTATTAAACAAAGTGAACTAAGAAGCCTTTTATTGGAGACATAATGTACTCACAGTAGTTTCAAAATCAATGGTGTCACTCTTCAGGTAAATTACTCCAAGGCTTGGGCCTAGTGCAGATGTTCATTGGGGCAGGGAGCAGAGAGCGGCTGCATCTAGATCAGACAAAAAACAAAAATAAGGTTGTTAAATGAACAGGTGATGGTGATGGCAATTATTTATTTTGATAGGAAAGAACTTTGGGACTTGAGTGAGAGGTTGGTTGTTTGGTTCTACATCTTTGCACCAGAGAATGGCGAGGTACGGAAGGGAGAATGGAGAGGATGTTGTCCAGGCTCCATTTTCAGTGCTTTCACCTAACTGCCTGTGCAGCCTGGGACATCAACAGTACCCTGTCAGTGCGGGCGGAGCTGATTTTGTGGTTCTGACTTAGAAGCTGAGTTGTGGGTGACAGTGGGGGAAGGAAGTAGAAACAGTGTCCTTCAACCTTCCCACAGTTGATTCTTCTAGTATCCTTTTCTTTTTTTTTTCATTTATTATATTTATTTATTTTTTATTCACACATAAAAATTGTATATATTTATGGTATAAAACATGTTTTGATACATGTATACATTGTGGAATGGCTAAATCAAACTAATTAAAATATGCATTACCGGCTGGGTGTGCTGGCTCACACCTGTAATCCCAGCACTTTGGGAGGCCGAGGTGTGAGGATCACGAGGTCAGGAGATCGAGACCATCCCAGCCAACACAGTGAAACCCCGTCTCTACTAAAATGCAAAAAAATTAGCCAGGCGTGATGGCGCACGCCTGTAGTCCCAGCTACTCAGGAGGCTGAGGCAGGGGAATCGCTTGAACCCGGGAGGCGGAGGTTGCAGTGAGCCGAGATTGCACCACTGCACTCCAGCCTGGCAACAGAGCAAGAGTCCATCTCAAAAAAAAAAAAAAAAAAAAAAGAATTACCTCATGTATTTATCACTTTTTCATGGTGAGAACACGTAAAACCTACTCTCAGTAATTTTCAATATATACTACATTCTTATTAACGATAGTCATGAGGATGTACAGTACATCTCTGGAGTTATTCCTCCTGTCTAACCGAAATTTTGTGTCCTTTGACTGATGTCTCCTCAGCGTCTGGCAGCCACCATTCTAATTTTTGCTTCTATAAATTAAGCTTTTATAGATTCCCCATATAAGTGAGGTCACGTGGTATTTGTTTTTCTGTGCCTGGCTTTTCTAGTACAAAAAAAAGCCTATTTTTTCCCCATATATCATGGATGACCTCTAGATTCATCCATGTTCTTGCAAATGACAAGATTTCCTTCTTTTTGAAGGCTGAATAGTGTTCCATTGTGTACTTTTACCACATTTCTGATATTCTTGATTTCATTTCAGTCTCTCTCTTTATTGCTTAGTTCTTAATGTATTCTAGTGACACCCATTGATCTGGGCATGTTCTGAGCATTCCCTCTGTCCTTCACTGCAAAGGCTCCATTTTCTTCCATAGGCTCTAACCCTGAGGACACCGAATTACCCTATTTTTTCCCCTATACCTCAGTCTGCTATTCTGCCTTCTTCACTGGCTTATTTTCTTTCTTCTGTTCTCTAAATGTAGACATTCCTCTAGATCCTCTCCTCAGGCTTTGTCTACCCCAGTCCTCCCTGACCTCAACAATCACTTCTCCATGGAGAGCATCCACATTGCTATCTTTAGTTCTAGCTTTTCTACAGAGCTGCACACCCACATTCTAAATAACAGCTGGTTATTGGTTCATTCGTTCCTTTGTCCATTCATTCAGTGTTTATATAGCATCTATGAGGCACCTGGATGAATACAACAGGGTCTCTAACTTTGAGAAGTTCACATCGCCATCAAATACTACACAGGCTTTTCTAATTCAGAAAGTTTAGAACTTAATTCATTGTCTTTCCTTTAAAATCTGTTCCTTCTCTAGACGTCCCATTTCCTGCCATTGGTATTCTCTTCATCCAGTTACGTGGGCCTACAGCTGGGGAGTCATCTTCAATTCTTCCGTTTTTTTTTTCTTCCTATATCCAATTAGCTACCCAATCCTGTAGATTCTACTCTGATTGTGATTCCTGAATCAATACCTGTTTTCTATACCAGCCCCTATTTCTCCCTTTGCTACCTACTGTGAGGACATCTATGAAAAGCTCCTGACTGGTTTCACTTTTCCAGTTTTTCTTTACCTCTTGTCCATCCTTCACACAAACATTACATTAATTTTTCTAAAGTGCCCTTCTAAACATATCACTTCTTTGCTTACAGTCCTCCTTGCTTATTGGATTAAATTCAAACTTCTCAGTTTGGTATTCAAAGCTGCTACAATGTAGCCCAATCTAGTTTCTCACTCTTATCTCTACACTCCATTCTACGCTCCAGCAAAGTCCTACTCTTTCCTACCATGTTCATGGTATTTCTTCCTTTCTTTCAATGTCTACATGTAGCTTCTTCAAGGGCCATCCAAATGCCACCTCATTTATGAAGCATTTCACAAAGGAGAGTGCCCTTCTTAAATATTATTAGCACATTCTGTACTACTCCCTTTGCATATTCTACCAATTAGAATGGTTATTTGTGTAATTTGTCTTCCTTCTTCATAAGCCCTTTGAAAGCTGAGACAATTTTTACTCTGAGTACCCTATAGTGGGCCATGACTTCTTGCACGTTAAGTTTGCACTAGGCTGATAATCTGCTGAACTGAATTTAAAAAGAATAAACCCTCTTGCCTTGAGTCATAGAAACGGGGACTAAATTGAAAAGACCTAAAAGCTCATCTGCTTCAACCCCCTCATTTTTCAGACGAAGAGATGAAGGGAACTGACTTGCTCAAGGTCGCATCCTTGTTAGTGGCTGGGCAAGGATAACAGACATAAAAGGCCACAGACTAATATTTATCAGTGCTTACTTGGCACCAATAGGCCCAACAGATCATCAGTAATGACAAGACCAGAGAGAGGGAGGTTGGGGTGTGTAACCTGCAAAAATATATTGTGTTCCAAAATATAACAAATTTGCTTCATTTATTTGCTTCAACAAACCGAACTAATAAATATGTTTTATAGTTAAATGTTGTCTAAAAAATGAGGGTGGATTTAAAAAACAAGGAAGCAAAGTTTTCTAACATTACCAGCAGAAATAATTATGACAATACTGTCAACACCACTGGGGAGGAGGTGCGGATGGTTAATGGGTACAAAAAATAGAAAGAATGAATACGACCTACTATTTGATAGCACAACAGAGTGACTATAGTCAATAATAACTTAATCGTACATTTTAAAATAACTAAAAGAGGGTAATTGGATTGTTTGTAACACAAAAGATAAATGCTTAAGAGGATATATGCCCCGTTCTCCATGATGGGATTATTTCACACGGCATGCCTATATCAAAACATCTCATGTACCCCAGAAATATATACACCTACTATGTACCCACAAAAATTAAAAACAAATAAAATGTTAAAAATACCACTGGGGTGATAAACTCAGGCTGAAAATAAGAATAAAGAAATTTCTCATGCTTTGGAAAAGCTGTGTGTTCAGCTGGAGTTCTTGGTGAAAACATGCAGTAATTCCGTGGTTAAATTCATTACTTTGTAGAAACAAACTATTGGCAATCTGCTATTATGCCACATTAACACTTCTTTTTCCACCTAGCTTAGCCTAGTACTCATTCTCTAGGTTTGTTTAAATGTTTACTTGTTTTTCTTTCCTTATATTACTAATTTACTTGTAGAAATGCATAGACAATTGCCTCTGAGTCTGTTCAAATTTTCTTGCCTTGTTCTTCTCTTGTAGTAGAGGAAACATTAGTTGTTTCTCTTCTCTATCCTTATCCTCAAACAGAATCATTTTCTCTCACCCAAAGATGAAAAGCCCAACAAAACATGCTGTGGGGATAATAGTGTTTACCTAGGTGAGGAAAACAGACTTTTCCAGGGAATCTCAGTAATTATTACTTGGCCAGAAAAGCTCAGCTCTTAAATGTTAGCTCCAATACTACAAGACCTCATCTGCATCTCCCAGGTGAGCGCTTGACTCACTGTTACTCACCAGAGGAAAACCTTGGTA
Source organism: Homo sapiens (assembly GCF_000001405.40). NCBI lineage: Eukaryota > Metazoa > Chordata > Mammalia > Primates > Hominidae > Homo > Homo sapiens. Next base: position 114,393,055 of record NC_000003.12, read on the forward strand.
GGTAGCATTAATCAAACTCTTTTTGGCCAGTATGGTGGAGCCATGCTACGCATTGAGACATCCATTAAATAGCATCACCCCAGCAGCCACACAAACAGCAAAATGGGCTCAAGAGCTCTTCATTGTTCTTTCTAACCCATCATAAGGCTGGACAGATTATTGACACTTCACCAGATAGAACTTACTTCTCCTTTTGCCCCCTGGCAACTACATTAAAATCATAAAGGAAATCACTCATCAATAGTACATTGCAGTGAAAAATTATCTGGCAAATTTACAAATCCTTTGTGTAATTATATAAATGTACATTTTAAATATATCTAAAATCTGATTTACATTGTGCATTTTATAATTAATACAACCATAGTATGTCTGTCCTTTAATTAAATCCTTCTTTCTCAGTCCCACATCCTGCTGCTATAATCTTACTTTCATTTTTGGCAAAGTGTCACCTAGCTCCATCTTCTTTCCCCTTTTGCCTTAGTACACACCTGAGCGTCTATTAATCAGAACCACTGCATGGTGTGTCATGTTTTATTGCTTAAAGGGTGGTTACACTCTAAAAAAGATTCGGTGAGAATGACTTCATGGGGTTTCACATTTATTCTCTTTTAATGACTTTCATATCCAGTGTACTCGGTTTTTAAGTCAAAAGATAATTTTGAGGGGCTGCTGATGCCACAAATTCTCCCTAGAACCTGAAAATCCAGCTGTTGTCTCTGCTTCTTACATCATCACTGTAATAAAGAATCTGCTCTTGGAACCCAGCTGGCAAGTTTCTTGATGGTGTCAGAGGCGAACAGACAGTAGGTCACTTCTCTACAGCCCGTTTCATTGTTGGCGTTTCTGCAGATCTGTCTTGGAAGCCCTTAGAGAGCAGAGCTGTTATGAAATACACTGCCACATATCAATGTAAGGAACTTTCTGCAGATGTCTACTTTGAGTATGGCCTGTCCCAGTCCTAGGAAATCACACCACATCGTTCTAAAATTATAGATGGGGGGTTCATGATTAAAGTTTACAAGAAAGGTAATAGTAACAATAACAGCTAGCATTTATTGGATGTCTAAATTTTATCAGGGACTGCACCAGGCATTTTTATAAATGAGTATGTTCTTGTTTAACCCTCATAGCAATGCTATGGTGTATGTTTTAGTATACCCATTTTACAGATAAGGAAAAGTGAGACTTAATGGGCTTACGTAACAGGTCGAAGTTTAGAAAGCTACTGGATAGTGAGGCCAGAATCCAAACCCAGATCTCTCTGAGTCTAAATCTGTACTCTTTTCACTATATAACAACTGTTCCAATGCAGCATGGACACGGGACACATTTCTAGTTCCCGCTGTGATCACAGTACAAGGAAGATGCTTATTTCCACGATGGTTCAGAGCCACTGGAAAGATCTGGGAGCACAGACTCCAGGAGAAGGAACTATTTCAGAAACTGCCAATAAGTATAGTCCCTTCCCTCCTCCTTTCTAATTGCAGATGAGAATGTCCTCTAACAGTCTTCTCAAACTCTAATGAACAAACGAATCACCCAGGGCTTCTGATTCAGCATGTCTGGGGTGGAGCTTGTGATCCTGCATTTCTGAGAAGCTCCCAGGTGATGCTGATGCTACTGGTCTGGGACCACAGGTCTTATTTCTGACACTCTCCTTTCTACTAGGGTTGTTTTTGAAGGAGCAGTTCAAGCCAAATAACTTGGCTAACAGTTCACACAGCCAGCCGACTGGCTTCTGATTCTAGGCCAGTTTGTCAGGTCATCAGGCATTACACAGAATTCAAGGAGTTCTTAGCATAGAGCACACTGTCAAAAAATTGTTTTTAGATCCCCAAGGGTTTTCCCCTCTCTCTGGAAATTCAAAATGATAATGTCTCTAACATGTAAAGTTCCTATTTTTTTACATTATTGTTATTTTTAACAATAATTATCTGGTAATAATTCAAATAACACCTTCCCTCTGAGAAATTCAATGAGCTTTACTAACCTTAATTGTCTAACAGCAATTCCCAGGTGAAGATAAAGCTGTCTCAAAGATCATAGTAAATTTAAAATTGTTCCACTTCCCTCGTTTCTTTGCCCCAAATGTAGTGGTGAGTTAGTGGGGACGGGTTACTAATTGGCAAAGGCCCACTATCATAATTTGAGGCACAGCAAATTTCATAAAAAGGATACATCTAAGAAATATTTAGCAGAGAGGTCATTGTGGGGAATACAATGTTAGAAAAAAAAGAGTTAGAAAGTGTAAGATAAGAAAAGAGAAAGCAAAATCAGGACTAGCTGATGACCTCCGATGAGACATTTAACCTCTAGGTGGCTCAGCTTTTCTATCTGCAAAAAGAGGAGGTTGGTTTTATGATTTTTAAGGTCCCTTAAAACTCTAATAGTCCCCTGAGAAGGAAGATGTGGGAATTAAGTAGCTCATCAACCTGTTAAACCATTAAACATGTTAAGGAAGTCTATTTGACTTTTAACTTTTTAGCTAATTACCCGAAACAAATTCCCAAGTCTACGTCACCAGCCCCACCTCTCTGGAAAGTGGTGAGAAAACCATTTAATGAATAAGGCACCAAAGACATCACGGCCAGATAAACTAATCAGGAACACCATCGTCAGCTTACTGATGCTGTGATAACTATTTTACTTTTTAGGTTTTAGTTCCTTAATTAACCACTAGTTAATACCCATGTCCATAAGAAACACCTCTGATGGCTTGAAGACCCCTGGGATGGCCCTGCCAACACAAGGTGGAATCACAATCCCACTGTTTGTCACATTAAATCTATGTTAATTTTCTCCATAGAGACCTCTTGATTCCTCTTTGACAGTTCATAAACTCTGTTAATATAAGTTGCACATCCCATGCCATGAGCGTTAGCATTATCAGATACAGTTGATTCTTGTTTAAAATAAGAGATCTTTTGGATCAGAGTACATGTAAACACACACACCCACACACCCACACACACAATCATGAATTTCTGGTATTAATGAATCTGGCCTGGTGATGGGAACCCCTCTATTATGTCACCGGATACTGGAACCTTCTTATCCAGAAAGCCTGCCACAGGTCATGTTAATAAGATCGTTTTAAACTTTGTAATGAGAATTCTAACATGAGCATGATTTATGACACAGCATTTTATTTGGTATTATCAGAGTTTCCTATACCTTACCTCTTACAGTGAGTATGTGTTCTGAATTAACCATTATAGTTTGTGGTAAATGGAAAAAAAGGTACAGAGAAACATCACAGTGGCATTACTCCAGATAACACACTCTGTCACTGTTCCCAAAGTGAACATCATTTCCCTCTTCCTGCTCCCATCACTTCAATAGTAACTTTGGCTATTACTGACTAAATGCTTACCGTGTGGCAGGCATTGAGCCTTTTCACAGATAACTTTATTTTCTTACAATTACTCTTTGAAGTTGGGAATTATATTCCCATTTTATAGACGAAGGAGGTGAAACTGATACTCAGGAAAGGTACAGTTATTGGTCATCAGTCATGAAGGCAGAGGGTAGCAAAGCAGAGTTAAGGGCCAGGTTCTAACCACATGTTCTAGAGCTTAACCTATACCAGGCTCACAATCACCAAACCACTGATCTGCCTTCATTCCACTCCTCTTCATTTGTGATCCCCACCATTGGCTTAGGCTAGATTCTTCTTCATGGCTCTCTCATGTCTTCTTGAATATTTCTTGAAATTTCTCAAAACCTTCTACACTTGATTTATGTTTTCCCTCCCTGTATTAATAATTTAATCCAAAAACTCATTAACACTTCTTTTCAACAGACTTTATCACCCCTTTTCTTAGCTCTCATACTCCTTCTAAATTACTCTTTTGAGGCCTCACATTTGACATCAGATGTTCCACACCCAGCTATTGAACTCACTTTCCCAGAAGCCCAAGGAACCTATTGTTTTCAGCTGGTTCATTAGTAGGCCCCAGTTGGCCTTACCAGATGTATTTGTCCAGTTTGATCTTGCCCCATGATCAACCATTTCAACACTGTCCTCAGTAACCATGCAGATTTCCTTCCTTTTCTAACTTTCTATGTGCAGTGCCTCCTTTTACATTCATCAACTGTGAATCTGTATCACCATTCTCCATTTGCTCCCACTCTCAGAACAAAAGGCTACACATGCATGCTACCTGGACCTATGCTCCTGCCCACTGTTTCCAGGTACAACCTATGGCAGTTTTTCTTAGTTTGTTCTCCTTTATGAAGTCCCATTCTCTTTTTCAGTTGATGAGCTAGCATCCTAGTTTAATAAAAGGATCTACACCATGCAGTGTGGTAAGCTTATTAGCTCTCATCTCCTCTAATATCTCTGAATTTTCATTATTTTATTTCCTCAGGATATATCTTTTCCCATGTTCCCTTCGTATCTTGAAGGTTATTCTCTCTACTTCTCTTTATCTTCCTTTGGTTTCATCAGGGATACTTTCTCTGTAGCTGATAGCATATCAATTTCTAATAGTACTAGATTAATCATCACCACATACCTTTTTTTTTTTTGTCCCGCATTCAACTCCTGCCCTTCAAAAATCTTTTCAGATGGTGTATCTTAAAGTGTGTTTCATACTGGAACTTCAAGATGCATCTCAAAAAAAGTTCCTCAGTCAAGTAAGTTTAGGAAACACTGAAAACTATATATTCTATTTTCAAACTCGCAAGTGTACACAGGATATTAAGGTGCTGGAAGCCTAATCTTTGTCCAGGCTTACCGGATTACAGACTCCCCCATCCCCCTTTTTAATGGAACACTTATTTAACCTCAGAATATGCTTCGGGAAAAGATGCTTTAAGGGATTCCCCTGGTTCCAAACTCTTAAGCCTGGGCTCGGAAATTCACTGACTCCCTATCAAATGAGTCCTCTCAGATTTCCTTTCCATTAATACTCCACATGGTCTAAACTGGTTAACTTATAGGGTGTCAGAAAGACTAAGCACATTTCTATCTCTGAGCTACTGTATATACCAGTTTGGCTGCTTGGAATACCTTTATCACCTTTCAAAAAATTATATAGGACTTTTTTCTCCTTCAGGGTCCATATATAAAAATGTATCCTTTATGAAATTTTCCCTTGTGAAGACTGCTTTAGCCCATAATGTTTTCTGCCACTTTTTAAGTACTTCAATAAATGGTTATGGTTTACTGCCTGTTTGCTATATTATTAGCGAGGGTGTACATCCTCTTGGGTAGGAACCTTGTTTTATACACTACAGAGACCCCAGCTTTTTGAGCACAGTAGGATGTTATAACCATGTCATCGGTTAATATAAACAGAAATGGATGGCATTAAGACATGATGGTTTAAAACCCAATTTCTGTAGCTATTGGAATAGTTTAAGATGCTAACAGCCCAGGTGAAATGTTCCATCACAATATTGGGAAGAAACACTACCCGCCATCACTGCCATTGCCCTGAAAATGATACCATGTGTGTCTAAGGATGTGGATAAAGGCTAGATACAGAAGAGCAAAGGCAGCTCCGTTCTTAGGTGAAAGTAAGAATTTGCATTAGTTAACACCAAATGGCGATAAGATTAAAATAATCTAGGAACATCAAGTGATCCATGAAAGGAATCACTGGAATATACCAATGGTAAAATTACCATTCATAATCATTAAATCATGGTAACTTGATGAAAAGAAAAAGGATATTTTCCTACTTAAGGAAGTCAGGGTAAGTATTGTCTGAGGTTCCACTGTGTGCTATTGTGCCTGGTATACAGAATGTGTAGCAACTATTTACAGAATCTGCTACTGCCTTCTAGTCACATTCCAAATTCTATCTCTTTGAATCAGTCTGGAGACACAATACATTGGTGAATTCAAGGCAGCTTGGCAACGACTGGCACAACATAAAACCCCAAATAATGAATTCCATCTTTCCCATAAAGCTCTTTTATTGACACAACATACAACAGCGCAGGGCAGGTTGTCTCGGGCTAGTGTGTAATAACTAGATGTTAAGGGGCCCTGAGTTTTTCAGATTAGATGTTATCTGAAGTTGGGACTCAGCAGGTTCCCTAACAGTGAATTTTTAGTGGGCCTACGACTAGAAGTTTGGTCTCTTGATGCTTAGTCAGGGAGTTTTATTATGTGAGAGAGAAAAGTATAGCTTTCTTTCTTAAAACTGCAGCAATTTCATATTTTAGCAGAAGAGAAAGTGCATTTTATTAGAGTATAACCTGTGGAGTATTTTGCTACCTTCCTGGATATAAAGCGGTATACAAACAAAAAATTTAATAAAAAGCTATTTTATAAATAAGAATGTTTACTTGTGTTTACCTTAAAATAGGTATAGCTTGTATTATTTAACATGTGAAATAGAAGGATAATGGTAAAATTTCATAAATATAAAATTCTGTGTCCGTCTTCAGTTAAAATTCGTAACAGTGTATCAGAGTGTTGGTTATTAGTAGTAATCAATAATAAGTATTTTTTAAATTGGAATTTTTATTGCAGGAGATTATTGGGTGGGTGAAGCTAAATGGCCTAGATGTTTTCCTGTCATGTCAATACTTAAGAATTGTCTTTCTGGGCAATTTACACATGTGAGAGTGAAAATGAAGGGTGGCCTGCCTATTGGGTGTGTAACAGGCCACCGGGGCAAGACTGCTATTTTCTGAGAGCCATGGGCAGTTTCTGCAATAAAGTATCTGAGTTTCTTCTTTTTGTAGTAAAAATAAATAGTTTACTTTTATGTTCTGGGTGAAGCCTGAGATCTCTGGATCTCTTTGCTGGATTTCACTCTTGGTGGGGGCAGGGAGATACTATTGGCAATGCTTTATATATATTGACCTAGACATGTTAAAGATTATGTGGTACTTTCATGAACACTCTAAAAATGAGTTCTCCCTATCATGAGTTGCATAGATGAGGAGATTGAGGTGGATGGGGTGAAGAGGAAGGAAAGGGCAGTTTAAGCGGGCTAGCTAATGAGTAGTAGAACTTAATCTAAAACCAAGATTTTCAGCAGAAAATGCTTTTTTTCCCCAAAAAATGCCATGGTTGTCAACAAGCTTTGTAGCAAATCTGGGGCAGAGCACTAGATGGAGAATCAGAAGATCTGCCTTGTCTTCCTGGATCTGGTAAGAACCAGCCGTGTGACCATGGCCAAGTCACTAACTTTTGTGAGTCTTATTGTTCTCACTTATAAAGTCATGAGCAAGGAATCAATGAATGGCATAATACTTGTAAGCTGTAAAATCTCTCTCTTGTAAAATGGTATTGACAATAATGTATGCTTTGCCTATCTTATAAAGTTGTGAGGCTAAAATAAGCTGATCCATGTGGAAGTGCTTTGTATAGTGTGGAGTACTGAATCAATGTTGTCTGGAAGATTTAGGAAAGGGTCCCGAATGTGTGTGGGAACTGACAGCCAGTCCACTTCCATTCAGGTTTTAGGAGAAGCTATAATAAAGCACTGGCAGCAGCTCAAATCCCACTCCATCCTCTCCTCTCCCAGCACGCTGCAGAGAATCACTTGAGGAAAGTTACTTGAGTGGGTGAGCCAAATGCTCAAGTTCCAACCTTTCTGAGTAGAAGCCACAGTGAATCCTGAGCCACAACACAGGTGACAATCACTGTTCCTCCAGGTGTGTCTGAAACACTGGGGGACCCTAGGGAAGGAGGTCAGACGTCACTGCTCCTGAGGACCCGTTTTCTCCTGTACACAGCTCCAGCCCACATGATTTCACCTGGCAGCCCCAAGAGACAAAAAGGATCCAGAATTAGCAGGAGCCTCCTCTCCTGATAACCTAAGTGCTCTGATTGAAAGGCAGAGGGTATCAGGAGAATGGCTGTACCGAGTCGGCATTGATTTCTCCAGCCTTTGTCTGTGTCTGGTTTCTGTCTCGTTTGGAGGTGGTTACTGTTACTACAAGCAGCATGAATCATGTCTCTGTTAAAAAACAGAGCTTCAATTGTCTTACATAACCCCTGGTAACTGAACGTCTAATAATAGCAAGCCATTTCCAGGTAGGGAATCTGTCTACCTCCCAGACACACACACACACACACACACACACACACACACACTACTCCCAATGCTTCACAGCACAGTGAGACAGACAGGGAGGAGACAGAAGGAGAAAGGGGACAGCACAATTGAATTTTTTTGTGTTTTAAAATATATTGAATAATCATGCATCATGGGATCTGATAACCAATATACTTAGCTGAGCTAGTTTAATAAACTGTAGAAAACAAGAATTCTTCTTTAAAGTATTTGAAAGTATCCCAATCCATACCAGACAGACACCTTCTCTAACACTCTTATACTGCATAAAAACCCCAAACCCCCAAAACAGAGTGGGGTGAAAATTTCACTGGATTGTCTGCTAGCTTGTACCAACTAGCTTCAACTTTCAAAGGATTTTTTTTGTCCTCTTTTTTGTTTGACCAGAGAGTGATATTCCAAAGGTTCTTGGCCGAGATCATTTCATAAAATTCCAGAGAGTGAAAGGCAACTGAAAACATGGCTGCAGTGTTCCACCATGCAGACTATGTAATGTCAGGCACTTTTGCCCGAGCCACTTTCTTTGACGGAGATGACTTTCCATCTGAGGACTTACATTTTTCCCATGAGTACACTCTCTGGCTTGTAATACATGATGAGGTCTTTTTATACTTGATCCCCACTCAGCTACCCATTAAGGTGGCTACTGAAATAAAAAAAAATAATAGGAGAGGCTGAAAAATGATTTTTGAAAAATCACAAAGGTAGGATTTTCTTTAAACTACCAATTTGTTTGAGAACAAATACAAATGCTGGATAGGAAGTTTAAAAGTTTATGGGGAATAATAATATAAATGTATAACATATATACGTCCATTTCCTCACTGCTTCACCTTGCCCATGCTAGGAAAAATCACTTAAAGGCTGTATTTTTTGAGTGTGCATTCTCAGAGTGAAGTAGCTGTACATATCATGTAAATTGGACTGGGGAAGGACTTCGCAGAAAATTACAGATGGCAATCACATCCTGCCAGTCATTTGGTCTAGAACCAGAGAAGAAAAACTTTCTTTTCTCTTTTGATTGTTCAGTAACATGAAACAGTGGACTAGACTAGTTCAAACCAAAGAATGTTTTAGGGCACACCCACTTTGAGGACCAGCACCTGGCTATGCTACATGCTCTTCAATTGTTTAGGCATATAAAAAGGAGTGATGAGATGGTTATATGTCAAAATGGCTGTTCTCCCTCCAAACAGGATTTGATTGGCTTATTTGCTTTTGGAGTACTCTCCAAATCCATAAACAAAGGAGTATTGAATTGAAGAAGCAAACAGGAGAAAGAAAAAGGCTAAAAAGGAAAAGAGAGAAGAAGAGGAAGGAAAAATACTAATTTCTCAGTATTCCTATCTGCAAATCTGGCTGGATTTGATAACAAAACTCCTACTACTGTTCTCTAATGGTCTTTGCTGCATGCCATATGGACATGGCTTCTAAAGGGGATGAATTCTAGGTTTTCCTCACAAATATCCAAGCACAGAACAGCAGGGATCTTGACGACTAAATCATCCTAACTCACGACGAGGATCACAGAGGTGGAACATGGCTGTTGGGACTAGATTCTTCTGCTTATTTCATGTGCTTTGTGAATTAAATTGTTCGTAGAGTTGGAAAGCTGGTGGACTAAATGTTTTAATAAAAACAGCCATGAGACACAACAGTTTTCTTCACAAAGGCTTTCCCCCCTAGCTACTGTGAATATATTGCTGAATGGTTCTGACTTCTGGAAGGGCAGGAGGTTTGCCTCTTCTCTTTGCCTCAAAAACCAGGCTTATTCTATGCATCTGGGAGATGATTATACTTACCCGAAATTTCAGGATACTATGTCAGACAGTTCCTTCACAGTGGTGTGTCTGGCACCTAAGCAAGGACTTGGTGGGCCAGACACATTTAAAATGTAAAAGTGGATGATTATATTATTTTGCATTGTAACAATGAGAGTATTTCTGGATTGTAGCTGACGTGTAGATCATCATAACCATATGTGGCACAACAAACCACACAACATTGCATCAGAAGCTTGTAGTTAATATTTTTAAATGATTGATTATTTTGAAATAGAGAAATGGTGGATGCTTTTTTCGACCTCTTTAAATAACCACTTATTGAATGTCTATTGTCAGTGATGGACTCTTTCTTCACAGAAGGGAGCTGGGCTATGCCAGACTCTCACCATGTTCTTTCTCCTCTAACACTGAACAAAATATCAGTAAAACACCAAGTACAGCTGGTTTTGAACCTAGTAAGAAATCAGTCTGTAGTAATGGGCCATATTGGTAATAATTGGAACTGGTGATATCGATAGCAGTGGGAATAACTGACTTACAAAGGCACAGCAGTTCAGGAACGTCTCAGGGACTCAGAGTGGGTAAATGCGTAAATCTGCTCTCACCTATTTATATGCTCCAACAAATATCTGGAACTCTAGAAACTTCAAGAGTCTAATATGATCAGGCCACGTTTATAGGTATTATAGGATTCATATAAAATAAGGAGGCATACATGTTGATCTAGTGAGCGTCTCCATATTTGTACAACACTCAGGATATGTCTGAGAACACATTTTAATTTTTAGAATCAGCTATAGAATCTGGCAGTTATTATAAAGCAAACTTCACTTCAAAAAAATTAACTGAGAAGCCAGATGATAATCCAGATATACAAAACAACATTGGTGGGATAAGTCAAATAATTCTCTAAAATGATTATGGAGAAACTGAAGAAATGAAGGGCACCTATTTATCATATGTGGGTCCCCAGCCACGTTTGTAATCTGTTGTGTGACCTTGGGCAAGTCATGAAACTTCTCTCGAGTCTCATTTTTCTCATATATAATGTGGGAGTGTTAGATTAGATGGTTTTTAAGATTCTTTCCAGTAATAACATTTGATGATTCTAAAGTAAGAAGAGATGAAAGAGTAATTCCTCTTTCCTCTTGTTTTGGTAAATACTTGCTTTCTCCTGCTCCGTGCCTATGCAGTTTGCAGTGAGTATTAGGTTTCTGGACTCAAGAAGTCAAATAGTAAATACTGAAGCTATTTTTCCTTGTACACATGGACAAATCATAGGGGAATAATCCTTCCTTTCTTTGTATATCAGTGTCTCTTCTCAAATCAGACTTATGCCTAAGGTAATCACGATCATTCTGGTACTAATAAAGATTTTTCCTCATCCTTCCCACAAGGCCCTCACCCATGCTCATGAAAGCTTATGTGATTGGGTTATTTCTATATTTATGTCTTGGCTATTTTTTCTCTTTCAACTTGTTTATGAAGTCCCTGGTAAGCATAAAGCTGCAAAAACAAAAACAAACAAATAAAACAAAACAGCTCTGTTTGAATAATTTACTTCAGTTGAAGCAGTATAAGAAAACATCCTAACGCCGAGGGGAAGAAAACAGGTCATAAAAATACCCTGGTATCTTAGAAAAGACTAAATAAAAGCTTATATCAATAATAGTTTCATATGTTATTGTCTTTCATTTTCAAAGAGAATGGTACATATTGGCTTTATAGTCTGGTGTACAGACGTGGCTATTTTTCCCCATAGCTCTCAGGTCAGTGCATCCTCAAAGCCAAGAAGGCCCAGAGCCTGCCGAGCTAGCTTTACATAAACAAAGGAGCTACACAGAAAACCCAATACCCGGAGCTTATATCATATCCTGACTAGGCACTCTGGTTACCCATGACTCGCTCTTTTCCATCTGTGCCCTGATTCTCTGCTGGTTTAATTCCCTTCACCTAGAATGCCCTCAGTTTGCCTCCTTTTACTGCTCAGAATTCCCTCTGGACACAACTCACGACTAGCATAAGCCCCATTTCCAAGAAGCAGCTTAGTTTGACCCAACTTAGTTTGACCCAGCGAAAATTTTCATGGATAGCAAGTGAAAATTAGTCCTTGTGATAACTGGAGTCACTGAAACCAGGTATCTAGGAAGCACTCAGAGAATACCAGAGAAAAACTTTCAAGGGTTGCAGTGTCCTCATAGGAGGAAAAAAAAAATCCTAGCTTTAAGAACAAGCCCAATATAGAAGCTGTGGTATGTAAGAGAAAAGTTGTAGCCATGTACGGGAGGAATTGTGTTAAAACAGTCTGACTTTTTTTTTCCAATAAAGGAGAAGAGATCCTCTGTTTCTTAAAAGAAGTTTAGTCATTGGATATAGCAACATACAGTGTCATAAAGTTTAATTGCATTAATTATGAAGCTAAAATGTCTACATTTTAGTAGAGAGAACATGGGGCATAGCTAAATGGCGAAGACATAGGAATGTGTATACAATTTGAGTTTCACTTCCTCCAAATCTCTCAGTTAGAGGATCCCTCTCAGTCTGACGGTCTTATCATCAACAGCTTCACAAACTCTGACAACACCTGGCTGGGTTTAAGGGATGGGCCATGATATATCTTGAGAGTAAAAGATGGAATGAAACTCAGAAATGCTGAATGCTTTTATATATGTATACAATTTTATTTATGTGTATATTTATATATCAATATATACAAACATATATATTTGTATGATGTTTGGCAACCTCACTCATGGTATTCCTGTGAAGTAGGCATGTGGTAAACATAATTAGCCCATTAAACAGATGGTAGGGCTCTGGCATATCTCACCATATTCTAAAATGGTGGAGCTGTAAGCAGGGACTAAAGAGAGTGTAGTTTGATACATGGCTAACTGCAAATCTCTGTGAATTGCTACTTTCCTAAAGACAATCTGGGTAGGCTGCATTTGGCTGAGAACTGGGGATAGTTTAGGAAGCTTTAAAAATATACAAAGGGACAACTTTTCACATTCATTCAGATATAGTATCTTCATTTTTACTTACTAGAGGCATTTTTTTTTAAAAAACAGCTTTTTATCTTAACTCATCTGTGTTCCAAGCAAACTTCCAAATTGCTGAGCAGATTAAAAAAAAAAACCCTACATGCCAAGTAGAAACACTGGGTAAATGTTATTTTTTAAAATTGTCTTAACAAAGTGCACTTTTGGAAAGGATAAAGTTGAAAAGACGTTTGGTACTGTAAACACTTAGCTGTCATTGTAGCACAGTGACCAAATACGTCCAAAAGCACATGTAATGAACTTTTATCCGACTGAATTATATGACCATGGCATTGCCACTCTATAGTACAGCAGGCTTCAGAGATCCTGTTATTAAATATTCTAGCCTAATTCTTTATCATTTGAAATAGGATCTAGCAGAAGTGAAAGAGTTACTAAAATTAAGACTTGAATTTACAAGTGTGTTTGAACTGGCTTCAGGAAGACATGAAACATCAATACATCTGGAGAATAGAACTTGCAATTGACTGTTCTTTACCATCTGGTCTCAAGAACATTTTCTGCTTGGAAGTTGCATAAGCAATGAAAAAACACACAAACAACTTCCTGTACCATGTTTTTGGTCACTTATAATGACGCATTACAAAGTAAACCAGCTAAATATGAGCAACTGCGCCTTACTCGAGATGACAACATACATTATATAACTAAGATCAATGAAAAAGAACATCTTTATTTTAAGAGACCTGGACTTAAAATATTCAAGAATAAACATCCTTCCTTCTAAGGTGTTTGTACTCCTTCTAAGGTGTTTGTACTGAGTAGTTTTGGCTAGACAGGTTTGTAGAGTCACTACTACAAAACAATCCCTATATTTTTTCAAACTGAAAAAGGATATAAAAAAGCAAGCTATATTGAGGAATAAAATGTTCCATATATTTTAAAATGTTTTTTAATGACATAAACTTGCCTTTTTAAGCAGTAAAATATATTCTACACATGTTTTTCATAGAAAACTTTTACATATCTTTGTTTTCTTAAACACAGTATGTTGATGTAATTTAATTTTTTTCTATGATACAGGGTCATCCTTGTGACTATTCATTGTTCCTGTTTTACAGGAATACACTTTTCTTACTTGTGGTGAGAACTGGCCTCATCCCTTGGCTCAGCCTAACGGCCACAGACTGAGCTATAGCCCACTAGCCACTGCCATAGCCAACTGGCGTCACTGTCCCAGTTTTTCAGACCCATCGCCTCTAAATCCTCTCTGCTAAATGTATTTTCTAATGTGCTTTGGATTAGAAAATCAAATAAATAAGAACTGTAGAGACAATACTGCTTGAATGCAGGGTTTGGTAGAAGATTTGGGGGAAACTCATTTGGACACTTGAAGGTCTTCAGTTACTTCTTTGCTCAGGGTTGTAACTCAGAGATCTGAACTACCAGAAAGTGGATTTTGAGGTATTATTGTGTAACACAGAGTGAAACATTTATGCACTTTTATTGCAAGGCTTCTTATTTTAAACAGGGTTGTCCAGAAATCCATTCTTGATTACTTTACTTGATAGGTCTCTGATCCATTATATTTCACTCCCTTGATTTCCTCCAGCAATGTAACTAACATAATGACAATTGGGAAGTAAAGAAATAGCACATTTTTAGGATAAGGTGAGAGAGTCTTGGTAACTGACTTCATCATAGTGATGGAGGCAAAAATATACAGTCAAGTTAGAAAACTTCCCTGGACTGCTAATGGGAACTCTGGCCTGACTAGACACTGGGAAAACATTAAAAACTGTGAAGTTATTTACATTAATTTTCAGTGTTCAGAGAAGTAACATCTGATCATCTTTTTTCCTCTTCTCCAAAAGGAGAAGTCAGAATAATTCGCAATCTGTGATAGGATAGGGATTGTATCGAAATTTGCCTTTTTATTACCTCTGAAAATAGGATTTCTAAGCAAACTAATAACCTTAAAACTGTTGGGAGGAAGGATGGGGGAAACCAAATGTAACCTATATGAGGGGGGGGAAACATCTTTAACTACTTTAACATACACACATCTGATAAGTTACTGAAAATTCTTATTTATTTTGAAGTTAGTGCTGAAGAAACTCTATCTGTTAAAACTTAGAAATCTCAGTTCAAAGTACATGGAAATATTCCATGATCACGTTTTCAGCTCATTCTAGTCGTCTGTCTCCCAGTTTATTTGAACTGATGAAATTTTACAAAATAAACTTCTTTAGCTTTCTAGAGTTACGTTTTTACCCATGTAATCTATTTGTTAATTTTTGTAGCATGCTTATATGATAAAAAATACTATGTAAGTACTGAGTTTGCTTGTTATGGATTATTTCTGGATACAGAGAATTTGCAAGAAACTTCAGTTTACAGCAGCCAAGGTTACTGCAGACTAAAGCAGAAGTTCAGGCATAAACTTGTCTTCTACCAGTTTTCCACAACTTTGCTGTTGACAGCATCTGAGGACATGGTTGATGAGTTCTGAAAATCATTCACAACATTGCTAATGTTTAGGAATCTTATAGCTTTGCCGGACCTTTCCATAATCACGAGAGAAAACCTTTGACGAAATTAGAACAAGTCCTCATACCCTCCCTTCCTTTCTTCTAGTGATTTTTTTTTTTGTATTGGAACAATCGAAAGATTCAATGTTTTTAAATTCCATAGAAGACTAACGATTGAATAATTTTCTCACATCTCTGTTTGCACTTTCGCAGTCTGGTTGCATTGATTTGTGTCTCACAAGTAGACATTTCCTTTGTTGGTCACAAATCAATGCTACAGAACAAACCTGCCAGCACATTCCACCCCCACCCCCAATTTTTTGCAGTTTAAAAACAAAGCACATTTATATACTTTTTCTTTTAAAAATTACTTTCATTGGTTAGTAATACACTAAAAGAAGACAAAGCCTCAGAGTTAAAAATCCCCGGGAGAAGGAGCTCCTCTCTAGCTGGTCTCTGATTCTCTCACACTGCCTGGAGCAAAGAACTGCCTAGTGGGAGAGCAGCGCTCGTCCGCCGTCCGCTCCTGGTGTGCTCTGTTAACCCAATTAAGGTCCTCGCCTTCATACATCACAAAGCTGCCCAAAGCAACACACTGTGATGTCACAGTCAGATATGATTTCATGGCAGGAAAAAACCAAAAAGGCAGAAAAGGTTGAACGTACTCTGCTTTTATTCAAATCTTCTAAGAGGGGGAAAAAGGGAAGACTTTTTTTTTTTTTTTTTTTTTTTTTTTTCTGAGAGAAAAAGAGCACAAGCTTTCTGACGTGAATGTGAAAACTCCGTTCTGAAGATACCCTGGTGCTTTTACCCCAAGTGGATAAGCATGAATAAAGAAGCACAAAGAAACACTGTCATCAATCAGAATGCTCTTGCCTACACTTAGCTACAGGTGGAAAGCAAGCAGGCACGATTTGATTTACCTAGATTAAAAGAGCAATTTTCTATCTTCCTTTTTTCCTTTTAAAAATAGCCAATCGATTTTGGCCTAGCTATTGCTGACTGTACAGGTCCATTTTAATACACCACTGATTAAACGGTATGTTCATGGCTGAAGGCACTACAGCAGGAACAAACAGAAGCAGCTGAAGGAAGGGGGTGGGGGACAGGCGAGAGCTCCAAAAAACACTCCACGAAGGCCACAACTACTCGGCACTTCCCCCGTAGACAGTTGATATAGCACATTTTAGGCTTGAACCAGCTATAATTCTGGGAGTTTGAAGCCTGGAATTCATTTAGCTTTTTAATTCTGACCTTAAGAATAAAAAAAAATCAAAGCTATGTTTTTTAAAAAACACAAATGAGGGAAATATTGTGTCCTAAACTGCAATGACATCTGAAATGAAGATGTGCCTCAGAAAGATGCTTCTTATGAAACACTTGAAATTTCATAAGTTATAGAATTATCTACTGAAAGAGGACCTAGTTGTTTAGAGACTTTGTTTAGTGAAATTGCATGTAAAAGAAACAGAAAGAAAATAGGACTTTTATATAGGGTGACTATATGTTGGGATTCATCAGGCAGCTCTCAGAAGAGGGAGAATATCTCTACTAGTTCTAGAAAATAACCATCTTGATTATCATGAGAAAGTATAGCCTTTATCGAAGTCTGGGTGGCAGGAAAAATAAATTAGGGAGGGACCTTCTCAGGCAACTCAGAGAGAGACCCAACATCCAGCAGATGTTTCTTCTGAGAAAGACAAGGTCCATCTAACAGGTGAGACATCAGCTGAACAATGGATGCCAGGACATGGGAAGTGGCTCTGAGAATCAGCGAACTCCATGTTTAAAAAGTCAACCCACTTTTTTTTTTTCTGTTTGCTTACTGATTCCTTGTTCCCTTCTCTCCTGTTTTCTCTCTCCAATTATCATTTACTTAATTTGAAATTCTGGCCTTAATGGGGACAGAACCGTATCCAGAGGTACTATTAAGATAAGAAAATTCAGGAAGAAAGATTTAATGAGGGGCTTAGGAGTTTTTGGAAGAGGAAAAGGACATTAGAGAGAAACGAGGGAAAAACTAAGAAATTAAATATCAGCCTCAGCACGGTGGCTGTAGAAGAATAGCTTCTGAGAGACACAGATGGTCTGCATTCTCCAGAACAAAAACAAACAGGAAGTAACAGGGCCAGAGCCCCCTCTCCCCTTCATTCCTCTCTCCAGTGTAAATTGGAAAAAAACTGAAATGTGTTCACATCAAAAAGTTTTCCTTCAAACTCTAGCAAGTGACCACAGTAAAAGAAACAAGAGAGCGCTGGTTCCAGCAGGTAAAATGCTGAAAGGATGTCACATCGTGGGGGTGAGGAAGAAATCAGGGATTAAATACATACAGTTTGGAGAAAAATCAGGCTCTATAGCTAACTAATGATGAATGGAGCAGACAGGTGGCAGATTTGAGGTCCGGAGGAGAGGAAGGGCTCCATTTTGAGCCGCCCATTTTCTGGAGGAGAGGTGGTGGCCGCTGTGGAAAATGGCTACTCCTGGGGTGCATAGGGAGACAACTGACTTAGTGGAGGGAAGGGAAGAAATAAACTAGGGAGTCATCCAGGGACACATCGAGTTAGTGAGGGTTTTAGTTTGGATGATAACAAGCTCTTAAAACATGGCTTTGACTCATAAAAAATGTAGCTGGGATGGATGGCTACTTACAGGGTTAAAAGCAAACTGAGAGCTCTTCTATTCCCAAATCTGAATGCTGAAGTGCTGCCTAGAACAGCAAACATGTACATGCAAAATATCAAAAATACACAAAGTGGGGGTGCAGAGGAGGTGCAGGATGCACCAGTCACCTCCTTCCCCACACCCTTCAACAGCACAGAGCTCTGGCAGGGTCATCACCAGTAAAACTGGATTCTTACAAGCCATTCCACAGAGAGAAACCATCCCAGGTCCCCCATGGCTCCAGGCATCAGTGAGGACAGTTTTCATGTTCCAAAACTAATTGGACAGTAAGGAGTGTCTGTAAGAATAAAAGCGGGTGGGAATGGAGGATGGAAATAAAAGGGAAAAAAAGTGTCCTTGTTGAAAGTTTTAAATTACAGGCTCAGTAAAAAACTGGCATTCCACCACATCCGGTCTAGTTACCAAATGGAAAAATAGGGTCATTAACATGTTTATTTGAATTACATTAGTCCTTCTCTTTCATATTTAATTTATTCTGTTAGAAAAAAACACAACGCTCTGCATGCTGGTGAAAGGCAGGGGTGTAATGGATCAGGGAGCTGAAATACAATGATCTTTACCCATTATCTACCCTGCTAAGGCTTTTCAGAACTTACTAGGATCATTCAGGGATTCTTCCCTCACAAGGGAGGGAAGGGTACAGAAAGATGTAAGGTACAGATGCTACTGAGTTTGTTAAAATAATATTGAAGCACATTTAAATTAAGGAGTGGAAGGACGATTTTAATATGGAAAGTTTACAAAAAGAAGAAAAGTTTGGGATAAATGACCTCTTCTGAGACTGAATGTCCAGATGCAAGGTTGGTGCTAGGCTTACGGAACATCTCCACATGATATGGAAGTTGTAGAACATTGTGTTATTAGTATTCGGGGTATTAAAAGGCGAAGTCTGCAGGATGATCTCATGAGGCTTGCTGTCATCCACAAGAGGTCAGGGCAACTTCAGTACAAGCAAGTATAATGCAGTACATTCAGGGGAAAATGAAACAAGGTATATTTTCAGGAAGATGTCCAGAAATGACCTGGCTATCTTTGTGGCGGTGACATGGAAAGGACATAGACTTAGTATCATAAGGCCAGTCCCTGCTCTACAACTTACTAACACCATTTGCACAAGTAATTCAATCAGTTTTCCTCATCCATAAAATGGGAACATGAACAGTTACCATAGAGTTGTGAGGATCAACTGAGACAATCTATGTGAAAGTGTTCTATAAAGCACTGTACAAATGTAAGACATTTATTTTCTGAAGACAGTGGTGCCAAGTGTGAGCCAAGCAGTGTGCCAAATATCCTCAGAAATAGGATTGGAAACAAAGCAGGGAATGCTCTGACAAAGCTGAAGAGGACAAGGATCTCCCATCTCAGTGTGACTGGGTGTATCGCTCACTCAAACCTGAAGGGATTTCTCACCGGGATGCTGACCTTGGGTTCATAGACTAACTCCACAGTAGGTTGCCACCCACTCATAATGAGTCATTTAAAGTTCAAATCTTACTTCATGCTAGCGATGCTAGCACAGAGGCAAGCAGTTTTAGGCTTTTTTTGGTCACAGATTTCTGCTGCCATTGTCAAAACAGTAGCCCCAACCTCTAACTGCAACCTAGGGCAGCCAGCCCAACCTAGACTTGATTCTGGTCACTTTTAGTGGAACAAATTGGCTCAGAAAACATCGCCTTCTACTTCTTCTTTAGGATATCCAAAATGAGCAAAAACTTCAGTCTCTAGCTTTTCCTTAAGACAAGTTTCTCCCTTTGCTACAAACGGAATCACATCTTTTTGTTATGATTCTTCCTCTATGGTCCAGTTTGTTGAACATTTTGCCAGCTGTTTCTAAGCTGAACTTTGGCTTAAATACAATTGCAGTCACACTAAGATCATTCTGTTTTGAGCCCAGAGCATAGAGTGTAATTTTGATAGAGGAAGGGGAGAGTTAAATTACGATCAGCTCTAGTAAAAGGTAACGGCAACTCATGGGTGGGATACTTTCTGGATGAAGTACTTCAAAAAATAAATAAATAAAAAGAATAGGAGAACGTTCAGTATTAATTAAAATAATCATGACATAAGATGAAGATTTCTATTTATAATGATAAAATCCAGGCAAGGATATGGTAAATGTCTATAAAGAAACAAAAGGTCTGGGAAACTGACTATGGATTTCTTTTTCAAATTCTAGTATACGTGAACTGGAAGTCATCTTACTACTTTTCAAAAGAAACAATTTATGACAAACTAAAGAACTACTTTACACAGTAGGCAATCAACTTATAAAATTCATTAAAGGTCGATGACATAAATAGTATCACAAAGGTTTAGCTAAATTCATGGATAAGTCCATAGTGGGTTATTCAGAGAAACTAGGCTATCTGGAGGAAAATAACTCTAATTCTTTAAGTTAGCAACAAGGACAATTGTGTCTTATATAACAGTTTCCTGTCCCTGTGATCAGAAAATGAATGCTGAACTGAAAGGACCATAAGCCTGAACCAGAGGGGCTTTTCTTATAATCACATGCTTGTAAGAAAGTAGGGACTAACTATAGTGCTGATATTAAGCCTGCTGGGGCCAGAAGGTGCACAAATTCTTGAACCTGCAGTCACATATGTCACATTACCTAAGCTGTATTATGCCACTCCTTCTCTGCAGCAACTATTATCATCTCCATATTACAGATGAGAGAAGTAAGGATCAGGGAAGTTCAGAGACGAAAAGTAAATTAACAAAGGTCACACAGCTGGTAAATGGCAGATTTGGGATTTGAATTTAGGATTATCTACTTCTGAAGCTCTGCTACCACACTGCTGCTGTTTTCTGCCCAGTAGCCTGATGTATTAACAGCTTAAGATGACTAATTTAACCTGTTAAAGCGATATGAAGTCTTGCTCTTCATTTGCCTTGATATCTAAACTGTGTGTGCAGTAGCTTCTTGTCATCAAATCATGTGCTCATCTATGGCTTTACATTAAAGATGTCTCCAGCTCTCATTAAGAGGGAACAAAAGAAGCAAACAGATCACGAGGAGGTAAAAGGCATGCTGCTATGGATTATTATAGAGTACCTCAGACTATAATGTATATTAACAGAAACTCTTCTCTATCAACTAATCTAAAGACTCATTCTTAGTTTTCCTAATCTAAACTCAGGTACTACAATAGAAGTAATATCCAAGAAGTGAATGAATATGATGAATTCCAACAACCTCCTTGCTTTGGTGACTCTAATGTTGAATGGGATATCAAAATGGAAGATGAGAAACACAAGAAATAGCTGGGTTGGGGGAGAAGCACGATGAGGAGAAGAAACATTAGAGAAGAATCCGGAGTTTACTTTCCCAGACTCTAATTTAATCTGAATGAGCTTTGTTTCTCCACATTTTGAAGAAAATTTAAGTTTAGTAATAGGAGATTGTGTAATGCAAGAGTGTTGCTAGCCTAAAGGCTGTGATAACATATCTTAGGAGCTCTGTGTCCCTCATAACAAAAGTAACAAACCTTTCAAAATTATTTGTGGCCTTGAAATATAATACAAAATACCTGTATCTTAATTTCTATCCTTGTAAAATGGGAAAAGTTATTTTTATATGAAACAACGAATACATAAAATACTATATATTTATATAAAATATATAAAATATAATTATAAAATATATAAAATATAAAATGCTATATGATAGTATATAAAATACTATATATTTTATATAAAATTATTATATATGTTTACATGTGAATAGGAGCTATTTGTGAGTTTTATTAAAAGTCTAGGTAAAAGTAAAGTCATCTATACTCCTTTCTCTGGGGTTCTCTTCCCTTTCCTTTTGTATATTTTTGCTCCCCTTTCTCTGCCGCCCCCCCGCACCCACCCAGGATTTTAACCACAGATGTAATGGGTTTCTGTAACACTGGCAACTCATAGCTTTCACAAATGTTCCCTTGGCTAGGGACCACCCAAATAGTGACCAAATAGTGACTCTCACTGGCTAATGAAAAATCAATGTGGTTTGATATCATTAGGACAAGGTCAAAATAATCCTCTAAGCAGAATTTCCTTACATTCCCTCAACACCAATGTGACAATCTCGCTGCAAACAAGGCATAGGGATGTGGCACTGCTGAACCTGGTAAAGCTATGTCATTGTTAACTGAACTAAAGGAACTATCAGTGCCAAAGAAGAAAGAGAGTAAGAGAAAAATGTCAGAAATGACTGTCTAGATTCAGAGAAAAACTTGATGAAGGGGCATATAGGGATGGAAGACATCTTCGACTGATGACCAGCAGCTTTGAACTCTGCTTCTGGCTCTTGATACAAATTTGATGTGTTGGGTGGTACAAAATCACTACACTGTCTAGGCCTAAATGCCTTCACCTGTAAAGTGTGGGACTCCTTTCAAATCTAAAGTTCTGATTTTGTGTCTTGTTTGGCTGGCTTACTCGGTTAGAACATAGGTTTAATAAGGTTAACATTAGAGATTCAGTTTTCATATAAATCAGATGGCCTGATATAATACTTTGCACATAGTACTTAATAAATATTTGCTCAATGAATAAATGTCTTGGAATAGAGAAAAACTCTATTTCATAGTCAAGGATTCTAATTTAGGGTTAAATGGAGTGGGGCCAAGAGAGAGCACGGGGCTTGATACTAATGCATCTGAACTCCTGGGCGAAATAACTTAAAACGTGGGTCTCACTGACATTGAGTCAGTGGTATCACCATATAGTAGTTGTGCTACAAGAACAATCTTACTATTCAGACTCTTTGAATCACCTGAAAGTGTTCTTGCCAGTAGCCTCTTCCCAAAAGAGATAACCAATCCTGAGAGAATTCCCTGATTTTAAGATTGCATAAATAGCTCATCAAATCCCTACAACATTCAGTTGGGATATGAAAATTACAGATATTTTTTTCCTCTTCACTTTTCACATGGAAAAACAGAAGTCTGCTTCCATTGCAGTCACCCCATCTCCTACAGGGGTGGGAAATGACTTAGCCAGTATTACAGATTGAGCCACTACCTCTTTGTAAATACTATAGTTGAGCATAGAATTTGCCCACGTATGGTACACCCAGGGATTTAGGTGGCAATCACATGCCAGAATTTTGCTTTAGATAATGAGAATCAAGTCATAAAAGAACTTGTGAAAATAAAAATTGAGACACTTAATAATATCAACCACCTGATCATTGTGGTCAGACATATGATAATTTCAATTCCTTAGCAATACTTAAAAAAAAAAAAAAAAACAACTAACTAAATAGAGGGATTAGAACCTGGAAGATAAAGAATCAAACATTAGAACAAGTAACCTTGGATCATAAATATTCTCTGACATTTTCAATTTGCTTGCAACATACAGGGTTTTGTTTTGTTTTGGTTTTGCTTCCATGAGTGTATTGTATCCCCCACTTTCTCCCCTTCTAGAAGCTGGCTAAGTATAGACGCAGACGGTGAAACTCAATCGCAGAGTGCTGACAGAGCTTCTCTTAGGGTCTACAGAACAGATCTACTGAGTCTCACATCTCTTGGTCAGCAGCGACAGGTAAACACTAGCTTTATTTTAGCAGCTCAGCTGCAGCTCCATGGGCAGCTGTCCTTACTGCACATAATCAGTCCCTCTTTTCAGGGGGTTATAACTCAACTATCAAAATACCAAAATATGCTCCGGTTTGAAACTTGGTGTATAGAGTCCCAAGCCCAGGAATGAATGTGGTTTACTTCCAAATTTAAGAAAATATTGAGTTTTGTAGGTCATTTATTTACTATTTTCAAATATGTTTGAAGAATCTTTTAAATGCCATAGGAAAATGTACTAAAAAGGACACACCATTTTAATACCTTTGGTGATTCATTCTGAATTTCAGCACACCACTGAAAGAACCAAATGGTGGTGGAAAAAAAGAGTTTGTTTTATTTTCTTACCAAATACAGATGTTTTGACCACTTGGGTCCTCATCAGTGTTCAAAATATTAGTGTGTTGTAACATAATAAAATAAAGGCGTTAACTTCTTTGTTTTGTTCTTTTCAGTGATGTGCAGAATGGATTAACGAGTTCTTGTTTCTGGCCCTCGTATAACTCAAAAACTCGTTTCAACTTAAATAAATTAAGTAAGTAATTAGTTCATAATATGGCCTAATCACCTCTGGTATTTTGAAACAAACAAAAACACAAAAATGGCTGTTGCACATTTGCACTTAATTACTTCCACAGAAAACACTCATGTGGACTTTATTACAGGTGACATAAATTTCAAATCTAAGCTTTGTTTGTGATAGAAACCTGGGTTATGGTATTGTGTAGACTTCCACGAAGATTCTGTAACCGTCCCTACTATTTTCCTTAAGAAAATGAAACCACAGTCTATGAAACCACATTCTTGCGCTCTTAATTGGCAAAAGAAAGTGCTTTATTTCAAAAACTCTGGAGAATAGTTTACTTCCTACAGAGGCTCAAAGGACGTTAATATAAAAGGTAGTATCATTTCTGGAATTTCTGCAGTGTTCAATTTTTGCTCTTGGAGTCTGAACAGTTCTTGTTTGCATACACGTCTATCTGGGAATTGCTCTTAGTGATCAGGACAGCCTTATGGAAATCCTTCCAGATGAATATACTCAATAGAGCAAAAAATCTTGCTCTGTCTTTAATGTAAAGGAAAAAAGGACTTTTAAACAAGTGTGTAATTGTGAGTTCTAGCCTTAAAGGAACTTTCTTGGCTTGGATTTCTTCTACCCTCCCCTTCAGATACTTAATAATCAAAGTATATGCCAAGAAACTAATGATGCAAACCAGAGTATTGCACATGAACTTGGATCGCTTTCCCATTGTGTAGTGTGTGTAGTGACCAAGATTGGACCCAAAAAGTCGATGATAGAAAATAGACAATGCAACATAATCAAGGTACGCCCACCTTGGGTAAATTCACTAACCCATTTCCTATCCTTCATAAATGCATATAATGATTCTCAGTATAGATTCTGAAACTTCTAGGCTAATCTGGCCATCAGCTGTGAAAGGAAGAAGGATCAACCTTGATTAGTAAACTTCCAGGTCATTTGCTTGGCATGAACCCACTGATGTGTTAGCTGCATACCTCACAATTCTTTAGGTGTTATCTGATGTTACCAAGCATTCCTGATGCCCTTTGAATTTCAATACAGAAATCTAAGTACAACTAAACATTTCCCCAAGCTGTGACAGCCTTATGGCTATTACTCATTTTAGAACTGAGACCAACTTTTCTTCTGACATTTGACCTGGGAGAGTTTCTTCTTTAGCTTTCTGAGTCATGCAAATTTATTCAAATTCTGTATTGCAACCCTTGTCAGTTGTGGCCATACATTCACTTAGTGATATCTTACACACAATAGGCTCTCAATAAACATTTGCTTTCCAGAATGAAACTAGCCTTATCATAAGAAAAAATGGAATAGATTTCAATAGAGTTATAAATGAACTAGAAGAAAGACTAATAGATCTTGAGTATATTAAAAAAAAAAAAATCAAGCAGTGAGAACAGTTGGGTTTTGATACAGTTTCCCAAGGGAAGTAGTAGAAGTTTCATTACTCAGGGCATTTTAAAGTAGAATAGACAAAACACTAGTGGGGTATGTTGAAATAAAATATGCGTAGTCCGTCTGTGAATTAGTGTTTACTTTCAATATAATTATAAGTGAAGCAACACTGTAATGGGAATTTTTCATACACAGGAAAGCTATGGCTACTATGTTTCCACATCGACCATATGTTGCACATATTGGTTGCTGTGGATGTGTATCCCTACTGCCCTCTAGTGGATGAAATGTAAGACCTACCTGATTAACCAGATCTAACAAGCTACTGGTTTGGGGGTATATCAATCTTTAATCATTTAGGGTAGAAAGAAAATAGCTGTGTTGATGCATTTTCCATCAAATTATAAAATTGAAGGGCATTAAAAACAACAGAATCAAACTCTGTAATTAAGACTGCCATTTAATGTTTGTTCGCACACGGTATTCATTTCTGTGTATCCCTGCCAAAGATCCATTGTGTAATGTTGTCCTCACATGACATTAAAAACACCAGTTCCCTGGAAAATACAAAAAAGAAACCGTGCTGCCTTGAAATACACGGAGTTCACTTTCAGAAACATAAAATTAATACAGACACAGTAACATAATTTGGAACACAAATAATGGCTACAAGAAACTTGAAAACCAGGACTGCTCCTTAACTCTGAGCAAGCGTATTAGCAGTCTATGGGTGTGCTGGCTGGTAGTCAGAAGAGGGCAAGCAAAATGGGTTTCAGAACAGGGAAGCTGATTTGAGAAAGGACTGACTAAACACATAGTAATAGGGCAGGAAAATAACTCTAAACACACATTTGGTACTGTGGGTATATATTTAATGCTGTCACATTGAGGCTGCTTTTCAAGTGTAGCACCCAGATGCTGTACTCCCAATGAAGAAAGATAGGGACCTGTACAGTTCTTTGGCATTTTGTCATTAAGACACAGGACAAATCTGAAGGCCATCCTCTTTGTATAATTTTAATTATTTTACAGGATTTAGACTTTAATCACTAAGTTTTAGTCTCACACTTAGCATATAAAATAATTCTCCTAAAACACCAAGAGGAAACAATTATACAATCTACGTTGCCAAAACAACTGACATACCAAAGAGAATAAATGAAATCCGAAAGAAGAGAAACATACCGTGTGCATGCTGAGTGCACCAGGGCAATGGCCCTTATTATGAATGTGGGAAATAAATTGGCTAAATCTTTAAATATCATAAATTGTTCGAAGCTGGTGATATGTGAGTAGATGTACACTTGAGGGGAGGGGAACTGGGTGGGCATGGCCCAGATCGCTCTCTGAGTTAGTGACAGTTTTTACAGTACATAATTTGGTAAAAAAGTATTGGTTTAGTAATGAAAGGTAGGTCCCAATGGACTTCTCCTTGTAAACTTAAAAAGAGCAACAGACTTATCTAGATAGAGCTACAAAGCAACATGAAAACTCTCATTACCTGAGTGATCTAGAAGAAAATCTAACTTGATAAATATCCTGGAAGCATTGTTTTCATCTCAACTAGATTTACTGTATAGCAATTAGCATCTCTATAGATAGATATGGGGAAGCCCAGGAGAGCTGGGGGTAAGCAGTATGGGCCAAAAGGAGGAAATACAGCCAATTTCCTACTTAGCACCACGGACAGAGCTGTCAGCAGAAAGAAACATCCTTGGAGTTATCCTTGGTGTTAAAGAAACACAAAGAAATCAGTGTTGCATTTTAAAGATGCTTCTTATCCCCATTGCGACTGGCAGTCTGGGTTGGAATTATGTTCCAGTGCTTCCCTGTAGGGCACCCATTGGAGCTGAACGAATAAAAAGGTGTCTTGCCCGCCTGTGCACATACAGGAAGGAAAGGTTGATACAGGAGAATGATGTCTCCTTGACTTTTGTCTGACTCTTCTCTGGTTTTTGAAAAATCATAGCACTCTGAAGAATACTATCCAGTCTTTCCCATGTCAAGACAAGTCCCTGTGCATTTCAGCCTTAGGGTCTCTAGGGCACAGGGATTGCTCTGGGGCACAACTAGGGAAAGGGAATAAGTAAAGACAACTCTAAAAGGAAGTAAAATGCCTTCTATTCCATCTCATGTTATAGAAGATTACAAATAAGACCCTCTTCTTCCTCTCAGTTCTGGCCTTTATGAGGTGGAAGTCACTATTAGACTCTATAACTGAATAACAGATTCTGGAAAATTAGAACTATCTCTCTTGCACTTGAGAAGTCAGTGGGTCTCCTTTTCTGTCCTGCTGAAGCCAGATACAGACAAATCTAGAGAACCAGTTTTATGAAAGAAAGTAGCCTAGCACAAATTATTTGGCATTAAACCATACCATCATTTGCTAAAGACTTGGAGTCAAAGCTTTTCTCATTTGATTGTTAATAAGAAGCTTATATTTCTAAAATATCTTGATTACCAGGGAACTTGTGGGTTTTGGCTTTAATCAATTCTTAGGGCTTTTCCTATCTTTTGTTTCTTAGACCTTTATGTCCACAGGATAGTCTAGAGAGTTGAAATTTACTTTTTGCCAGCTCACTATGCATGTTCACCAAATGGTAAAGTTCTCACTTTAAAGCCCAGCAAGACAAGATGAGCTCTGTCTGCCCAGCAGCCTTTCAGAGGCATTAAGGGTAAGAGAGAAGGTAAGTAATTCACTATGCGTCCCCATTTCTATAATGGGGAAGGACGTCTTGATACATTTACAATACTCCTCTGGGGATATTTCATCAGTTATACCTAAACTCTAATGGACAATAATTGATTTGAACTTTCCACTTAGCACAGAGCTGTAAACAGCTTCACTGCAGACGGCAGCAATGAGCCGACGTTTTGTAAAGTGGAGAGAGATTCAGAAAACTTTTGTACTGGGTCATGCCGTAGCCTAACAGCTTTTGAATCCAGGGAAGAAACAGTTTGTCCTCCTGGTTTTAATAGCTGGGCTAATCGAGTTTCAAGCCTGCAGTAGGTATAGGTTATCTTTTGAAGGCATTCCATTTTAACCCCTCACTATTATGATGGGTTTATAACCTAGCCATAAAAATGTACTCCTGATTTAGACATACATCAGGACACATTCAAAAACATAACTTTCTGAATGTTAATTTCCTGGTGAAGGAAAAAATAAGACATTAAAGTCATTTTAAGACTACAGATTTTTTTTTTTTTTAACTCTGCGTGGGTGGTGAGCCTTTCAGGGAAAATATTCCCTCTCCTCCAGTGTCCCTCATCTGGTTGACACCACCCTGTCTCTCCCTCTCACTCAACATCACTTTGTTTCGGGCTGTATCTTAGTGCAATCTCCCATGGAATGGCCCCAAAGACTAATCTGCTACAAGGCATGAAACAAGCACAAGTATAGCTCTGTTCCATGACTTTCTTTTATAGCCTCCCTCCAGCCCCGTTGAACACACAAGTAGATGAAGTTTAGAAGAATTCTTTCACTATTTAAATCAGCTCTTCTGTCTCACTACGGCATGATAGAGGGTAAAATGAAGAGAAATGAAAGACTAACTACATTTTACTTAGACCACTACATCGTCTGCTCAGTCTATAGCTTTCCTATTTTGTTCCACACTCCTGGAATTCTCACAATGGGATTCAAAGCTCACCTAGAAGCCACTCTTAGACAACAAAGGACACAGTCCCCTTTGGAGTTGTTGCTGCCACTTCTCTTGTGTCAAAGATCTACAAACCTTGTGGCTGTGAAGTAGGACTTTATGAACACACAGCAAGAAAGTATATTTTGTGAATATACTGCAACCGGACGTTACCCGCCTTACATGAATTTGACATGGAATATGAATTTTCCCTCAATTCAGCTGATAAGATTGTAAGAGCAAAGGCATACCACTGTCAGAAAATAGATTTACCCTGCACCCCCAATTGTAATTCCCTTTCTAGAAATCTACAGAAAAAATAGGATATAATCAGACATTTTGTAAGATGTTGTCCAGATTCTGAAATGCATTAAAATCAAACTGAACATAACTTGTTCCACTTGGTCCTGAAAATTACATTCTGTAGCTTCTAGACATCAAACTTAGTTCTGGTTTTGATGTAACCGCTGATTATTTAGGTAACACTAAGCAAGGTACTGAACCTTACAGAGCCTCAATTTTTCCATTTCTCATTTGGGGAGAATGACACCTGTGTGTTCTTATTTATTGATGGATGAGATGAAATTATATCATAAGCTACTGAAAAAAATGGTGTTATATATATTTTGGGTCAGTCACCTTTACCTTTACAGCAGCATGACCAATGATTGGCAAAGTAGTCAAAGTCTACTTCACCCCTCCTGGGTAGAAGGCAACATGGAAAGGGTATTTTCCATCATTTGGCAGTAAGGGCCTAGCTCTACCCATGTTCTTCCCCAGGCAAGCCCTTTTCTCCCATAATCAAAGGGCAACATTTTAATATTTAATCTTTAAATCAAATATGGCATTCTCAAATTTGATTTAACCAATGTCTAAACTTCACTGAGCTTTCAGTTGAGCCACTAACTCCCTCTTTCACTGTCAAGCTTCCATGGAACACTCTTTAACCACAAAATTTTGTACAATGGTACCTAGTGAGCTCAAATGACTTTCTCACTGATCAACAATTATTAGTCTGTAAGGAGTTTATACTACAGAACATCACTCTGGTGTGTCAGGCTCAGCTCTCATAGACTTAACTAAGCATAAAATGTGCTTTACAAATAAAATGCTTATAAAAGTTAACAAAGAAGTTAACAAAAGTTAACAAAGAAGTGGATGACTTACATTCACCCTGTGTTTTATACCTTGGAATTCAAAGTTCCATACTTAATGGAAATGGGGAAAGCTTAGCAAGGGTTCAGAGCAAAGGCCAAAGAACCTTCCTTCCTTGTTTGCCCAAAATATTAAAGAGATAATTTGATAATGGTCATTAGTAAGATGATGTGTTAATAGATGTTCCTTACCTATAACTCAGATTAAACATTTAAAAAGGGGGTTTATGAAGTATGAGGGATTGAGTTGAGTTATAAAATTATTACATACTTCAGGAGATGTTAAATCCTCATATGAAATACTCTGATGTTCCAGTGTAAGTTTTATGAAATACATTTGATCCCTATTTATCTGTGACAATTTAGTTAACATGCTACTAGAGGGCAGGACAGGTGAACCAGAAGAGTTCTAGGCTTTGGCATCTCATAAAAGTTAAAAATGATCTGTAGAGCTTATCTTGAAATACTCTTTCATAAAATGTATGTGTATGATTCAATGACTGAGCCATCCCACATGCTAAGTTGACTACGGTCATAGGGAACCAACCTCATGTGAACTGTTTGATCCCATTATTGACCAGTCTTTATCAATGCTTGGCAGAGGTCAAGGAAGTAAATCTAACACCTATAAAACAAATAAGCGATTTCCTTGTTTGCTTTTGAAAATGCCACTTACTGATTTTATTTTTCTTTACAGTTGTTAGCAGCTGTACACGGTCATATTATAATTGTCACATAACAACCTTAATTCAGGGACACATCTTTTGAAACAATGTATTATTCAGCAACTTTGGGTAAACATGCAATTTAGGAGTGGAAAAGATGCACACAGACACAAGTAATCATAGATACAAAGCATGGTGAATTTCTGTGCCATGCACTTCACACCCCAACTCATCTCGCAGGGAAACTAGAGAAGGGGCAGAACCATTTCTATTATGATAATTCACAAAGGGAGGCCATATAGATATGCATGCAAAGTCTCTCCCCACCTCTCCATTTACATGCCAGGATTTCAACTCTGCGACACTGAGTCCCTTCATTTAGCCAATTAGTCCTTCCAGCTTCATGTAATGCACGCCAAAAAGAAGGAGAAATAGAAGTGCTGACGTTCACTGCTTTGAAAGTTGCTATTCTAATGCCAAAGCTGCCTCTTGAGCAATTTCCAGAATGTATTAACATGGGAGCAAAGCGCTATTCCTAAAGACAGGGATCACATTATGCAGGGGAGCCCCGTTTAACGTGTCACAATTGCACAGAACCTCCATCCCCTGCACGATCTTACAGTTGTAGTTTGCATGGGCTCAAGTTTACGGTCTTTACTTAGGTGAAACTTAGGAGGTCTTCCTAAAGAAAAGAAGCAATTTAAAAATATCTAGTAAGCAAGGCATGGCACATCTTTTGTACCATGGCATTGACCAAGTCCTTTTACTGTCATTCTGAAGAAAGCTGGTCAAGGTGTAAAGCAAACCGGCCTCTCAGTTTAGGACAGAGTGAAGGATTCTTCAGTTTCTTTCTTTCTTTCTTTTTTTAAATCAATTAAGTCTAGGTTCAATTTTAATTATTTTAATTTGGCAGACATCCCTAGAATTTTCCCTCCATATTAAGGACCAAGTTGAAAACCATTACATAATTGTGTAGCTGTGTATCTGAATGCCCTCTTATGCACGTGATTCTGATACTTAGTAGGCAACAAGGTGTCGCTCTGAAATTTGAAAAACCATTAATTCTTCAGCTGACCACCCTGTTTACAGCTGAAGCAGTGATAGAGATTTTAATATCGCCTTCTCCCTTACTCTTGGCAATGGATTTACAAAAGCCAGTTTGTGTCAGCCTGGCCCTCTACAAATTTAGCTGTTCTTTGCTTAAATCATGACATTTGCAAGAGATGACTGGACAAGTCCCCCACTGAGGCAGCATAGCAGAGGTGAAGGGGCACTTGAAGTCCTATTTCTTCTACACGTTGTCTCTGCTTACTTCGACCACATCTGTCTTCTAGGTCTCCTTTTCCCAATACACAAAATTTGAATACTGACTGAGACGATCCTGCAGGGTTCCTTCTAGCCCTTTTTTGCTTTTTTACCCTAAAACGCTCAAAATGATTTCTTTCTATGTCTTTGGCTTCTATAATTTATAATCTTGGCTCAATCTTCTCCCTTCATTTATTTCCTCAATATTACCTTTTGTAACTCTTAAATATGCTGTCCCTCAAAGAACTATCTTAAGGCCATAGTTTTTTCTTCTTATACTCATGCATCTGAAGGGCTGATGCACTCATCCATCTTTTCTCATAATCTACCTCTTTTAGTTAGGGTTAACTAAGTTAGTTAACTTAGATAACACTTTCTCTTCAGAATATCTCTACTTAGATGGCTGCTAGCCCCTCAAAACCCAAATAATAAAAAGCATTCTCTCTTTCCTTTTAAATCATTCTGCTATACAAATTCTGTGTAACCACAGTCTAATATATCCAATGCCTCAATCTTCTGCTAAACGTTCACATTTTAATATATTGCTTCTCATATAGAGCCACTTATCAAATTTAGAAATTTTCTTATGATGATGTTAACTCAAATATACCTTTTTAAACTAATATTCTTGGCCAGCTCCTAATCACATTGTACCTAGGATATGAAAATTGCCTCCTCAGCCGGGTGCGGTGGCTCACGCCTGTAATCCCAGCACTTTGGGAGGCCGAGGTGGGCGGATCATGAGGTCAGGAGATTGAGACCATCCTGGCTAACACGGTGAAACCCCATCTCTATTAAAAATACAAAAACAAAATTAGCTGGGCGTGGTGGCGGGCGCCTGTAGTCCCAGCTACTTGGGAGGCTGAGGCAGGAGAATGGCGTGAACCTGGAGGCGGAGCTTGTAGTGAGCCGAGATCGCGCCACTGCACTCCTGCCTGGGTGACAGAGCAAGACTCCATCTCAAAAAAAAAAAAAAAAAAAAAAAAAAAAAAAAAATTGCCTCCTCACTCCAAACATATTCTCAATGGTTTGACTGTCACAGTTCCCTCTTTAGTCCTCCAGTGGCTTTCTACCCTACTTCAGATCAATTGTGAATTATAGACTCCCAGCACTGAAAGCCCCCTCCCTGTAGGTCTGCTTGTCTAA
Source organism: Homo sapiens (assembly GCF_000001405.40). Lineage (NCBI taxonomy): Eukaryota > Metazoa > Chordata > Mammalia > Primates > Hominidae > Homo > Homo sapiens. The sequence goes on from NC_000003.12 coordinate 114,426,522, forward strand.
CCTGTCAGCATCCGGTGCCACTAAGGCCCACCTTAATCCACACAGCAAGTCGCTTTTGTCTTCTGGCTTCCTTCCGCTGAGAATACACCCTCTCCATCTCTGAACTTTTTCCACATAAGCCTGCATCTACGGAATAATCCCTCATGCACTGAAGAACATCTTTCCTTCATTCAGATGATAACTTAAACCTCACTTATGCCAGAGAGATTTCCAAGATGATTACCAGCCAACTGTTAACCCTCTAAAACAAGGTAAGAACCACTCCACCCACCTTTCCACACATTTCAGAAAAAAATTATATTTTTAATTGTGTATTGTAGTTGTTTATAAATTATTTTGATGGCAGCAAAATATGGTATTTAATACAGTTTATTTATTGCCTTGCAACTTTTAAGTCTTGATTTCAAATTGGTATAAAAAACAAAAATGAAAAAAGTCCCATTTTGTTACTTTAATATATATAAAGCCATTTAAGTCTCATGCTTTTTGAGATCTGTCAACCGCTATGCACATGATAGGTATCACTAAACACACACTTGTTGAATTGAATTGAGGAGGAACCATCTTAAACAGTTTACTCACAGAGGAGGAAGGAATCAGAAGACTATGAACATAAATATTCCATAGCAGCATCTGAGTGTAACAAGAAATAATACCAAAATGAGAGTTTCCCAAATTTCTCTCACCCTCTTGATTGTTTAATATTATATTCATAAAACTATATTTTTAAAAACAGCTTTGATTTTAAAACGTTAAATTTACACACCAAGAAGTAGACACTAGCAAAGTCTCATAGTCTGATTTATTTCTCTGTAATATATCTGTCTTGAGAACATCAGCAGGAATACACCAAAGAAATATGTCCCTCACGGGATCAACTATATAAAAAGACAGAACACATCATCAGCACAAAAATCATTATCCATCTAATTTCTCCCATTCTAGATGGCTCCAGTGAGCCCCTCGATCATTACTGACTAGGGTTAAGATAGAGCTTAATGGATTAATTAAGCCAAAGCAGGACTGCAATGCAGACCGAAGAGGAGAAGGTCCTGACACAGATGAGACAACAACTCTGTTCCTCTTTTATTCAAATGTGCAAGACTTGCCCACCCCCAAGTACTACACATTTATACTGTAAATAGTCTCCAAAAATAAGATTTGGTGTCTGCTGTCTGGGTCTTCCCCTCAGCACTCACCAACATCTAATACTTGGGTGTTAATCAAAATGTATCGTGTAATAAGAAATTAAATGTTAAGACTTTCTTTTTCTTCAGAAACGTGGAGAATGATTGTTAACAGAGGTAAAGCAGTAGAGGCAGAGCACTCGTTTTGGCAATCAAGGAGCACCAACTAAGGGAGAGGTTATTGTTTGAATGTCAATGTGACTCTGAGAGAGGGCCAGGGACACAGAATATTCACAAAGAGCTGAAAGGAAGAAGTGCCCACAGCCATAAAGTCACGGGGACTGGGGGGCATGCCCAAAGGCATCTGTCGTAATAGAAACCTTGAGATTTGTTCATTTAAAGGGGATTTTGAAATTCAAATGTAAAAAGAGAACAAGATAATCCAAAGGGCACAATTTGGGGCCTTTTTCTTCTTGTAAAAAGAAGAGAAAATAGAGAGAATCCCCCATACCCCCCAACAAAGTACTGTACCATAGTGGCAGTTTACTCTCACTTTTACGAACCAAATCAACATATTAATGACTTAAAAACCACGTTCACAATGGGGACAATCAGACTCTATCAGACACAACATTAAATACGCAGGTATTAAAAGAAAAAAATGCAAACTACCAAGAAATACCTCACTCCGGAAATGGTAAGGCTGACGAAAGCAGACTATGTCATTAATACCAAGCACACCAGAAAGGCATCTATGGAGCTAGACTGGGAGGGACAGGCCTCATTTGCACCAAAGAGGAAGTGCCCTGAAGGGGCCCAGAAGTGGGGAACTGGGTAGATTTTAGTCTTTTTCTTTTTTTGGTAGGTGGGGGGAATGACAGAAACCTGGCAGGCTCCTGTGGAGGTCTGGCTGCCCCCACCATGTTGAGTCCCAGTGTCTAAGTAAGTAAAGAAATGAAAAGACACCTATCTCAATGGTTGTCCTGAAACAGTTTTAAAAGCAAGTACAAGTCCCCAGCCCCTAGTAGAATACAAATAATTTCATTTGTGATTCTTGCATCAAGGAAAAAACTTGTGCTAAGTTCAAACAATAGGATACCTCTCAAAAAGATATGACTTCTCACTAGAGAGAAAGAATCAAATTCTGGAGTGGGAAGTGTTTTTTACCTTAGTGATCTTTTAGTCATTTTGTAAATGAGGAAACTGAGGACTTGCCAATGGTCACAGAAGTTAATTCTGTAGTTGGCAATTCTAGCAGTAATGAATTTACAGATAGATTTGGGGCTATGAGGAATCCAGTGGAATTGGGTCCTTCAAGGCCTTTTATTTAAACAATTATACATATATATACAAAAAAAGATACAGGGGGAGAGATCTATAGATATAGATAAGTCTGTATAAAATATATTGCTGGGTAGTAAAAAGAGGACCGGTGTTGTAGCATTTTCACTACCATGGTCAAGAAGCCACGGACTAGATTCATTTGTTCAGTGAACAAACAGTTACTGAACTCTGTGTGCAAGTATTATAAAAGTAAAAAAGTACGATTAGACATAGTTTGTGCTGTTTCAAAAAGAGTTAACAGTATAGTTGTTTTATATCTACAATACAACCTCTTAAATAATCAAGTAGTCAAACTAATTCCTATTGGATTAATACAAATCATAATCATTAATTTTGAATCTTGAGAGAAGGCATAAACTCTGCATTATATTTTAGTTAGACACTGGAAATAATCTGGAATGTTTCTGGTACCCCACATCTAAAGATTGGATTTCAGCTATTCGGTGCATTTGGATGTTTTTTTCCCTTTAGAATCCATCCTAAATTCAATGCCCTAACTCGGTAGCTCAGAAACAGAGCTCTCTAGGCATTGCTGCTCTCCTTCTGCCCAGTCTCTGAGAGGGTATTGAGGTTGAGGATGGGGATGAAACTAAGAATAAGGCAGAGAACGTTGCTAAGTCATGCTTCTTTCAGATCTAACACATTTGTAGTCAGACCTCTGGCCCTCCGTATCCATGGGTTCTATATCCGCAAATGGAAAATATTTGGAAAAAAAAAACCTCCAATAAAAAATAATGATACCACAATGAAAAATAACACAAACAAAGAAACAGTGCAGTATAACAGCTATTTACATAGACCTTACATTGCATTAGGTATTATAAGTAATTTAGAGATGATTTAAAGTACACGGAAGGATGTGCATGGGTTATATGCAAATACTATCCCATTTTATATTAGGGACTTGAGCATTTGTTGATTTCGGTATCTGTGTGGTGGGCTGGGGTGGGATGGGGTGTCCTGGAACCAGTGCCCTGCTGATTGGATATCAAGGGATGACTGTACTTAATCTCCAAGTCATTTCCCTTACAGTTATATTTTAGTATATGGCAAAGCACAATGATTTCCTTTGAGATGAACAAAAATTGAGTAGCTAAAACCTAATGAATACAATTAGTTTAAGTAATCTGGTTATGGAGAAAAATCACTAGTAGTAAAGAAGTGATCATATTACCCAAGCATTTCTCTTAAAAAGAAGAAAGGAGAAAGATAACATGTGAGTGCCTACTACATTTCAGTACTATGCTAGGTTCTTTACACAAATTAGCTCATTTAATTCTCATAAACATCTCCCAGAGCAGAGATTGTTTCCATTTCTTCTGGTAAAGAAACTGAGGCACAGCAAGATTGTGTTTTGAGCAGACATACAAAGCTAGAAAGTAATTTATGGCACTCATATTTGGATCCAAGTTTGTCCATCTACAAAGCCTATAAGCCTGCTAAGGGAGAAACCCAAAAATGAAACAACAATGAATGCCACTGGCAGTCTTTTTATTGGATATCTACTATATGATGCTAAGTTATGTGCCCAATTAATTCGAATATAAACACACATTTTCTGCCACCTTGATGTTTAAATATATGAGCATGAGCAAACTAACATTTGGATCCACCATAGAATATTGATGTAGAAAATTCAAATCACTCATGTATTTTTTTAATTTTAGAAGACAATTTACCTGATGTTGCAAAGTTATCATGCAAAAATTAATGCTAAAAACATAAAAAATACCCTATAAACTCTTTCAGTGCCAGGGAACATCATGCACTGCTCCTACAAAAACCTGGCACAGTGAATTCCCTGTTAACTGCCAGTAGATAGGGTTTTATCCTTAAAAATATTTAAAGGTGAGCACATAGTCTGCTTCATTTTTACTCCAGGGTTGGCATTCTCACTGCCTCTACTTACCTTGTTTTCTGTAAAGTGTGGAAAGGAAAACAAGTGAATTTTTCTCTCATATATGAAGGCCTAGATGTGGGGAAAGGTTGTTTAAATGAAAACATGGAGTTTCTCCTCGTGCTAAGCTGGGGCATTTGGAGAGTCCCCTCCTCCCTGTGCCCCTCCATCCACACAAACATACACCCCAGTTCACGTTCTAGTTTCACGCGGGATAGGAAAAGAAAACGAAAAACAGAAAAAGCAGGAAAAAGTACAGAAGAAGAAGGAGGAAGGATAGGAAGAGGGTCTAAGGAAGTAGTGTAGTCTTCCAGAGTGCTCCAGAAAGTGAAACGATGAAAAGGGTGAGCCTCAAGAGCAAGGCACCTCCCAGCTCTCCATGGATGAAGAGTCTCTATCAGCTCCAGAACTAAAACCCTCAGTAGGCAGGATGGTGCTAAAAGAAGAAAAACTCTGGAAGGGGGTCAGAGACGGATATTGCAGAGCTTTCTAGCCCCTTCTACATTACGTATAAAAACGATTATTCAAGAAATAATGTAATTTTCCAGAGCATGTTCAAATGCAAGAAAAAGGTGCATTCTAAGATTAAATGTACTACGACAGCTAATGATTCATTATGTTAAAGTTATTTATTATTTACAATTATTTTCTATTTATGACATTGTAGTCTTTCATTGACACTTGATAATCAAGAGTTGACAAAATACCATTTGAACTGCTTTGCTAAAGAACAAAAAAAGAGGGATTAAGGTAGACAGGAAGTGCGTCCACCAACAATAAAAAGGACACATGACTCATACCCCAATATTAATGACAAAAATATCTACAGTGAGATCCTAAAGTTCTGGGTATTTGTCTAATTTTTCCACAATCAGAACCAAAGGTAAAAACAGCATTGACAGCTACTGCAGTTTGGTCTGTTTAACAGACCAAATGCTGGGATTTCAAAGATTCATGGCTGGGATTCCAAAGATTTGTCCATGTTGGAAACAGCATTCACAGTAGCTTTTCGGTCAAGTGGCACAAAGGAGTGAAAAGGTAGAAAAGGAAACATTAGCACCAAAAATCTCTAGTCATCTTTTACCACCTTAACATGGGTTAGCTGAAGGCCATGGAGAATAACGGATGTGCAGTTGTCTCTTTCTTATACAGACAGCAGAGAGAGGGGGGAAAACCACACACTTATATTTTGCTAATGTAAAAGTCCCAGTGGAAACATTAGCACTCAAAGACATTAATGTGGATTTGGGACACTCCCTGAAGGATTTTGATTCCATTAGAAAAAAAAAAAAAGACAGTGACAGATATAATCCTGCTTTGATATGTTTAATGCCATTTAAAGAGAAACTGTACCCATTTACCTCAGGCCAGGACACCAAGAGTTCAAAAAGTGAAATACCATTTCTCAGTGCAAAGAAAAAGCTTGGAAAATATTATGTGAAAATTAATTTGGCATGCTTCTTTGAAATTTTAGATTTCTGGGATGAGCAAATGGGTACAGTTTTCTTTTAACTGTTTTTGAACACCATGTGTTGAGAAGAAAACAACAGAATGGCAATTGCTCATCCAAAATGCTAACTTGTGGCATGGCACAGTCAAGATGGCCTGCCACAGCCAAAAAGCAGGTGTGTGCTATGCCTCTCACTTCAGTAGCATGCACGCCACATGTCCCTGCATTCGGCAACCTCTTGCATTTGCTTTTGGAACCTTTCTGAGGGGGACAGTAAACATGACTCAACAGAATGTCTAGCTGAGGAGGGACTGGCTCTCTGAGCCTGCTGTGAGACAGACTTTTTGAGGAAGAACCAAAGGAAAACTGGAATAATGTATTTATTTTGGAATTCTTTGGTATCACTTCCTGTGACCTAACACCAAGACGACTGGTTCCAGATCATTTTGTGTGGATGAAATTTAGCATCTAATCAGGTCGGAGAGTAATGGTGAAGCTTTTGTGTGACTGGAGAGGACACATTAAATCAGCTACCTCATTTGGACTGAGGTCAAGGTTAATGTAGCTGGTACAGATCATACGAACCTAACCTAAAAGCTTAGAGTAATAAACTCCTCACCCCTCAGGTCCATGGATAAGCTTGAAACAGGGTGTACAAAACCATTTGGTGTGCTGGGATGCCAAAGCTTCTTCAATCTGACATTATGAATCTGTTATTATGTTACTCTAGGAATTAAAATAGTTTTACGTAGATATAGGTCCTTTTCAACTATACAACAGTCCTATGAGGGAGACGAGGAAACAGAAAAAAAAGATTTTCCTTCTGCCCTGTAAGAAGCCTGATAAAGAGGCCAAGTTAAAAGTCATGACCACGTCTAAGCTCAAGTCAGGAACCACTTGGAATGAAATCCCAGGATATCTGTGCTGTAGGAATAGACAAGGTCTGAAGATAAAGAAGTAGATGAAAATCAAAATTACTATTTTAGAAGACAGGAGTGGGACACCTCTACTTTATTCTATACTTTTAATAAATACATCAATAATAATTTATTAAAAACCTACTATGTGCAAATGTCAAGAGTGGGGAAGAATGAAACCTATAAGTAATAAACTGGAAAGAAAAAACATCCTTAAGCTTTTCTGATGTAACTGAGTGATGTTCTCTGCTTCTGAGTAGAAATTTATGGATTCAGAAAAGGTAATTTCTTTCCAAACACTCACATGCCATTGTTAATTTCACTCATTCAAATCACAACATTTACTACTATACCTTTTATTTCTGATGGCACATTCTAGGTGTTGAGGGGGATACAACTGTGTGTAAGTACAGTCTCTGTATTTATTAAGCTTACTGTGCAGTGGCAGGAGGAATGAGACATATAAACATGCTCTAGTATAAGACAGTATGTAATCAGTGCCACAGGAGACATACAAATAAGTGCTTTAGCAGTTCGGAAGAAGCAAGTCCTCCTGGCTATAGAACCACCCCTCCATAGACATACTGAAATGACTCAATGCACAGAAAGGAAGGATCTGTACAACTTTAAGTCAACTTACAATTGATGTGCATTAGGGGATTGGAGGGTTAGCTAGGCTGTGAGGGGAGGGATGTGCTCACTGTGTCCACAGCTCCTCTCACACTGGGTCACCCCATAATTAATGTTTATCAAAAACATGCATGGATAAAAGTGGAAGTCAATTGAATGATAGACCAGGTCAATGGGTCTGTGTTAGTTCTAGATATTTTAGATGATTATTAACACCCTGCTAGAAGTTGGCATTATAAGAACATCATTTTCTTCCCACACTAGTGTAAAAAGTTCAGTTTTTTACCCATTCCAGAGTGATGGGAAGTAAAATTCAGGGCTTCAGTCTTCCAAATGAGGGAAATACTTGGCCTGTGCAAAATGCTCTCGGTAGGGGTATCAAAATGTCTTTCAAAACAGCAAAAAATACATTTCCTGATAGCCCCTAAGGAGTATGAGTTGGAATCCATGTTCTCTAGATGTGACGATGGAGTTCGGGAGAGGCAGGTATGCTAGGATCCATATAAGATCGTATTTCCCATGGTAGTGGGAAATAGAATTTGAATGTCCTGGCTTCTAGGTCTGGGTTCTTCCTACAGAAACATCTTTTTCATTTTGTATTCCTCTTGGACACTCTAGTCCTTTACCTCATGAAGAGTAGCCTTCTGCAATTGGGGTGTGTGTGTGTGTGTTTGTGTGTGTGTGTGTGTGTATCTTTCTAAGAGAGAGGATAGCCTTACTGATGTGCTTTTGTAAAGGATTCAAGGTTGTCTGGATCCTCAAATAATGCAATTGAAAAAATACGGTTTCTTTGATTCAATGGTGCTTACATTTGAGCAGCGTTTTCTTTTTCCATTCTCAAACACAGTATTTGAGACTATCTGCCAACAATAAAAAGGTTTAGAGCATCAAAAGTGTAGGCGAACCAAATCAGAATTAATCTCTGTGAAAACCGAGATTCAGGCGCATGGAAAAAGTTTAGGAAAAAATCCAGGTGGGAGGCAATCCCATAGAAAGGTGTCTGGCATCTTTCCTGATTCAAAGTGAGGTGTAGTAGGACACATGTGGAAGAGAGATGAGCGGTTCTAGCTATTCATATGATCCATTGTCTCACCAATGCTCACACAACTTGGGACTGTGTTATCAGGGGGCCATTTGATTTATCATGTAGTCCATGTATCCTATTGTATGTATGATCCGGAGAGAGGTTAATAAAGGGAAGTCTAAGCTTAACTGGGACTAAAATGAGGTGGCAAACAGCCATTCACTCAAACAAGACTCACCAGATTAATCTGTGGAGTATCCAGCAGCATTTCCTTTTATTATCATATGAAAAGCTGTGCATTTTATTGGAAAATAATTAACTCTTTAAAAAAAAAAACTTGCACACCATAGCAGCAAAAGGGAGGAAGATAACAGTGATCACTTCTGAACACCTGGTACACGTTTGGCACTGTTTTTCTTTATGCATGGATTTCTTTACATATGTTATCTCATTTGATCTTCATACCAACTACGAATGATTGATATTTTGCCCATTTTTTTTGTATAAGAATCCTAAGGTTCAGAGAAGTTACGTAAATATCCTTTGGTCACACAGCTAGTAGGGACTAAGCTGGAATTCAAATTGGAGCAGTAGGACACAAAGCCTGTGCTCCTCACCATGCCTTGCCAGGCCAGACTTCATGTGCTTTTCATGGCATGAAATCAGTGTTGGGGGAATTCTGCCCAGCATCTCTGGTTAGCAGAGTGAATTGCTTTTATCATTTGCCAACATGTCACAGAAAAAAACAAAACAACAAAAAAATTAAAACTCCTGGCTCTAGATTTCCTATCAACCTGAAGTTTGGCTTGGTTACATATTATTTGAATATCTGACAATCTTATAAAAAGTCTAACGAGAATAAAAAAATTCTTCATTTATGCTAGCTCCTATGTTAGCTAAAAATCTCCTATTCCTACATAACAATGTGCCTGGGGAACTCTCTCACTGCCAGAAACTCATCTGAAAATGCTGAAAAGTCAGAATTTGGGGCCTATATACTGACTAATGTTACCAGCTGTGAGTCAGCTTGAACATCAGTAATATGATATTTCCCGCTACAATTTGATTTGGTTAAAATGTGTTTGAAGTTCACCCTTTTATTAACTGGAATTACCACCTCCTGTAACTGGAGGGCCTCTGAGAACAGGCTGCTGGTGCAATCCACCTTCCCACCCGCCAACGGTGCATTTCCTGGCAACAAATACTATTAAATTGATAACTACAGAAATAGGTCAAAATGTCTTTTCAATAGTTGCTAATATTTCTCTAATGCTCCATAGCCTCCCTTTGATTCTTGTGCTGACATTTTTTTTTGATGAGTGCAGGAGCAACAACTGTTAAAGAGAAATGACCAGAAGAAAGGAAAGCTGGCTGGGGTGGATGGAGGTGCTCTTAGGAGTTCCCGTATCAGACAGAAAAGCTAGATCTCCCTAGAGGCCCAAGGGCCCCAAACTCAGCTCTGCTGTTGAGTTTGGTGACCCAGAAGAAAACCTGTGTCCCATCTGAGCCTCAATACTCTCATCTGTAAAAAGAGGAGACTCGAGATGACTGATTATTCAAATTTGCAAAATGCCCAGAGTTCACAGGAGGTAGAAGCCCTGACTTATCACAAAACATTTGGGTTTTAAATTTGTTTATAGTACTCTTATAATGTTACCTGTTAAGGCCTTGGCTATCCAAGATAGAAACTTATTTTCATACAAAAAAAGTAATATTGTGTTATATTTTCGTAAGAGAGACCCTTTGCTATCATACTGGGTTTTATTCACTATGTAAACCTATATTCCCTCCCTCTCTTTCCTCCAGGAACAAAGTTTGCTTTTCTGAGTTCACATCACATGTGTGATTACAGCAAAGACAGAAGTTTGAGGCTGCAGTGAGCCATGATTGTGGCACTATACTCCAGCCTGGGTGATTGAGCCAGACTTCAACCCTTAAAAAACAAAAAAGAAAGGGGTGGGGTGGGTATAGTCACATTGGGAACATAGCTGATTGTGAGCCTGCAAGAAGAAAAGTCCCCTTGCTAAAAAAGGTTTTCCAGCACTTCTTCTGAGATGCAAACATACCACGGAGGGGTCAAGCCATTCATGCCTTCATGCTATAACCACTTCAACTCCAAGAGAGTTATCTCAGTGTAAAGCAGTTTTGAACTGGAGCTGGAGGGAGGGATAGGGATAATTCTGGAACAGGGGAAGGTGAAGGAAGCAATCAGATTAACTAACACAAGGACCCTAGGCTCTGCTGGCAGAGGAGAAGATGAAGTGGGTGACAAGGACTGAAAAGAACCCAGTCTCTATTGCAGTTTTTGCCCAGGGCCTTGTCTGGAGCTGGTGAACCACTAAAAAAATCCCTTGAGAGATGTCATGGTTTATCAAAAATGCCTTTGGCTCTTCTGTTGCTCCATGGTTGTGCTGTTGCTCAACAGGCGGTCAGCAAACTACAGCCTACTTGGTTGAGGTGAGAGTAGCTTAATCTCATATAATTTAAACTCACAAAGACTATCTCTCCATCAGATCCCTTCTGTTTTCCTTCCTTTCCTAGAGCAGGGAGGAAAAAATGTGTGAAAGTAAGGGCAAAGAAGGAGGAGGAAGAGGTAGAAGAAATTAACCTTTCCTCAGCTTCCAAGTGAGTTAGGCTTTGTGTTAGGTAAGCATCTCTCTAGATCCTTCCAACAGCCCTGAAGATATTATTAGTAATAGGAAGTATTTTATAGGGTTGAAGCAGCTAACTAGAGCTCAAGGTGGCCAGTCAGGCTCCTTGTTACACAGCACTCTTTTCTCAGCTCCTACAAAATATTTATTTATATGTATATATTTCTTTTTCTTCTCCTCCTCCTTTCACTCATGGGTGCTTGAAAACAGGTTTAGGAGCCAGTCATGTGGAATTTATCTTTCAGGAATGTCGAACACCCCTTGAGTTATCCAAAGCATACCTGACTAGGAGTCAGGAGGCCTACATTTTCTGGATTAAGGCTTGGTCCTAACAAACTGTCAGTGTGGACAGGCCCATCCATCTCTGGGGTCTGCTCCAGGCCTTACAATTCTGTAATTCACACTCATCAATGTGGTGGCAGGCATTAGTGTGTTTGTACAAAACTCAGCAAGAAGTAGTCTCCTTAGATGCTACATGTAGACTGAAGCGAGGAACTGCCTCCTGCTAATGCCAGTTGTGTTTTGAGTAAGAAGAATAAAAGGATTGATCTGAGCTGAAAGCAGAAGGGAAGATGAGGGGAAGGCCACAGAACACATAGCTAGCAGTGGCATTGGTGGGGGTCTGAGAGAGGCAGAAGCCCAGGGCCAGAGCTGAGAGATCAGCTTGTTTTTAGCATACACGGATGTGTTTGATCACATGATGGTTGGGAGGTACCTAGGCTAAGATAATCTTAATGTTAGGTGCTCATTTTAAAACATCAATTTAATGACTGAAGCCTATTTTAATGATCCAATAAAGGCCAAAGCCCTCACTACTATGATACAACTATTTCTCCCTAGTATTCACTCCTTGCCAAAAAAAAACAAAAAAAACCAAAAAAAAACAAAACAAAACTTGGCTGAGACAGCTATAGAGTTTCTGATTACAAAACAAGATCACCTTGATCATAATCATCTCAAGGTGCTTGGAGGAAAGAAGGAGAGATGAGTTCTTCTGAACCACATTATGTGGACAGAAATCTTCAAAGAGTTTAATGGAGGAATTAACTTTTGAGGAATTGAAAAAGGTATCATTTTCAGTAAGAGAAAAAATGACTGATACTTTCAATTGGTATGCTAGGGAAAGATAAATTCTAGGCAAGACCAGCTCTATAATTTGTGGGGCTCAAGGAAAAATAAAAAAAGTAGGGCTCCTTATTAAAAAATTATTAAGAATTTCAGGACAGCAACAGAAGCACATCAAGCCAGGCATAGGGCCCGTCCAAACATGGGACCTTGTGCAACTGCACAGGTTGTATACCCATGAAGCTGGCCCTAGTTTTAGTTATTGTTTTTACCAAGGTATTCCAGTCCCAGAGCTACCCAGACCCAAATGGAAAAGCACATACCACAACTCTCAAAACTCTCAGTTAACCCTGTCTTCCTACGGTAAGGACACAACTGAATTCTGCAACAAGGATCAGAAAATCCTGGGGTCTGCCAACATATTTGATAGATTGCAACTGCACTGGCTTCTGCGACATTTGTCACAGTCACTAATCCGTGTTTCTGTCACAACCTAAGGATGCCCAGGATATCAATGTCTGGGAATTCAAACATATTTTCTAAAAACACAAATTTATTTAAAAACAACAACAAAACAAGCAGAAGTCACTAAAAAGAAGCTGAGTCCCCTGGATGAAAGTCTGCTCTTAATCTCTTTCTGGCTTTACCTTGAGTAGGTCTTGGGTGTATGCACACAGGTTCAGAAGTGCAGGTGAATTACCACAATAACTCTTTTCAGTTAGAGAAAAAATAGCAGAAACAGAAGAATCTGGTCATAGCCTAGCAGAAACTCCCTCATTTCACCAACAGTATGCTTTCTCCCTTTCTTATTATGCTAAGTTGAAGCGATGACTTCACTCTCCATGGAAGCTAAGTTTCTCTTTCCTGGATGCTTGGAATGGGCCTGGTGAAAAGCTATTGGAGGGTAACATCATGTCTAAAAAATGTATGTATGTATGAAGAAAGTAGAGATTTAAAGAGCTCAGACCAACATCAAAAGAATAACAGCAGTCCAAAGTGAAATGAATGTGGCCTCTTTTCCAATGACCTTAGGGACTTTATATATACTTAGCCTACTTCTTGAGTGGATAGACCAGTAGCTTGGCAGATGCCTAGGATGTCTGTACAGGTTGAAACTTAATTCCGTCCTTTCTATACATCTTTGTCCCATTAAAGAAAAATATCTAATATAGAGAACCAGTTCACTCCTACAGCCAGAATTATACTTTGACACTAGACCAATTGCTACATCCTTGATTTAGGATTTTTTAAAAGATATCTATTGGCAAAGCTAATCTTTTATTTGGCTTAATAGGTTTGTACTGCTGCTCTGCATAAGGCCATTAGGGTCCATAAGTAGATGGAAATGTGTTTGAATCTCTATAATCATGCTTAGATTTCAAAAGTCTTCCATTTCACAGAGGTGATGTAGGCTCAGCCATCATTTTCAAGTGTTTTAACAAATGGTAATCAGCAGAGAAGGTCTTACTTTTTTTTTTTTAAAAAGTGACTGACCTTCACAATGGATGCACACATAAAACTCTGATTCATTTATTTTAAAACCATTCTCCCCTGCTGTAAATAGATAGCTACGATATATACATTAATATATGTGTGCACAATCAGCCTTAGCAATACTGCTGTGAAGTAGATGAGGATAGATGGTTTTCTATTTATTTGACAAATACACTATTACACAGATAGGTTAAGCGATTTGTCCTGTAAGGAAGGGTGGAGCTGGGGGAAAAAAAAATCCTCCCACATCTGCTCTTACATGATACCACTATGGAATTGGGTATCCTTTATTGTTTTTGAGTGACTTGATCTAAATAATGGGTAATGTAATTTTCCTGAAAAAAATTTCACTATTTCTCTCATTCCCTCTTACTTTCTTCTTCTCTCTGCTTCTCCTCTGAGATTATTATAAACTATTGATAAATGTGGTTGCTCTAAATTTACACTTGCTCTTCATGGGCTTTGATGGGTTTCAGCTTCTAAAGAGAGCATAGGGGAGAAAAAAGCTTATTTCTAAAAGGTTTTAAAAGGATAGATAACGCTGGGACAGTTTATTTGAATTAATGTCACTATAAAGTGGATACTGGTACGAGTACTGTCTTGGACCCTTCTCTCGCAAGAGCTAGTCCAAAGGCTCTGAAGTGATACCATGGGAAGGAAGAGCTTTTTGGAGGCAGAACCTGCTCATCAACACTCTGCTATTCTCCTGGGATATCAGACAAAAGCCAGAGCTTTCTGTGCACCTTCCTGTTGAACTGCTTTAACTTGGAACTATTCTCTACATTAGGGCTGTCCTCTCTGAGTCCCTGACCTTAGATGGTCTTTCTCTATTTTGGCACATATTTGCATATCAGTTACGGTGACATATTTGATAAATAATGGGCCTCACTGTTTTTTGGCCAGTGAAAAACTATTTTGCTATTATTTTAACTCTTTATTATCTCTTTTGTCGATTATTTGTGTGACTAAAAAGATTTCTTGTCTCTTATCATGCTTCTGGTTACTGTTTCTCAATGTCATCTGGTAAATGCTTAGAAAATACAATTTTATTTTGATAAATTCTAAACAAAACATAATTATGAAGAAAAACCAACAGAGACAAGTATATAATGAATTTTGAAGCTAAATATAATAAATAGTTCTGAATTTTCTGCCACTCCGGCTCATTTAGAATGTAACATTGCTGACAAATTAGTTATTCATGCTGTTTTTTAAAAATCAGGGGCAAAATTATAAGTTTCAATTCTCCTAATAGGAGTTATAACCCCTGCAGCATGAAAGCACTTGAGTAATGTTTGCTATGTGAAACTGGCTTCGGTGATTTCTCCTGAAGGAAACTGCACTATCAAAACCTTCATCAAGGCTGCTTCTGTTTAAGACCCACTGCACTACGAATGTCCCTGTACCCGTCAGAACCTTGGCTGGCTGTCATCCCATCAAGCACCTCATCTGCAGTTGCCACTCAGACATGTAAAGCGTGTGTTTGGGGACGACGCGCGGTGGAATGAGAAGGGATACAGAGCTCTGTTGTACCACTACATTTATTGTAAGCAACCACTTACACGGCAACTGCTTTGCTCTTTTATATTCTAGGCAACACACCGGTGAATATAATTCATAATGAACATATTCAACATTTTTTCCATCAGTTCAATACATTATTCATAAATATTAGAGATGGAAAGACCTGGAAGATTACAGAGTCCAAACCTCCTTTTTGTAACTCCCTTTCCCCTAACTGTTGATGGTAGCTCAAAAAATCCAAACCAAAACCAAAACAAAAAAAACCACCAACAAAACAAAATAAACCAAACAAACAAATAAAATACAAACACACAAGGAAAGCAACAAATTTACAAATTTTATAAGTAAAGTGAAAAGCTCCAAAGCTCGTGTTTGGTGGGGGTTGTTGGGGGCAGGATTTACACTGATGGAGCTCGCTGAAGACTAGGAGTATGGATGACTCTTTGCTTTGAAGACAGGCCAAGGGAGGGAAATGTCAGTTTCCCCCTTTTAGATAACAATTCAAGGTAAAGCCCAAGAGGCAATACCAAGTTCTTGGCCAAGTGTTAACTATCCATCTCTACAGCCTGTTGTGGACTCAGGACTCAGGCACTCTTCTCTTCATTTAGAACTTGAGATATTAATGCTAATGATAAAAAGAAAATGTATAAATGAATAGAGAGTGAAAACTACTAGAGAATGCTCCCTGGGATTATCTGTACTATCAAGATAGGAAAACTTTGCAGATGCTACTGTCTCTCTAGAGGAATAAATGCTTGCATTTTAATATTCTCAGCAGCTGGTTCCTGTTGAATGCCATCAGGATGATTCAGCCACCCACCAGGAACACCAGTAACAGCAAGTGCACACACAGAAATCTGCAAAACTTTCTTCTCTTGATGCCAACACCATTACTCTGGCAAAGTCAAAATCCTTTATTGAATTATCAGTTCTACTAAATGTGACCTTGTTCCCCTCACAAATACCAGCTTATTCTCAAATAAATGGAACTTCTGGCTGATTAAAATGTAACATTCCTTCTGACTTGAGCACACCCTGCTGTCAGTCTCTCTTCTGCCATGTTCATGTGATCTACCTCTTTTTCGTTTTCTTGCTATCCACTGAAACCTTGAAGGACTGGCAAGATCCATACATACTCAGAGTCCACTTTGTATGTTGCTCTGCTTGCTAAACCCATACATTTAATGTTATATCTCTACCCTTACATGTCTCAAGTTATTTCATCATTTCCATTTTTTAGACATTTTCTATTTCCACAGAATGTGTTTGTATGTCTGGAAAAACAGAAATGTGTAGCTGAACTGCATTTACCATTGACCTCATTAATACAGAATTACCATGCCATATTCAAGCTAGATAAAAATGCTATACTTGCCCTCTTCTTCAAATTTAGACCAGATTACACACTAAAGGGAAGAAAATGCCAAAGATGACAGCTAGCTATCAAAAAGATCTCACTGTCTCATTTTCAGGTCTCCAAAGTAAAATCTAAGGACATTCAACACAGATTCAGGTGCTCTCAACAGCCATGAAAATATATGGCTGAAGAGGGAATCTATAAATGTAATGAATACACAATTGGCTTATAACAGATGCAACCAAAATTAAATTCGATATCTTGACCTGCTCTCCAAAGTGAAAGTTTCTAGTTTAGGCTACAGACAGAGGTGTAACAAGCTCATTAATCACATGAACCAGAAATATAAGCTGACACTTCTGGGGATGCTGCAAAGAGCAGTCTTAAGCTGTTGGGGGTCTGTGGGGAACCTGAAAAATCATGTGGCTCTGACAGTCCACAGCAAGCAACACCACTGCATTTTACAATGTATGTGGGTCAGGCACTGGCCATAACCACCACTATTTTAAACTTCCAGGACAGGATTTAAGGATCTTTGTAGGGAAATAATAGGTCCAATATGGACTTTTATAAAAAGATTCAATATATTTTTATTAGGTTCCTGTTACACAAAAATCATTGTGTTCATTGCATGAGAAGACAATGAATTAGGTCAATCTATGACCTCGAGAAGTATATAAATGGGAAAGAATCAGAGGCAGGGGAATATTAATAAGTAATAGTAGCAATAACAATAACAACAATGATGAGTGATAACCTTGAGCTAGTCATTCTGCTAAGCACTTTATATACTACATTTCATGGAATTCTTATAGTATCCTAGGAAGGCAGATATCGTTTTTCTCTTTACAGACGTGGAACGTGAGGCCCAGTAAAATTAAGTACATTGCCTAAAATTATGTAGACCTGTTCTTTACATTACAAATAAATACATAAATAGCTTGCATATAAAATGAAATATGGCAAGGCTCATTAAAAGATACAAAGTGTTGTAGAAATAAAGGAGGCAGAATGTGTTTCTATTTGGGAATACTAGGAGAAAAGGAACATGGATGGGAAAATGTGGTGTGTGCTTAGGAAACAAGGATTGTTCCAGTTTGTAATGTTATAAACCTGTTGAATCATCAATGTCTCATTAGAACTCATACTTTGATAAGATAGTAAAATATACCAATCTGTACAGGAATATTTCTACAAAGAAATACTTCTTTCCAAAAGATCTTCTGACTACAATTTCTCAAAACTTTTCTTGTTATTTATTTTTTGGTGGCGATAGAGGGAGAAAAAATGTGAGATACAAGGCTATGGAGGTCTGGGCAGCAGTGTTAACTCCAGAGTCTCTAGGGAGTACAATGCATTTGGGTGCATTTTCCTTCATTCCTCAGAATGCCTTATCCTCATCACACATATTTGTCCCTGCCACATCCGAGGTGAGGTTACTGGCATAGAAATAGAAACCCTGAGGGTCTGGTTTCTTCCACTTCTTCAAAGTGGGATATCACTTACTTTTTATTTTTATAAATTAGTTTTAGTGGTCAGCCTTTTGGCATAGGAGTACATCAAGAAAACGTGAGTTAGAAAACTTGAGTTCTGGTCCCAGTTTTGCCTTGCTCATCTTGAAAGCATTTTATCTCTTCTCTGTGTTTAAGTTTTCTTATTGGCAAAATGAGTAGTTTAAGCCTGAATATCATTTCTTAATCTGTTGGACAACCCCCTCATCAAATTTTTTTTGATAAAAATAAAACCTTGTTTTAATGTAGATCCTTCTATTCTTCTCTATTTAAAATTCCTGGTTCACAGAATGCAATATATAGTACCATTAGTCCAGATAATTTTGTAGAGCTTTACTTTCTCTATTTTGTTAAGTTTTTCTCGTAAATTTTGTTTTCCAAATATAAAACATTGTAATATATATGTATTTTCAAATTCTACATGGTCCTCGACCAGATATTCCAATATTCCATTCTGAAGAGTTGGTTAACCCACTCACCCATATTGAGATATCTAAAGCCCCTTCAAGCTCCAAGATACAGTGATTATGATGCTCTGATGCTGACATTTGCTTTGTCAACGCTTAAAGCAGAGCTTTTAAACTTCAAACAATAGCATAACAAGTTGCTATAACAATTACACTTACATAAATCTTTAAGCAGATGTGCATAACAGCTCTTTACATCTACTATCACACTGGACAACCAAAGCTTATGATGTTGTTATAAATCCTTGCAATAGTAAATTCTACAGTTAATTATAACCTATAGGAAAAAGTACTGTCCATATTTAGAATTGATTGACTCTTATTTTCCACATCTGTTAATTTTGCACCCAGCTATAGGGCTTTAAATAGCTCCCATAACTTTAATCATTAGCCCCCACTCAGTCATGACTTCTATGTCTCACCCTTCTGACCTTGCCCACTGAGTTCACTCTTACTGATGTAATCAAACATGTTTCATTGTAGTTGCATTCGTCACAGTGCTCATTAGAATTATCATCATTCCTACAGCACCTCAGTGCAATGAAATTGTGTGCCTATGCAATTTGTTGTTATTTTAAGTTCTTCAGCTGGAATTTTAAAAATCTAGATGGACAATTTTATTTTATCTGATCGATAAATATATATCCAGTTAAGTGCCTCTGAAAAATTGGTAAGAAAATTATTTATTAGAGCAAAATCTTAAGTCTAGAGAGATTTTTGTAAACTTGGACAGCAGCATTCACTGACCTTGAATCCACAGGTTCAAAATTTATTAGTGTCAAGTTAGTCTTTTAAAGCAATCCATTAAAGCAATAAGTATAAAATATATATGGTTTACATTTATGTATGTGTTGAATTTAATAAATTAGTCAGGAGTCAAGGTATTTTTAAAGAAATATTAAATCTGTTCTATATTGATCAATTAACTGACTTTCTAACTTAAAATATTCTTTTGCTGTAGTTAAAACCTTTTTTTCTTTTTAAAACAAACAGAGTACATAAACTGTAAGGTGGCAATGTAGTTCACTGCGACAATCTATATATTCCTTAACGTTTGTTCTTTTTATGGTCATGGTATGTAGAAACAAATAAATGTATAATAGTTTAAGTCCAGGAGTTTTTGCCTGACTAAATTCTAAACACATAGCTTAAATAAAGGGTTGAAAGCCTGGCATCTCATCATTACTGTTTATATGTTATAAGGTTTGCAGGGCCACCTTATAAAATATATAGTTGTTTATTTTCATGTTCAATAAATAAGTAGTGTGGGGTTTCAGACTGAGAATGGATTACAGATTGTTCTCTCCTGGTTATTTTTGGCTTTAAGTATATTGATCATTTTATCATTTTCTTGTTTTAAACTACTTTAAACACAGCACAAATGTTATTCTCATCATGCCAGAAATGGGTTTGGAATTGATTCTGAGTTTCCATCAATTTTACTCTTTGCTCTTTGTGAGAAGTTTTGCACTGCTTAAATTCGAAAGGATAGTTTTGTTTAAAAGATGTCACAGTACAACATTTAGAGAACCTTAGCTGCCCAGAAAAACTCAGATTTTCTGCTTTACAAAAGAATAAAAATCATCGAATTTATTACCCTGGACTTTATTGAAATCAGTGAAGAATATTCATACAAATACAGTTTCACGAACTTCCTCTCTCTCTTTCTTCATGTAAGTGTTTGACAAAAGCATGTATCTTCTGAGAAGCCGGCCTGATTGGTCCAGGTTGGCACTGTTTCAGTGTTTGGCCTACGGCGGCTGCTTAGGAATAATTTCATCTCATCCTCTCTATTTTCCTGGACTGTATCAAACTCAGACACGTGGTATGCAAAGGAAATCCAAGTCTTTTAAAAATGCTATTTCTTTTGGTACTAAAGCCAAGACCAGTTCTACTTTGGCCAAATGATCTTATCAAGATTTAACAAGAGATATTCAGTAATATCTCCAATCTGTGAGAAGACATTCCACTAAGGAAGATAATTTATTACATACAGTGTACATATATTTCTCCACTTGGTACCAGGAAGAGACATGATCAAACTTATTCTATTGGTACTGAAAACAATGTAACACTGACAAAAATTCTGTGGCAATTATTCATTTCAATTAATTTAAAAAGAAATAAACAAGTAGCTCTTCCCCCATTAAAACAGATACTGGAAATCTATTTTCAGTTATTGCTGAAAATATTTTGGCTTCCACAAAGGCACCTTACTAACACACTACTTTGCCCTCCACTGTGCTGTCACAATTCAGAACTTGTAACATTTTATTCAGGTACTCTAGACTAATTAGATGAAACAACTGCATTACAGTATTAAGATGCTTTTGTAGAATTAAATGAAAGGAGATCTGCACAGTTCAGATAGCTTGGAAGATTTGCAATGAATATCACCAAAATCCTGCATGTGCAATATATTTTTCTACATTTACAAATTAGCTAATGAATAAGTGTATTCCACAATAACTGCTAGGATTTAATTTCACACTTAAGAATATCAACAAACACAGAGAGAAATTTAGATAGGTAAACTCCATTTCCCTTCCCACCCCACCCTAGTGCTCCCCTGCACTGTTTGCATTTCAGAACAAATGCTTCATGTCTCTTGAAAAGCGCCAGGAAATCTCTTCTCTAGCTATGCAGGCCTCAATTTTATGTGTGTAGTATGACACACCTTAAAAGAGAGAGCCCCACAAACTAGAGTGGGACGTTAATTTAAATACAGACTTAAGGAGAAGAGCTCCATCTACTGAATCAGTTAGATCATAGTGTGTACCCTATAGTTATCCCATTCACTACTTTCAACCACTTAGAGGCTCTGGAGGGAACAGGAAAGTTATAGACCTGAGCAACCATGAAAAACAGCTTTGAGCCTAATGCCATTTGGGATATTTCTCGGATACCCTGAGCCCCTTTCCTTTGCCCCTCCAATTTCAAAGCTTTCCATGTTGCAATATAAAATAAAAATGGATGTTTTGCTATATGAACCATCCCTTGGAAGTAGAAAGTCATTGGTTGTTGAAGGAAATGTCTCAGACAGTTGAAGAGAAAGCTACAGAAAGAAAATCTCTAGCTGGCAGGTTGGGCAGCCTAGGTAAGAAGGGAAAAGAAGAGTAGCCTACTTACTCCTCCTGCCTTGCACCATTGCTGGGGAAGCCTGCAGCCACCCAGGATCAGCTCTTCTGGCCTCTCCCCGGCTGCACAGTATTGTTGTGGCATTGGGAATTTGCTGTGGCTTCGTAAGATTATGGGGATGTGCTTCAGCAAGCCAAAAAAGTCACAAACAAAATTCAAGAGGAAAAAAAAAAAGTATAAAAACAGCTGATCTTACTGGAGAAGCTCTTGGCATTTTCCTACATATGCCACAATTTTCTCTGGTATTTCCTGGTTCTGTGATCAGAAAAATTATCGTATCATATTTATTACTGTTGTTTTTTTCAGGGTTGCTGGTGGTGACGGGTGGTACAGTGAGGGCAAACAGATGGATCAAGGAGAAGCAAAGTAAAGATTACTTCTCCCACTTGTTTGAAAGCTTTCCAAGAGATTGCAGGTTAAAAAATCTCTTCTTCAGAATACTGAAGATGTATAGATATCACATATAGGAAAAGATGGCCATACTCTTTCTAGATTGGGAAAGAAAAAAACTTCTAACACAGTAACAGATTCGGAACAAAGCAAATTGTATCAGAAAAAACTTAAACGTTCATATAGCTGCATAAAATTCAGCAGCATATAAGACTTATAAAAATACTTCATAAATTAAGATAAAATATTTGAATATAAATGGGTGTTAAGTATATATATAATTGGATGAAAGCAATAGTTCAGTGAATTTTTTATTACAGAAAAATAAAATATAATGAATTAACAAAAGTTTTACAGTAATGCTAACCTTTTCTCTTGTAGGTTAAAATAGAATTAATGTAACTGTAAAGTGGATTCATGTTTCCCTGTGGGTGTGAATGTATATATATACCTGCCCAGGTATTACTGACTGACACTGAAAGGTGATATGTTGCAAAGAAATTCAAACTTTGAGCATTATTTTAAATTGGGTATTTAAAATATCAGTATTAACCTGGCAGGTTTCTTTCTTTTTCTTTCTTTCTTTTTAATACATTTAATTTTCAGGGTCTGTTTTAAAGCACGAAAAGAAAAACAGATTAGAAAAGCATTGCACATCAATAAGTATTTTGTAAAATAATCCATTTGCATTTATTAGAATATTCAGTTCTCAAAAAACGGCTAATTGGATTTTCTTCAAGCCTTTTCAAGACAAGTTCAGTTCTGTGTCAAGGATAACTATGAGAAATTTCACCTCAAAAGGTAATTTGTTTGGTTAGTTATAAAAGCCTGAAAAACAAGATTATCTCCACCATAACTATAACAAAACAGCTAATGAGTAAGTACATTCTGGTAAGAATCGATAAGAATGGCAAAGCCTGAGAGGGTCATCGCAGACTTGAGAAAGGTAACCAAGTGAGGAAACATCAAACAGAGTTAAAGCATTCTGAAAAACGGAAAGTGTTAATAATCACTGACAGGAAAGAATATTCTTCGATAGCGATGACAACAACAAAACAAAACAAAACAAAACAACTAAAACAACTGGAAATACATATCTCCAGAGGCAAACTATGACTACTTATTAAGCAAGAGGAGAACCTGCTTCTTTGTCATTCCCTTTGGAAGCCTAGCTTTAAAAAAAAAAAAAAAAAAAGGTTGCACAAAAGATACATGTGTTCCTTTTCTGGTATTATTACAGGCCCACCTAGATTTAGCTTTCGATTCCAGATGAGATCAGGCATGTTCAGACTAGCACATCTTTGCTCTGTAAGCACAGAGCTGCTATCATTTCACTGGCAAATTCTCGTATCCCCAAATTTATGCACAATAGATACCCTTTAAAATCTGCAAATTTTCTATTTCAGTGAAATAACTGATTGAGTTAATTTTTTTTCTTAATTTACGCTGCTCGTATTAAGCTGAAAAGTTAAGGCAGGCAACTCCTATAAAAAAGGAAAGTTGAACAGTACTTACCCTAAGTGTAATGTGCAAGCCTTAATGGGGCAATTTACTTTTGCTCTATGATATTTAGAAAGGTGTCCAGGTCTAAACTCAGCTCTCGCCTTTTTCCCTTCTGGAAAACTGAGTAGACTCACAGAAGGTGCCTCTGCGAAAGATCATACAAATCAACAGCCTTACCTGTGGCCATTCAGAAGACTGCACTTTGGTGTGTGTTTAAAACTATGAATAAAGTCAGATACAGCGCATGCTCAGCAGGCAATTTAAAAATATTTATAACATTGTTGTTTCAAAAACAAATTTCCTCAAACAAAGCAAAACTCAAATTTTTTTATCCATGCCAAGTTTAACGTTCTGAGACAAAGCTGTTTTGGAGTTTTCCGCTGAAGGAAAAAAGGCTTTTAAAATTTTTTGTTGAACGAAAAATAGTTCTCTCTTCCCTTTTGGGTACGCTTAAAGGGGTGGAATAAATTTTTCTCCAAGTTTCAACAAAATTCACCTCTGGCTATGATAAGGCATTACAAATTTAAGGTCTGTAAAAAATAATTTTAGAGAAACTAACAAGAAACTAAAAACTATGGGTTTAAAGAATGTAATGGTCATCTGAACTTTCAAGGCAGTCTTGCATGTAACTATACAAAAATTATATCCTGATACAAACAGGATATATTATATGTAGATAAGAATAATGTGTATACAACCATATGCATACCTAGAGAAGTTTTATTTTTCTTTTGCTAACTAAAATCAGAACTCTCTAAAGCCGAAAAAGAAATACAACAAAAATTTAGGAGAAACCCAGTAATAACATCGGCACAATTCATCTGTTTTTCATAGCAAGCGTGGAAAAGAAGGCAATCATACCAATTGATTAAATTTTGAGATATATAAAATAAAAATTTGATAAAAGAAGGTTTTTAAAGTATGAATTGCAGTAGAAATGCCTGTTTCGTTCCTGGTTGAAAATTTCTTTCTCTTCCTTGAATATCCCTAAGCATTCCATTTTACCATCTATCACCAAACCCTGAACAGCTCACAGATCTCACAGATCTTATTTAAATCTCTTACTTAATTCTTAAGTCTCTGAATGAATTTCAGCTCCTGCTCTACTTTCCAAGGGTGCTCAGCTGGCCTCACAAAAGCTCCACAGACACATCGTTCACTATCTCTGATGCTTTCAAGCTTAACAGAGGATGCCAAAAAAAAAAAAAAAATCAACGATTAAAAAAAGTTTATTAAAGTGAAACTAGGAGTGCAAATTTGAAGAAGTTGCTTCTACTTTTATTTCTCTCTCAACTCAGCACAGGTGTTTCCTAACTTATACTGCTGTGCATGCTGATGAAGGGGAGGGTTAAATTAAGGTGAGGGAGTGGGCCAAGGGCAGACCAACAAGCATATAGGATCTCCAGCCTCATGTGTTAATGGATGTGTTTAAAAATGGACCCCCCAAAAAGCCTAGAATGAGGTTTCTTTTTGGCAAATAATTAAACCAGTATACTGAAATAATTAAAGCTTTGTCTTTAAATAAAGCATCAGATCAACAGAACAAAAACAAAGATAAAAATTGCACACACATATGCATGTGCGCACACACGCTATGACACACACAGATACGCAAAACTAGTGGGTGAGGGGAGAAGGAAATTAAATAAAAGAAAACAAACAGAGTCCTAACAGGCCATTCTCCGAAAAGGAATCTAAATAAAAAGTCATATGATATCTGATAGTGCAGGACACGTCGCCAAGAACTGGAGCGGATTGCCTACAGGAAGAAAGGGCCAGTGTATTCCAGCTCAAAGAGCTTTTCTTTCCTCCTCCTCTATTTTTTTTCCCTTTTCTCCTCGACTGTGAATGTGTCACTCTCAGGTCAGATCCACGAAGAATCCCAGAATGACAGCTATCACCTGTCACTGTACTCTTGGCGGCACAACTAGCTGATAGGAGCTGCCTGAGTTGGGATCAAGAAGAGCTAGTGCAGCTTTCAGTAACAGCCTGTTATCCCAGTCCCTCTGCCCCTTTCAAAGATCCCCTTGGTCACATCAAAAACAGACCAAAAAGAAAAAGAAAAAAGAAAAAAAAGGGGGGGTACCAAATGAAAA
Source organism: Homo sapiens (assembly GCF_000001405.40). Lineage (NCBI taxonomy): Eukaryota > Metazoa > Chordata > Mammalia > Primates > Hominidae > Homo > Homo sapiens. Next base: position 114,452,107 of record NC_000003.12, read on the forward strand.
ATTAAAAATGCAGGGACAACAGCCCACAGCAACAAAAGAATTCAGGGAGAAAAAATAGAACACAAGCAAAAAGGAAAAAAGCAAAACCAAAACAACTCTTGTCTTCAATATAAAACTTTTTAAAGACTGAGTTTCTCTTATTTGGATGACATTCTTTTTAAAAGTATTTTTCTCCTTAAGCACTATTAAAAGCATTAAAAAATTCTACAAAAATACAGAAAAGTCTGAAAGCAATTCAAGAATATTCCTAAAGAAAACATGTAAGTGTAAGAAGTGAGTTACCCTGGAAAATTCTGGATTTGCCAAAAGTTCCCCTACTTCTAATATCTTTCAGTGAGTTCAAGTGCTAACACTGGCCACCTAGTACTTGTTTTTTATCTGAGGATCATTACTGAGGCAACACATACATAGTAAGGTTTCCCGAAAAGACTCCTTGTTATCAAGTTACTTCAAACATAAGGCACTCACACCTCCCAGCCAGGAGGGTTTTTTGATGAGCATCACACTCTGCCCTGATATGTATTACACCCTTAAGAAGCAGTTACATAAATGCATTCTATAATTATGGAAAATGTATATATCTATATTTTCCCCTACATTTTCCCTCCCCAGGGATATGAATAGATTTTATTTTCAGTTAATAGAAAAAAAAAGAAAAGAGTTTCTGATTCTTGAAACAACTGTTGTAGCTGTTTTCTACTTAGCAAAACAGTTATCTGTAGTTAGGAATGGTACATAATATATATTTAAGGATTTTTGTAGAGCTTGAGAATTGTTCCCCTTGTTTAGTTTCGTGTCTATAATGTACCTTAAAAAGATTTCTAAGTGACAATCAACATATAAATGCATTAAGAGGAGAACTTTAAGAAAGAAAACATTATCTTGGGTTTACAAATCCAGGATATTAGCATAAAGATATAAATGTACAGCATATATAAAAGATAAAATTGTTTACTACATTTTACACATACAGCTCACATCTGATTTCTTTTTGCTTTTGTTGGAGCATTAATTTGAAAATGATAAGCATTCTGAAATGTTTGCTACAACACAAATTCATGGTAAAAATATACATGCATAGGCAAAAATTGAAATGGAGAACACAAAGCTACGTGGCAATCAGAATCGTTGACAAAATCTCCATCTAGACTATATTTTGCATGAACTAGTGTATCATAGAAGGGGCAAGAAATCTCTCTGGGGGTTTTGTCATTTACATAATTAGAAACAAAAATAAAATACAAATATCTGCTCCCTTACTACCTTTTCTTAATAACTGACAAGTGACACAAGTGGTACCTTTTAAACAGATGGATGCAAAAACTTGTGAGATCGAATGAACTGATGTACCCCATTGGTATTTTGGGAACCCAAATTCCATAATTAACTTTTTACCCAAGTGGCAAAAGTAGAAGATGTTCTAGTCACCAAATTGATTATTTGATGGACTTTTGTTCTTTCTTCCACAAGATTTTGGCGACCCAGAAAGGGTAAAGACATGATAAGAGAAGATGCATCCTGAACAACTTTTATTGTGAGTAGAAAAAAAATAGCATAAAGTGAGCATAAGAACAGTTGGATTTGGAAAGATTAAAAGAGGAGAAAAGAGCAACATATGCAACTTAACTAGTCTTTTTCTTTTTAATTTTTTCATGTACATATATGTATATATTGGGATGATGGGGAGAAAAGATAACTGGATTTCTTTTGAATGTCTTTGTGTCTTTATAGAGTGAATGTTCTGTTCCTGTCTCTTTCTTTTTAGGCGAAAAACTAATAAAAATAGAAAAACATATATCAGACATTAAGCTCACTCCCCCCCCCCCCACCCTTCCCTTTGTAAAGAACTCTTTGTTCTCTAGTGAAAATGCTGAAAAATCCCCGGGCAGCTACTCCCTGAAACAAGTGCAAAACACTTAGAGGCTTTTGGGCTGGCTGGGAGCCAGAAACCCTCCCGCTGTCTGGTTAGAAGAGGAAAAAAAGAAGAGAGAGGGAGAGGGAGAGAGGGGAAGAGGGATGGGGGGCAGAGAGAGAGGAAGAGAGAGAGGAAGAGAGAGGAAAAGAGAAGGGAGAGAGAGAGAGAGAGAGAGAGAGAGAGAGAGAGAAATTGGAGCTTCCTTTAATAGACATAGGAAGCAGCGTTTTTTTCTTTCTTTTTTTTCAAAACTGGCGGTCAAGCGTTAAGTAACTCCCGTCTAAATCCACCTGCTAGAAATGAACTTGGGTAACCCCCCAGGGGTGCACAAAGACAGGGAAGACAGTAACATACTCCATACTCTTTCCCACCCCCCGTTGTACTGCTTCCATTCTTTCTGCTCTCATACACAAATGCCCACAGCTTCTCACGCCGCCCCTCTTACCCCCCAACAACAAACACAGCAAAATACATGCTCCCTCGGTCTCCTAAAAAAAAAAAAAGGCTTTTCCATCTCGGTTGCGACACAGTGATAAGGGGTAGCGAACATCTCATACCTGGTGTGAATGCTAATCAGTCAGGAGTTCTCCTTTTCCCAAGACAGGGAACTGTTTCCTTCCAAATTTATTAGAACCTCCTCCACTGCCTCTTTGAAAAACCTTCTTTGTCACCCTCTCCCAAGTCCCGATACTTCTTTAAAAAAAAAATGGCTTCGGAGCTCCTTCTATTCTTGATATTGATTCTCTCTCTCTCCCCCCACCCCTCCTCCTCTCTCCTGTCTGTGTCTCTTCTGAGTGGTCTATTGATAAGTCCCTGGAGGCACTGGGTCAGCCTGCCCGTAGGAAACCAGACACAATGCACAAATCTCCGAGTGCCATTCTGCCATCAGCAAGCAGACCACGTTTAGGAGAGAGAGAGAGGAAAAAAAAACAGTAGAGCAAGAGACAGAGAGAGAGAGAGAGAGAGAGAGACACCAACCGAGGGAGGGAGAGAGAGACTGAGAGAGAGGAAGAGAGAGGGGGAAGAGAGAGAGGGGGGGGAGAGAGAGAGAGAGAGGGAGAGAGAGGAGAGACGGAGAGAGAGAGTGTGTGAGAAAAAGACTGATTGGAACAGGAGGGAGAGAGAGAGAAAAGGAGAAGGAGAGAGAGCGCGAGAGGGAGAGCGGCACTGCCAGTCAGGTTAATCATCCCTACTTTAATTAGCTGTTCGGCTTAGACATAAAACAATTGAATTTGAATGATCTGTCAGCAGGCTCGGCTGAACCAAAGGGGAAAAGCGAATATTACAAAAAGACTGTTGGTGTGTTCTGATAAGCAATACTGCTCGTACTGACAAATCCTCAAAGGGGGAACTATTAAAACTTACAACTAAACAAAAAGTGCAAATACAAATGGCACTAGATAGAGGTCTTTAAAAAATGGAGTTTTCTCCTCTAGTTTTATGAACCATAGATATTTATGTGCAGGTGCCAACATATTAGGGGTTTTCGTGTAATGTGTGAAAGTTTATTAACGATGGTCTAGGAGTGTAGCAGACAGATGCTGCAGAGAACAAGACAGGTACAGTCAGATGCCGAATCTAGATCTTGGAGGGAGAAGGATGCTGGAAGAAGAGGCACCGTGGCAAGAGATCAGCACAGACAAAGTCAGTGGGCAGATAGGCAGACAGATTTTAGGCACGGCACGATCTCATCTAAAAAGGCAAAAGTTCTGATGCAATATTAGGTACAAAACAATCCATCCATCCTCCTCTCCCGGGTGCACTCCAAGGTACAGTTAAAATGGATTAATCTTTGTGACAAACAGAGCTGGCAAGGCAGACACTGAAGGCGATTTGCAGACCCAGAGAATACAGAGCTAGAAAAAGCCCCAGAGATCAATCTCTCCCCCTCCCAATTTAGTAGAGAGGAAACTGAGGCCCAGAGTCGACACTAGACACTAGGACTCCAGGAGCCCACCAGGCCAGTGCTCTTTCCACCACACCAGCTAACCTAGAGTATTCTTTGAAGATCTGGCCCAACAGGTATGAAAATCACCCTTACCTCCCAAATAAGAAGATTACTCCACCTATATAGTTAGTGCACAAACCTCCAATTTCTCAAAATGTTTAAATAGCCAAATGGAAATATAATTACATATATAAATACATTTCCACTTTATATATATGTGTGTTTATGTATATATATATATATGGAGAGAGAGAGAGAGAGACCATTTTGAATGCTAGGAACAAGGGATTTAAGTCTTTAATTCATTCTAGGAGAAAAGCAGAAAAATATAATATTGTAGAGGCCTCGTCTCAGCAAGATATAACTTGTGTCACATTTTCAAGCTAATGAAGGCTAGTGGTTTGATCTACAAAGACCTCACCCTGAATTTACAATTCGCTCTATGAACATCATCTGCTATATATCACCAAGTGAGAAGATGTGGTTTTTCTCATACACCTCGTTTCTAAAATATAGGCACATTGTGGGTGAAAGAGATTGAGTCTTTCAGCATACTATGTAGTTTTAAAGCACTGATGAGATTTTCCACCTGGAGAATTAGGTATGTACAACCTTTCCAATATATTTCAATTGAAAATGAGCTACTAAAAAGGGGAAACTATATTTTCCGCCCATGAAAGTGATGGTATCTTTTTCGGGACACATATGATCATGTTCACTAAGGATTCCCTTTTGACAATGGGTAATTGAAGGTCCAGTTTTTAAATGGTGAAAGAGGTGCTTATGAAGAGAACAGTGCCATCAGATGTTACTGGAGAGATTAAGTTTCTTGCCCTAAAACAAGACTCAGGATGTGTATGAAACCGAAAACTATCTCTCAGTCATGCTTCAGCAACAACATTGCTACTTAGGGAGAAAGAAGAAAACCGAAAGAAATGTCAGGCACGTGGGAGCCCACTCAAAGACAAGTAATCTGAGAGAAGTCATAGCCAGAGTAATTTAGTTTATTTGCACACCAACCTCTTTAACAATGGCTGCTATGCCATGCCTAAAACACACGGCCTACAGTTGACTGATTTGGAAAGGGGGAAGGAATCAGTGATTTTGATAATGGCAGATCCTTTGGCAAGCCCCAAAATACCTGATAGGCCAGAGCCCAGAAGAAAGCAGTGGAGTGCTTAGTAAATGTCTGTTGGTGAACTGAGAAAAAAGAACAAGAGCTTTGGAGCAAACACATATTTATATATAACACTGCAAAAGTCACAGCTACTCTGAAAGCCTCAGTTTTCCTTTCTGTAAAAGGTGATGATATTGGTCCCATAGAGTTGTCTTAAGGATGACATGAGGAAACATATAAAGTACACAGCTAGTCATTACACGGTAGTTATTATGGAGGAAGGTGTGTAAACAAAAGTGTATATTATGGATGTGCTGAGTGTGTTATATTCAAAGCATGTAGGTTCAAGACATGAAAGCATATAGCAAAGCAAGGATCTAATATACAGATCTCTACTAGAAAGGATTGGCAGTAGAGATTATAAAGTTTAGAACTAAATTCCTAAAATCTAAACTTCAAGGATGTTAGGTCATCTGGGGTTGTATTATTTCTTTGTTCCCAGATTTTACTATATTTCCTGGCTCATAATAATAATGATGGCCAACATATTACTAATTGGCTTGCCCTAAGCAGTCTGCTAAGGACTTTACATTTTAAAATCATACTTTAGCATCACAAGAATCCTATGAATGAGGTACTACCAATATCCGCATTTCATAGAAAAGAAAACTGAGGTATAGAAAGATTGTGTAACTTGCTCAAGATCACACGCCTAGCAAGTGAGGAGCTGGGAATTAAATCCAGCCAATCTGATTTTAAAGCCCGCATTCTCAGCCATGGTACTAAACTGGCACACAGTAGGTATTCAGTCAATGTGTGTTGAATGAATAAGCAAATAAAAAAAACACTAGAATTTTTATTTCATTGGAGATCAGTAATAATCTGTGCAAAACCACTTGAGAGAATCTTGTTTTCGAATTATAGAATCTGTCCTTCTTCTGTAGCTCACTTCAGGTGTAGTCCTTTGTCAGAAACCAGGGTGAGCCATGTCCCTGCATGGTGCTGAAAATGGATGAAGGGAAGAGTGCTGACCATGACCACCCAGGGCATTTAAATATCTGACGGCATTTTCAGCACTTTGAGGACAGTGTTAGCACAAGGGTTATTAATTGGCTTAATTCCAGTTCGGATAATTACATCGTGTCTCTTTAATTTTCCCCCGACTATGCCATTCTTCACTTCCTGTCACAAATGTGCTCTTTAAAAAAGCATACGAATACACACAAACATATAGTTATATTTAAGGTTTGCATAATCATTTAGGGTGCTTTTTTTTCTAAATGATCAGTGTATAGTAGCTATGTAATAAATGAATGGGCAAAAGAATTAAAGTCATTGTAAAATAAAGATAACTAGTTGAAGCTTTTTGTTTGGCAATGAAACAGATTTTTAAAACATTTCCTTGGTGACAGAATTCCAATCACATTTTTTTCTCATGGGCAGATATTTCCAGAGCTGATGACCTGCTCATGATAAGCTGATTTTCTTACACTATGTAGTTTCCAGTATAAAAAAATACCAATGAAAACTTCGATATTTTAGAGTAGAAAATGAGACTAAGTCCTGAGTGGTAGAGCATACTGAACGTACGGGTTTTCAGTGAATTATTAACCCATTTATTAGCTCTGACTTACTTGACAGGTTTTTTTTTTTTATCTCCAAACATATCACTAGAATAATCTTCAAATTATGAAAGAAAAGGACAACATATCCTAATTTAATAAGCTTAGGAAAGTTTGACAGTCATAAACAGACACAACTCCTTTTCCTTTTTCCAAAGAATTCTTGGCCTTTGAAATACTGTGCCTGCATTATACTAAAGAAACACTCCCAGAAAAATATGCTTAAAACATGTACACAAATAGGTAAATGCACCCATGGTAGACCATAGTTTATTAGGCCTTTTTAGTGTACATTTGTATGAATAAGTCATCAAATATAGGGAGTGTGGAAAATAAGAGAATAAAGGGTTAATTTATTTATTATGCAGGAAGGTTTCTAGATCTTTGCTCCTTCAGCTTTTAGTTCAAAATTCCATGCATATTCTGCACATAATAATAAATGCCATAATTCAACGTATCTCATAATTTGATTTACTTTCAAGCACCTTTTTTTCTGGTTCAGCTCTTGAAGCCTTCCTTCTTATAAACTTCCTCCAAGTTATTTTTTGTAGCGCTCTGTAAAATATCATTTAAAGTTGGTGTTCATAAGATAACCCTCATGCTATAGAGAGATTTGTATCAAACTAGTCCATATTTCCTTTTGAGAACCAGTGGTCAAGTCCCATGCTCTTATCTGAGAACAAGCCACAATAAATATATAAAACAGCCCTTTCCCACCTGTTTGACCCCTGTAATAATGATAGCAGTCTCTCAGTGACTGCCCTCTGGTTAGTTACTCATTCCTTAAGACTGAGCTCTTCCAGGACAAGGTCTTTCCATTCTACCTTGTATATTTAATGTATTGTCCAGCATCACACCTGCCATGGTGGTAGATGATCTCCCAGAAAAGCTGGAAGCAACAAATTTTAATTCCCTTTGTTCTTCATGAGTAAATACAAATTTTTCTCTCTGTGTGTCAAGTTTTCAACATGTAAAAGGGGCATACTTTATCCTAAGATTAGTGATTTGATGTTCAGAAAATAATATTGGAGGGTATAGTATTTAAGAATTAGCTAGTGAAAAGCACTTGTTTTGGTTATTTTCATAGTATCGCCACTATTTTTATAGCAAGAAGTACTTAGAAAACATGTTTTAAATTCAAAATTTAGGTGAATTTTGAATTCAAAAGAAAAGTGGACAAGATTTATCCTGAATATTAGAGATAGTAAGCACTTGGTTTTTAAATGCCATTTAGGAACAGCCTGACAGATTTTATACAAGCAGAAGGTATTTAGGAAATTCTCTGGTTCTCTCAGTTTACAGAGAAGAGCTGAGTGGCAGAGATATTTTATCTGACAAGCTTAAGGTAAAAAAACTTGGTAGAAGTGAACTAGTGCTGGAACCCAGTCTGTCTGTCCCTGGTTCCACACTCTTCTCACTCATACTTTGAAAGATGGCTTTTATACTCTTGACTCCAGATCCCCTCTTTTTTGGACATATTTTACTGACGGAACTCTTAAATTCTGGTGCTGATAAAGGGGTACAATATTCCTAATGTAGTCTGATAAACACACTACAAAGGAACTATAGTAGGCTGAGGAATGGCCCCCCCCAAAAGATATCCATGTCCTAATCCCCAGAACCTTTGAATGTTACCTTACGTGGCAAAGGGGTCTTGCAAATATGATTAAATTAAGGCTATTAAAATGAGGAGATTATCCTGGATTTTCTAGGTGGACTCTAACTGTAATCACAAAGGTTCTTATAAGAGAGAGGCAGGAGGATCAGAGTTAGCAGATGTGATGACAGAAACAAGAGGTTGGGGTTATTTGAAGAAGGGGTCATGCACCAAGGAGTGCAGGGTCCTCCAAAAGATAGAAAAGGCAAATAAATGGATCCTCCTTTATAGCCGCTAAAAGGAACCAGCCCTCCCAACACCTTTACTTTAGTACAGTGAAACTGATTTGAGACTTCTGGTTTCAGAACTGTAAGAGAATACATTTGCATTGTTTTAAACCACCAAGCTTGTGGTAATTTGTTATAACAGCCATAGGAAATTAACACAGGGACCATCAGCTACCTTGATCTGGACATAATCTTTCAACACAGTTGAAATATTTCTTAGCTCTTTAAAAAATTATTTTAGCAGATATATTACCTTACTGGTTCAAACTGAGCTTGTGATACAAGAACCCTTACCAGTCTTCAGAAAAATATTGACTAGGATAAGTCAAGGAGGGTCTTTTCTCCTGACACTAAGAGCTTCCTTCTAAGTTGACATAAAGCAATCAATCTAATGATTATTGGTTAATTGATCAGTTGGCTGCAGATCCATCTAATCACATTTGCCCACCTCCTGTCTTATAGTAACTCTTCACTGGTGGTTTGGCAATTGTATCTCCAAGTTAATCTACAACAGTAGTTCTAGTTAGAAGCAAAGAGAAGGGTTTCAGTGTCCATTTCTTGAGTGCCAGAGACCTGAACTCATTCAGAAGTGAGTGCTCTCTTGCTAGACCCCCACCCCACATTTTTTTCTGAGCTTTCTTAACAGAGGTCAGAAAAAAGAAGCATGAGGCAGCTTAGGCAAAAAACAAACAAAACAATCTCCTCCCCCCCCCCTCTTTTTTTTTGAGACAGGGTCTTGCTCTGTCACCGAGGCTGGAGTGCACTGGTGGTGTGATCACAGCTCACTGCAACCTCAACCACCTGAGCTCAAGGAATCCTCCAGCCTCAGCATCCAGAGTAGCTGGGTGTGACCACAGGTGTGTGCCACCATGCCAGGCTAATTTTTAAATTTTTGTAGTGATGAGGTTTTGCTATGTTGCTCAGGCTGGTCTCAAACTCCTGGCCTCAAATGGTCCTCCCACTTGGGCCTCCTAAAGTGCTGGATTACAGGTGTGAGCCACTGCGCCCAGCCCCTATCCAAACTTTAATAAGACTCTTTTGCCATAGTGTATCATTGCCATTCAGTTACCGCTTACATTCTATAGGATAGTGCTCCTAAAAGAGTAGTCCTTGGGCCAGCAGCATCAGCATTGCCTAGAAACTTGTTAGACACGTAACTTATTGTGTCTTATTCTAGACCTACTGAATCAGATGCTCAGAGGTGGATGTCTGAGTGTGTATATTTTAACAAGCCCTTTAGGTAATTCTAAAGCCTAGCTGAGAACAATTGTCATAGGACAAATCTGTGAGGCTCATCAAGGCTAATGAAAAAACACGTTGGACTCAGAGTGAGATCACCTGCTAATCTAGGTGTCATGGTGACTCTGTCATTTGCCAGCTATGTGACTTTAGATTATGTTCTTAGTCTATTTGTCTCATCTGTAAGATGGAAATAATAATAATTAATAATAATAATAAATTGCTTTATGTGAAAAGTTAATGTAGAAGTTAACAAGATCATGCATATGAAAACACTTTACAACCTCAGGGTTATTATTGTAGAAGAAACATCAATTTGGATTGCAAGTATCCTAGGACCACATTGTTGGTGATATTGCCTTGATATTTCATATTAACTAGGGCTCCCAGGTAGTAATACTGAAAAAAAGTTCAAGAAGCTCCAGATGTCCAATTCTCCAGGCCAAAATAAAGGCTGGAAGTCTGTAGATGTTTAAAGGGTGTGATGCTGAATGGAGGATCTGCTGGCATTATTAGTCTCTAGAACCAAGTGCTAAATTTCTTGATTTGAAAGTCTACCTTTCTATTTATCAGGTAGCAGAATTTAGTGACAGCTTTGAATTCTGTATGCCAGTGAAAGTCTATGGCTTGTGGGATTCAGAACCACAATTTTTTATCAATTTCCAATGACACTCAGTTTTAGTAAAGTGGCCCATGATCTCTTGCATTTCCATACCATATTCTCAAATAAGTAAGAAGCTCCAGGGAGCTCGCTCAACAATTGATTATGGTCACATATTTTTTCAATAGAAAATATGTATATCCTGGTAGGTGGGAAGGATGGTCCTGATCAGGACTGAGATCTTTTTAGAGGTTCAAGTCCAAACTCTTAGTAGGTTGAAGGGAACTCAGATGCAACCAGATTAGACACAACTATGATTTTCATGGAAAATCATCAGAATTTTATCCAATCTCTGAGTAATGAAAATTTGCAGTATTTCTCAACAGCTCTATATATGTGGAGAAAACCACCTCATAAGAAAGCTAACCATGTCTTTTCCTTCTTTCATGAAATAATAGTGACGTATGCCTCTTGGCCTGAGGACTCGTCCTTCCTCTGAAGACTAATGTCTGCACGTCACCTTTTGGCAACCCCTCTGTGCCTTGCAGGACAGTTGTGTAGCAAAGATTCTGTTTGGGTTGCTGTTTCCTCTGAGCCAGTCACACTGGTGCATCAGGAGATGCAGCTGCACCTTTTAAGAGCTCTGTGTCCTTAAGCAAGTCATCTGTCCTTTTACATTTCATAGATTTTTCATTTGTAAAATATGAATAATATGTGCCTTACCAATCTTACAAATTGTTCTGAAGATCAAAATGGATGATGTATCCAAAATGCTTTGTAAACTAAGAATCTCATTCGGTTGGTGTTACTGATGTTGTTATTATTTACTCTTTAGCAGGAGAGTAAAGATATATACAGACATATTGGGTACGGTAGCTTGAATATTTTTAGACATCTACGTTGTATATGCCTCCAAGGTTTCCCCCTGAACTTACATTAATCCCTTTTTCAGGTTACAGCTAAGGTGGTAACTAAGGATGTTAATTTCCTTTAGGTCCCTATAGGATCTCTATTTTGATCATGATTAGTTTATACATGAAATAGACACTGCTGCAGAATTTACAATGTTTCCATTCTGGCCAACTCAACTTTGAACATATTCCCTAAGTAAGAACAAATTCAGTACTATAACACTGAAGAAAACATAGCATCCGAAGCTGGTATTGAGGGAGTGAAAATATCTTCAAAGGCTTTTTCTTGATTGCTTAATATAAAAAATCTGCTTAGAAATGTCCACTAGTTCAACAAGCATTCCTGAAGGAAATCTGTAACAAAGCTACTGTGCATTAACATTTAAAAGAACAGGAACATGTAGTCTACCTCAAAACAAATTATTATTGCTTGAATTGCCCAAACTTTGTTAACCAAAATTGAATTTCGCCTAAGTTGAATTCATGTGAAGAGCTCATAATGCATTGTTGCTATTTAGATAGTTGTCATAGTATGTGGTACTCAGTAAGTCCTCTAAAATGGAAGGGAAATTAACTACATGGTATAATTTCAACATAAGTCATTAATATAATTGTGCGAAGAATATCTCTGAATATATTGAACTGCTATTTGAATCTTTAATTGTGCATACAATTCTACCTTTTCTGCTATGCATCCTTAACTAGACTATATGCTCCCTGAGGACAATTCCTGATTTACACATCTCCAAATTTCCCGCTGCCTTCAGTACAGTGGTTTACAAGTAGCATTTGCTTTCAAACTATCTGCTGTTTAATTATATTCACTTTTTATTGGCTTTTCTTGGGGGGCAATTTATGCACATAAAGTGTCCATAGATAAATGCATCATTATCACTGAGGTGAAAGTTGTGATTCTTAATTTTTTTAAAAAAACATATACATTGGGCCACTTATTTTTCCTGTGTGACACTCAATCTAATTATAGAAGTGAATAGAAAAACATGATCTCTTTTAAAAGGCGCACTTTACGTGAAACAATTTTAGGAATTCAGCTTATGTGTCAAGTACAGTCATTCTGCACAGTGATGGTGATGGGGAGGCTCTATGTACTATGGTTTTGACAGAAAATATTTTAACTTAAAGCCAGCTACCCATAAAATTACGTAAACATAAATATGCACTCTCCCACAAACACATTTGCACATCTTTAAACTTAGATTAATGCAAAGAAAAGATATATTCTTTTGTTCTAGTGGAATACAAATGATAAAGACTAATAAATGAATAAATAAAGCTCTAGGTAACCAAATCAATGTCTGCTCAATTCTGGTCAAGGAGGTGAAGGGAGGTTTCCCTTTGAGTCAGAGAATGTAGTGGATAAAAAGGACATGAATAGCTGGGGGGATTTCCTGAGGCCATTGTAGACCAGCTCACACACTGTTAAGAGGCTCATTTTCATGAGACTTTTGGTTGCATTTGTAACACTTGCTCTAGGTCCCCTAGAGCATTGAGTGCCACATCACAGCACTACAATAACAGGACTAAATGCAAGAAGGTACATTACAAGGTTCTTTTTCTTTCAGCTCTGAATATCCAGGAGTTTGTAGATGTTCTCAAGACTTTTTTTCCCCTTCGTTTTTCCTTCTCCCCCAACCCCCACACACTCCCTTCAAATAGAACTAAGTGGAAAGGACTGTTTTGTTTTTAGGTAAAAACCTAAATTCTTGTACTTAAAAAAAAAAAAGCCAGTTGTAAAATCTGTAATATAATTAATTATTTCCATAGGTAAGAGATATTTTATTTTTTATAAAACCTGGTCTGACTGGTAAGTTTGTTCTAGATTAAGGATTTAGCTACAGTTTGGTGAGTGTTTGTTCTCTGTTAGGCTTGGTGCATATTAATTCGTACATATTTTAACATTTCACTACTGTATTAAATTATTAATAATTTGAAATCATTAGCTTGTACTGACACCATTTTTCTGAAACAGTACCACCTGTTTCTTCTAAGTTTGGTCCAGAACAAAAGTCTGAAATCTAATTTGTCAAGAAAACAAATGTGTAGTTCAGAAAAAGGATAGGGGCCAGGTGCGGTGGCTCATGCCTGTAATCCCAGCACTTTGGGAGGCCGAGGCGGGTGGATCACCTGAGGTCAGGAATTCAAGACCAGCCTGGCCAATATGATGAAACCCCGTTTCTACTAAAAATACAAAAATTAGCCAGGCATGGTGGCACACGCCTGTAATCCCAGCTACTCAGGAGTCTGAGGCAGGAGAATCGCTTGAACCCAGGAGCCGGAGGTTGCAGTGAGCCGAGATCGCACCATTGCACTCCAGCCTGAGTGACAGAGTGAGATTCTGTCTTAAAAAAAAAAAAGAAAGAAAGAAAAGAAAGGGATAGGAATCACCAAAAGAAGGAGGTCCAAAGTCCAATGTTAGGATGATTATGCTCATGACACGGCCATTTAATCTTTAAAACAAATATAAAAGACAGGTATTCCCTGTGGCAGAGCTGAGCTTTACCTCAGGTCTGTGTGACAGAGTCTCATCTCTTCTCTTATACATCCTCAATCTTCAGACATTTAAGGTCTCTGAGTATCCAGGATTTCCTTTGCGACAATAATTAACAAATACATGTATGTACATTTGTGTGTGTGCATTATGTTTTAAGCATATATATATATATGCAGGAAACTCACATCTGGAGTACCAGAGTCTACAGGCCAGGACTAGATACTTAGATCTCTAGGGAAGTGATCCAAATATCTAGTTGCAGCTATGTAGATTTCAAGAATGCAGTGAGGGGAGAAAGAGTATACTTAATATATGAGTACATATACACTATATATATCCCATATATGTATGACATATGTAACTAATAATAGTCAACCCTCACTAACACAATGTGCCTAATATTATTGTAAGCACTTCACACCCCGTTACTTTGTTCTCATAACATCTAAGGTAGGCATCATTATTATTATCATCTAGTTTTACAGATGAGACAAGCAAGGCACACAACTAATAAGTGGCACAGTCCAAGTTCCTATCTGTGATCCTGTCTTTTTCATGGACCTTTTCCTATCTGTTGCCTCCATGAGAACATATCTGAACTTTGGCCTATTCTTTTTTAAGACTTTGCTCCCTCTTAGGAGATAACAAGTAGCAGAACTCACATGTTACCCAGCCAATAGTGTACTTAGCTTGGGAACAAAAGACTAAATTTGTGGAAATTCCTCACATTTGTACAAGAGAACGTCCCAAAGCAAGATACTATGGCCTGGAAAATGGAAGAGATAGTTTGGGCAGGTGGATGTTTTGGGTCTCCCAAATCACAACACATGTGCAATGCGCAACCATCAATACATAAATCCAATTTAATTCAGTATATATTTAATAAGCACCTGCTGTGAGCAAGGGACTCTGCTAGGACCTAAGCTCTAGAAAGTAGCTACAAAGATTAGAAGCAATAATCCTAATATTTAGAACATGGGAGAAAAGAAATACCACATAACTAAAACACGATGCAAATAAGTTAATACCGTAAAGCGTTGCTAAAAAAAATCTGTAGGTTTCAGTGACTTGAGGAATATCATTTGCTATTCAGCGGTGGACACTGACAAAGTTACCTGAAGCAGGCAGTGTTTGAGATGGACTTTGGAATGTGGGAAAATTCCAACAATTAGAAATTGGAGAGATAGGTTTTAGGCAAGGGAAACAGAAAGAGTCAAAGCAAGGGATAGGAAAGCACAAACTGTGTCTGGGGTCAATTTGACTAGCTTCTAGACTACTCAAAGGATAGCAGTAGGAGTTTGAGATGTTGTGGGTGAAACATGTGGAAATGTCCATTGAGCAGCAGGAAACCCACATGTGCAGTACCAGAGTCTACAGGCCAGGACTAGATACTTAGATCTCTAGGGAAGTGCTCCAAACATCTAGTTGAAGCTATGTGGATTTCATGAAACTGTCCACAGATTTCAAGAATGCAGTGAGGAGAGAAAGACAGACAAACTTACATTTTGTGGGCAGATAAAGGGAGGATGGATGAAAGATCATTCAGATGAACAGGAGAACCATAAAAACAGACGCTATAGAGTGTAAAGGTGAAGAATGCTTCAAATGCTTCAAGAATTAGAGATAGATAGTCAAAACAATCAAATCATAAACAGGATACCTAGGATTGCTGTGAGGAAGAGGTATATTTAAGAGCTAGAGTCTTCATCACTGTACTCATCTTTGAAAGGACCACCTCTTATTGCTTTCTACCCTTTCCCTAAACTCAAGCATGCATACAATCACACACATAAACAAACATTATTTTTTCCTAGGAAAAATGTTGGCATTATTAACTCTGAAGCAAAACTATATCTGGAAGTTTTTAGAGTAGTTAGCAAGATCCAAACTTTATGGTTTGATTTTAATTCAAAAGATAACTGAATTTTTATATGCAGGTTAATTATTCCTTGGTGGGAATGTGAATTTATTTGTATTTTATTCAGGAAGTATTTTTGAGCATTTCCTAACTCCAAGGTATTGTGCTAAACGCTGGGATCAGAAAAATTTCCATAAATGCTTGGATGGCTTTTACCTGGGAGCACTCCTTCCTATGGTTGGCAAAAAGCTGACGCCTTTGTGATGATGAGTTTCAGTCCTAGCCTCTAAGAGTTTTTGTGGTCATGTTATTAAGTGCAATGTTTATGTGTATTTTTTCTGTTCCAAGATTTTTTTTAAAGTTTTGAATATTTTTTTATGTCACCAAAAGGTGCTTTAGAAGAACAAACTAACTCAAAGCCAACACAGAAACTGGTTCTCTTGCTTTGCCAAAGTGGCAGTGTAGCATGTGGGCAAGTAAGAATACTTTTCTCAAGTATTTAAAACAACTACAGAAATCTTATTCTTCATTGTATTCTCTAAAGAATAAAGGTAAGAAGGAAAATCAGGTTTTGATAGAGAATTAAAAAATAGCTTTAGCATATGTTCAAACCATTAGGTCAAAAGGGACTAACAAAGCCCTGTAGAAGGGGACCCACAAAAGCTGCCCTTGGGACTTACTTATTCACTTATTTGTTTATATTTTTTGTATATGTACATATTTTTCTGATACTGCTTTGACACATCACTTTAGCTCTTTTTCTATATGTATGAATATTCTTCTCCTACAACATAGGAATCTTGATGTATACATAGTTTAGTAATCTGCATTCATTCTTTCAAGATAAACATTTTTAATCCTACATGGTATTCTATTCTAAGGATATACCAGCATAAAATACAATTTAAACAATCACCTATTTTTGGACATTTTGGTTGCATTCTGACTTTTATTCTTTTCAATAATTCTTTGTCCAGTATCATTGGGCATAGTCTTTGCAATGCTATTATTTAATGAAAAGAAAATTTTGGAAACTTTAACAGGTAATACCACAAGCGAGGAAACTTAATACAACGACCACAAGCAATGAAAGAAAAGTCAAATGCCTCAAGGAGCCAGGGTGGAAGAGCAAATGAGTGAAGTAGGTGTGGCATAAAATATGGGGTGATAGGGACTTTGTCAAACTGGAGAGAACATGGTTTGTCTGAAGTGAGCAGCTGCTACTCAGTTCCAGATATTGGTGCCACATGTGGATGCAGATCTAATGTTGTCAGATCTCCAATTTTTCAAGAGAAGCAAAAAAAAAAAAAAAAAAAAAAAAATCTAGTTTTTTTTTGGTGTGAAATCTCTTTAACCTTAAAGGTTGGCTCAAATTATTTTAAATATTCTGTGGACCAAACATACATTTTAAAAAATTCTATCTGCTAGCTAGATGCAGCTCATAGGCCACTGATTTGTAACTTTCTAATTAAAGAAAGGGCAAGACGGTGTTTGGAAATATATTTCTAGGTAGAGAGTTAAGCAAATAAAGTTTTACTTCAAGTTTTCCTAGTCACAAGGAATGTAATGTGGAGAGACTGAACCTCAATGTGCAAATCTTGAAAGATGGGTAAATACTGCTCCCCACTTAACACCCATGAAGAATTTAATAGAAGAGGGGTCTAAAATGCTTTTAATTTCACAAAGAAACATGCTTTAATGATATAAAACTCTAACCCAGTGCACTGTATGATGATATCTAATGATAATTTCCCTTCATTTCCCATCTGAACAAACATTTCCCATTAACATCCACCTGCACTACTTCCTTTCATAAAGAGGAGGTGGTATTTGGCTATGTTCTGGTTCTGATTCATGAGAAATCAGCCCAAGCCCAACATTTCTGTTCTTAACAGATTTTGGTTTTTAAATCTGTAGAACACAATGTTTCCCTGGGCTGAGTTCTAGCATGCCAAGTTTTGGCTGGCCACAGACTTTGACATCTGAGTGAAAAATCTTTCAACAATGGCATTTAAACTGAAGAATCAACAGACCTTTAATTATAACACTGCTTGTAATTCCCTCCCTCTCTTATCATGATGTTCAAATTGCCTCAAATCACTAACTGCATGGACAGCATGTTATTTCATTTGCCATTGGAAATATCATAATTTTAAAACTTGGGGGCTTGAGATTGTGCATTAATTTTTGAAAAATCAGTATTACTTATTCACCATAAATTAAAGAGGCATATGGAACGAAGGTCAAAATTACTGATTCATTAGAAATAAAAAACAAAAACCACTCACCACACAATTTCTCAACTTATCTAAAATGCTCAAGATTTAGATTAAAAACAATATTTCCACTTGGAAATTAAGCATTAAAGATATAGAAAAAGGGAGTCTCTTTTTAGTGAGATTTCACTAAATACCTCTGGTATCTCTCCATAAAATGTTAGGTGATCATTTCTTAACAGCTTTTTAAAAATGACACAGTCTCAGATTACCCTATGTTTCCCTTATATAATAACAAAAGACACTTTTATACTACTAAAGTACATTAGGAATCCTTTGAAAGTTTCTGTTTTAGAAACTGATGTTGAAAAAGTACTTAATTTATATTTAACCTGCCTATCTGAATATACTTAGTGGAAAAATTAGGGTTAAAAATGTAAATGTGGAAAATGTTTATTTCCATGTTTTATAGTAGTTAGTTTTTTATTTGCTTTTAAATATAGATCTTGGTTATATGTGGAAGACAGGCATAATTTCAGCTCCTTTTTCATCTTGAAGAGAAACCTGGCTCTCAATTTCCAGGAAATATATTTATTTAGACCTAACAATATACCAGAATTTTATGCATTATTTCTAATCTTCATAATAAGTCTACAAGTTGGGTGTCATTAATCTGTTACTGATAAGGAAATTGAAACTCAAATAAATTTAATGCTTTTACCAAGGTGATTTAGTTAGTGTCTTTTTGTCCATGGATTTTAAGTGGTAGAATTTGCATGCAAACCCAGATATGACTCCAACGGCTCTGCTTTCTCCTTTAGAAGAAAAAAACTCCTTCCTGAAATACTAACATCTTTTCTTTGTGTAATTGACCATCCTTTCTTAATACAATTGGTTATCAGAGCTATCATATTCTTAATTATCAGTATTACCTTACGACTCTAAAATTCATCTTTGTCCAGTGTATAGAATTCACATCCTAAGGTTAGATATAGGAGATTAAGTCTCTGATCTCCTGGAGCAGACCTGGTTTCAAATCTTGTCTTTTATTATCCCCATAAATATGCATGTATTTATAAAATTATGTCCTAAGTCTTTGTTCAGAAAATATGTAGTGTCTGACATTATTTTGTGTATAAAATGCTGAAAAGGTCACATCCAGGAAACTAGTCCTGACCAGCATACAACACTCAAGAAAGGTTCTCCAAGGTAGAATCAGGGGAGAATCCCAATTGAAGTTGTTGAGGGGAGTAAAGATAATAAATAATATTAACAATAATAACTCCATGCATTGAACTCTTAATATTCTTCATCCTATCTATATATCATATTTAATTTTTACACTACTCCCATTTTGCGTGTGAGAAAACAGAGGCTTAGAGATGGTAAATAACTAGTTCAAGGTCACATGACTAGTGGCATTTTACTCCAGAGCTTTGCTTTTTGTACTTTGCTAAACTCTCTCCCAGAATATGGGAACAAAATCTAAAGAGGTAAATTCAAAGATCAATATTAAGATGATAAATACAAGATGCAGCCAGGAATCAGGAATTGGAGTGGGAACAGATGAGGAAACAAGGTGGTGGGTCCAGCAGGGTTGCATGGTTGAAGTCAGCAAATGTCTGATATATGGGGGTGTCATGTCACATTGAAAGTACAGCTACATCAGGGAGGTGGAGCGACTGAGAGAATATGTAGAGGGTGACAGATATAGGACTGCTTGGCTGATTTCATGTTTTTCCTTTACAAATGTAAATAAAACATTGTGTGTTGGAGGTCAGAGGGCAAAGGAGATATAACTGAGGACTCTACTCAAAAAAACATCTCGCTTCATGTGTCATTAACTGAACAGGGGAAAGAAACTCAGTTGTCTAACAAGATATTTTTAAAATATTTATTTCTCCAAGAGGGTTAAACCTCATTTACACCTTGGAGTAAATTACTTTAATAAGGTTACCAGATCACCTAACTGAATGTAACTAAAGTCAAGAAGCTGCAGTTTGAATGGGGAAAGGAAATGGATAACTGTGGAACTGAAGGGTGGGAGAAGGGGATGATAGTGACACAAGCAAGGATAAAAAGGATTTCCTTAGGCGAATAGGAGGGCACCAAAGATAATTTTATGAAAAGACAGTTCAGGGCTAAATAAATGTAAAGTACTAACATCATCATTATCACTAGTTCTACTCTGCACTTATGTCTAGAATTTTTGTAGTAGCCAGTGTACAGACAAAATCACTAAAATTGGTTGCTAATTTCTGATTTACAAGCTGAGCAGAATTCCCTACTTAGAGTAACTCCTCAAAACATACTTGTTGAGCAAAATGGGACGTCAAAATTTTGCCTGGAAGTTGGAAACTTTCAGATTTTCCAAATTCCAACCTGTTTTTACAGTCTAGGTTAATCCAGTCTAACCTATCAAGTTCATCTAACTGGGTCCTCCCTGGGAAAAAGGAAGAAAGAGGACATAGGAAGTGAATAAAGAATTGATACCTCAGCTGGGCGCGCAGTGGCTCATGCCTTTAATCTCAGCACTTTGGGAGGCCAAGGCGGGCACATCACCTGAGGTCAGGTGTTCAAGATCAGCCTGACCAACTTGGTGAAACCCCGTCTTTACTAAATATAAAACTTAGCCGGGCGTGGTGGTGCAGGCCTGTAATCCTAGCTGCTTCGGAGGCTGAGGCAGGAGAATTGCTTGAACCTGGGAGGTGGAGGTTGCAGTGAGCCGAGATTGTGCCATTGCACTCCAGCCTGGACAACAAGAGCGAAACTCCATCTCAGAAGAAAAAAAAAAAAGATACCTCACTGCTCTCCTTCCCTTCTGTGTGGCCCAATACAGCATGCTGTTGACCCTGGGGAAGCTTCAGAATGTATGATCTAGGAAAGCTGAGGCAATGCTGTAATAACAAGAGCTATGTGAAAGGTAAAGTATGAAATGTATGATGGAAACCAAACCAAAGAGGGTATGTTAAAGATAAGCCCATTAAGGAAATAGCTCACCTGTTGGACTGGAATCTCAACTGGCTCTTTTATTTCACGCTAAACCTGTGCTGAGTCTGCACAGAAGGACTTCTGAAATGCTTATATATACAACCTGACAGGTACAATCAGAAACAGTACAAGGACTGCGTGCCTCAACAAGAATAGCCAGAGCACTGAAATCAATTGCAGAGCACAGACATACTTCAACTGTGGCTATGCAGACAGTCCCCAGGTATGGCTGGTGAACAGCACGCTTTATGTGTGCTATGTCCCAGACTTCCTGGCTTTCTTCCCTTCCGTCCTACCCCTTCGGCACACACTACATATCTTTCACATTTTATAAAATCACAGGAGATTTCCAAATTATTGTGTCTTTCAAATACTTTAAAAATATATTGTCCTCCTAATATAAAGGAGAGAGGTGGAGTATTTAGCTGATGAACTGAATTTGAAAGTAAGTTTGCATTTTTGATATATTTCCTTCCTTATGAGTGAGTCATGAAAAATGCATATTTTGTCTAAATATTGATAAAGCTTTAGAATATAAGAGCTGGAGTGAACCTAAGAGGTTTTGTAGCCCGGCAATTTCCAACCCAGGATGTGTCTCAGAATCACATAGAGAGGTTTCAGATTCCCAGCCAGGCACAGTGGAATGTGGCTGTAGTCCTGGTGACTGGGAAGGCTGAGGCAGGAGGATCACTGGACCCCCAGAGTTTGAGGCCAGCCTGGGGCAACATGGTGAGACCCCTGTCTCTAAAAAATAAAAAGTAAGTAGAAAATACAAATCACAGATTCCTGGGCCTTTTCCTTCCCCTGCCTTCCCCAAGTGATTCTAATTCTATGTCAGTTTTGGCTGCTTGCAACCAGTTATGGAGACCAGGGATCTTGATCAATCTCTTCATCTATCTGATGAGGAATCTGAGACCCAGAGAAGTAAGAGGTACAGTGATTTCTCTAAGGTTACACAGTGTATGAGTCCATTTGCACACTGCTGATAAATACATACCCAAGATTGGGAAGAAAAAGAGGTTTAATGGACTCACAGTTCCATGTGGCTGGAGAGGCCTCACAATCATGGCAGAAGGCAAGGAGGAGCAAGTCACATCTTACATGGTGGCAGAGAAGAGAGAGCTTATGCAGGGAAACTCCCCTTTTCAAAACCATCAGATCTCTTGAGACTTATTCACTATCATGAGAATAGCACAGGAAAGACAAGCCCCCTGATTCAATTACCTCCCTCTGGGTCTCTCCCACATGTGGGAATTGTGGGAGATACAATTCAAGAGGAGGTTTGGGTGGGGGTACAGCCAAACCATATCCCACAGGAATATGTTACAAGTGAAGATAGTCTATGGACACTGTAAAATTGACCCCATTAGCTATATCCCAAACTAGTTCATTATTTTAGAATCTATTTTGTGTGTTTGCATGCATACAGCAATGCTTCACATATCTGCACACCACTTATGTGGCATTCCAAATATGGTTAAGAACAAACAAAGTGAAAAAGACCTGCAAGCAGCCAAAATTGGTACTAAATAAACCACACATAATCCTCCAAGTCTTTTTAAAAGCCTCTTCTCTTGCTTCTCTATCTAGTGAGGCATAGGTGACTCAAAATCTTTATCTCCAAGCCCGGCCCTTCTGCTGCACTATAGTGTCGTGTCTCCAAAAGCCTAGTGGACCACTCACAGATACCCAGTCGGCACCTTCACTCAGTGTGTTCAAAATTAAACGTGTGCTTTCCCCTCCCAACCCTTCTCCTGCTTTGCTGCTCTGTTTATGACTCTACTAAGGTTCAAAATCATAGAGATGTGTTTGGTGTCTTCCTCTCCCTTGCTCCCCAAATATAATGGATTAATTCTCCCGCCACATTTCATAAATCAGTTTGCCATCTCTGTTCATTCCCTCTGCCCCTGCCCTAGTTAGTGCCTTCATTGCCTTTCACCTGGACTATTGTAATAGTCTCCTGCCTGATCTTGTGTCCTCTGGTCTCTCCCTACTCCAATCCATTTTACTCACTGTTGCCAGATTAATCTTCCTGAGGCACAGCTCTGATTATGTTACTCTCCTACTAAAAACTTTCAATAGCTCCCCACTGTCTCCTGAATAAAGTCCAAATTCCTTGCCCTAATAATCAAGTCCTTTCACTTTCTGGTCCCAATATACTTTTACCGCTTTATTTCCCACTACTTATCTTCACACATTCCATGCTCAAGTTAAACTCAATTACTTCTTTGCAGAATCTTTACCCTTTGATTCTTCCATGCTTTTCTCATGATAGAGTAATGTTCTTTCCTTCTATCTCTGTATGCTCAAATCCTGCTTGTTTTTCAAAGCCCAAATCCAGTGTCATCTTTTCTGATGAAGCCCTCAGTTAGCCCTCCTCTGAGCTCCAAGAATACCTTATCTGTACTACTTTTATAGAGCATTTCACTTTTCACTATTAATTCTAGCAAAGTAGACACATGTCTCAGCTCCGTTGCTAGATTAAAACTTCTAGGGCAAGACATGTCTTATCTGTGTATCCTCTCCAGTGCCAAGTATACAAGTGCACGACTCACAATATTTGTCAAGTGAATGAGTTCATGTATGTACTTTACACACAATCAAAACATGTTTTTTTGTTTTATTGTCTAAAGAAGATTAGAAATAATGCATCAGAGAAGGAATGAGGATCTTAGAGACTTGCACAACAGAAAGTAACTTAATAGCTAAAGAAGAAAAATAAAAACTACGAAAAGAAGGCATGAGAACTAAAGATATAGCAGTCAGAGGGTAAAGAAACACAGAAGCAAATAATCTTATAGAATAAGGACCAAATGGTTAATTGAGAAGCTTGGAAACCATAAAATAACATTCAAATATGTAGCATTATTTTTATACTTCCACACCCTCATCAATAGAAACAAATTTGAATTGTAGTTCAAGATAACAACCCTGAATCATTTAGAAAAGTTTGAATTATGGTAAGTATATTCTTTTTTTTGAGATGGAGTCTTACTCTGTGAGGCTAGGTAAATAAGCTGCCTTTATTAATGAAGAAATTCATATTTTTCTGAATATTAGAGAAATATTAATTTTTCCCAATTAAGATATGTTCATGATATACAATTTAGAAAATATAGGAGAGTAATAAAAAATCTTAAAAATCCTAAAAAAGGTGGGATTATACCATATGTATTACTATGTATGCTGCCTTTTAACTTAATATATAGTATAAATAGTTCATACTATTATAGGTTCTTCATAAACATTTACTGGCTCAAAATTCTATCTAATAGATATGTCGTACTATACTTAACACAGCACTCTAGAGTTGAACATCTAGCTTATTTCCAGTTTTATAATACAAATATGTCTAACAAGATTTACCATGGGCTGACAACTGTTGAAGCAGAGTGAGGAACTCATGAGAGTTCACTATGATATTCTTCCTACTTTTGTATATGTTTGAAATATCTAGAACAAAAAGGTAAAAAAGCATATTTATGTCTTAATTCATTTGTGTTGCTGTAACAGAATATTATAAACTGGCTAATTTAAAAAGAAAAAATATATTTCTCACAGTTCTGGAGGTTGGGATGTCTAGTATGAAGGTACTGGCATCTGGTGAGGGCCTTCTTGCTAGATCATCCCATGGTGGAAGGCAGAGGGCAAGAGAGCACAAAAGCCAGAGAGCAAGAAGGAGCCAAACTCACTTCTATAATGAACCCACTCTCATGATAACTAATGCACACACTCCTGCAGTGGTGGCATTCATTCATTCATGAAGGCAGAGCCCTCATGACTGAATCACCTCTTATTAGGCCCCACCTTCCAACACTGTTGCATCAGAGATTAAGTGTCCAACACAAGAACTTTTGGAGACACAGTCAAGCCACAGCCATATGATAAATATCTTGTGCATAATGGCTTTTGTTTACTTGTAATTATTTTCTTAGGTTGCAGTTTAGGGCTAGACTGCCTGGATCAAAGTCTTACCCCATCATTACCTAGTTATCTAACCTTGGGCAAGCTGCTGATGCTTTCTCAGCTTCAGTTTTCTCATTTGAAAAATGGGTATAATGGTAACTTATAGGGGCTGTTCTAAGGATCATAAGAGAAGATGTGCTTCTAATCCCTTCCACAGTACCTAGAACACTGTTAGTGTGCAATAAATGTCACCTTTGAAAAAGCAAAATACTGGTTGCATAATTATGCGTTGTGCTTATAAAGAAACATCACATATAAACTGAAAAACATACCTGAAATAACATGCTTAAGTGTGCACCATTTCTATCTCCAGGCTAAATGCTTATTTCAAAGATACGACCACTGCTAAAATAATTTAGATCCATAATTACCATTACGAAGCATTTTCTATGTGGTTGATATTGGCCTTACTGGGCTACATGTTTGATGTGTACTATCTCATTTAATCATCATAAGAGTTTTCTGATTACTTTATAGATAAAGAAACTGATGCTTAAAGGTGAATTAATGTGCCCAAAAGGACACAGGGTCTGTTTTCAAACACAGGATTGAACCTCTGGAATTCATCTCTAAGCTACTGAAAATGACCTTTGTTCCCTGCACTTTTTTTTTTTTTTTTTTTTTTTGAGATGGAGTTTCGCTCTTGTTGCCCAGGCTGGAGTTCAATGGCACGATCTCAGCTCACCGCAACCTCTGCCTCCTCGGTTCAAGCGATTCTCCTGCCTCAGCCTCCCGAGTATCTGGGATTACAGGCGCCCAACACCACGCCTGGCTAATTTTGTATTTTTAGTAGAGACGGGGTTTTTCCATGTTGGTCATGCTGGGCTTGAACTCCTGACCTCAGGTGATCCGCCTGCCTCAGCCTTCCAAAGTGCTGGCATTACAGGCATGAGCCACCGCGCCCGGTCCGTACCCTGCACTCTTTTGCATAGACTTCAGTCTTTCTTTCTTTCTTTTCTTTTTTCTTTTCTCTCTCTCTTCTTCCTTCCTTCCTTTTTTCTTTCTTTCTTTCTTTCTTCTTTCCTTCTTTCTTTCTTTCTCTGTCTCTCTCTCTCTCTCTCTCCCTCCCACCCTCCCTCTCTCTCTCTCTCTCTCTTTCTTTCTTTTTTTTGAGGCAGAGTTTCATTCTTGTTGCCCAGGCTGCAGTGCAATGGCGCGATCTTGGCTCACCGCAACCCCTGCCTCCTGGGTTCATGAGTTCTCCTGAGTAGCTGGGATTACAGGCATGCGCCACCACGGCTGGCTAATTTTGTATTCTTAGTAGAGACAGAGTTTCTCCATGTTGGTCAGGCTGGTCTCGAACTCCTGACCTCAGGTGATCCGCCTGCCTCGGCCTCCCAAAGTGCTGGGATTACAGGCGTGAGCCACCACACCCAGCCTAGACTTCAGTGTTTCTAATCTTTATTCCTCAGAGGCAGATATGAATTTTGGACAAAGTTTTGGTCCAATTTTGGATGTTTAACTGGACCTTTGGGTAAAGTACCTTTCTCCTTCCCATTCACTTTAATCAGAATTATTTATTTAACAAATTTTATTCTAGCAAACAATTTTAGAGAAGAAAAAGTAGTACTCCATAACAAGCTGCTCTTAAAAATGCATATCTCATTCTGGAAAAACTAATAGCTATCATGGTTTTAAACAATAATTTTCCATTGGTTTGATTATCTTATGTCCACTGTGAAACAACAGTTCATTATTAAACAATTCATTATCAAACACACAAACACATATACACATTTAATAACTTTAAAACAGTCCATATTTACATATTTTACTTTAAATATGTAATCTGAAATGTGTATGCATATGTGTATGTGTGAGAGTAAGACATAGACCCCGGAAGTCTGAATTTGGAAAAACCCTGTGAAAGTCTGAAAAAGGTGGTTTTCTACAAACCTTATGAAAAATTAAGTCATAGAAGGTCACAATTTTAAAAAATAGATACCAAATTAAGTATTTTATTCTGGGTTTAGGGAGGCTTCTCCTGTGCAACATACTTTAGACCAAGGCAGTCAAGAAATACTAAAGGGGATGCTGCAATTCCTCTGCCTCAGACAGTACATTTATGCATCTGTATTATAAAAAATGTGCCAGCTCTAGCAAGCTCACAGTACTGAGCAAAGTGCTATAGTTACAGCTGGCTCTGTTTACTCTTTTTTTTTCTGGTCTGTTCCTCTATTGGGGGGGGGCCACAGTAGGGTGTTTTTTCAGGATGGGGGGAAGAAGGAAGGAGTTTTTGTGAGTTCTATTTTGGATTTTGGTGAATAAGAAAGCAGAGAATTTGCTAGCCTGTTACTCAGTTACACTGAAACATGATGCAAACTGACTCAATTTGGAGCACAGAAGGTGCTGAAAAATTTTTCTAAGGAGGTCTTGAAATATCTAAGTCTGCCTTCAAGGAAGGACTTATAAAAAAAAATCACCATGTAAATAATAGAAGTATGTTGCTACTTCTCTTAAACCTGACCTCTTAAGTCACTACTCACACTAATATACTCTAAAAGTAGCCAGCATGATATTTCAAAAATTACTTTGTGTCCTTTATCCTCAGTAGAGTATTAAGAGGAAGATGCTTGAGTGTAGACACACATGTGGGTCTTCTTTACAAAGTCACGTCTACATATGTACACCGTTAGAAGTATGGGCTCTAAATGATTGAACAAGCTGTATTTCCATATTTGTATTGTCCAACCTATTTTCTTTTTTCTTATTTTCCTGAATATGTCTGAATATATGTGTTCAGTATAAACATACAATTGTGTGGACGTGTCTATGTGTGTTTCTAATTCTATACTATCTTGAAAATGGCTCAGCGTTCTAGAAATACAGCCACATAATTTGTTTTGTTTTGAAAAACTGCTCAGCAAATGCATACAGGTCATAATGGCAGGTAACAGACCATTTATTGAAGTGCTGAAACAAATAGAAAACAAAGTCCAGGACACCATCACAGAGCAGTACTTCCCTTGTGAGATACTCTCAGCTAAGTAAGAATTGAGTGAGACAACAATAAAACAAATACCCATAGGCTTTTCAAACAGTAACAACCCGCTCAGGGTTAGCAGCATTTCTAGACCTTGATGGTACAATGATGTTCTCAACCTTTGCTTTCAGACACTGGATCACTGCTTAAGTAGCCTTTATCTTTTCCCCCTAATTTTTGTTGAAGATGCCCTTGAAATTAGATTATATTTGTTCCTAACAAAGCATATGTATATTGTGGCATCACTCTTAAAACCAACAATTGGGCTTAGTTTTATGAAGAAAAAAAATCCACCAACCTTTCATGCTGAGATTTCTCATGCTAGTTCTCAGCACAGAAGTGATTTTTTTTTTTTAAGTTGCATAAAGCCTAGCAAGGTTTAAGTTTTCCCAGCAAGGAGAAAGTGTTTTTCAGCTGTTAAATTTTTCAGATGCTTTTTTTGAATTTGGATAAAACTCAAAAACATGTTTGTTTTAAAATGTAAACCTTTTCATGTACAGAGGTTTGCATATAGAGAAATGCTATTACTATGTTTAAAGATACTTGCTTTTGAAATAAGGAGGTCACATGCATTTAAAAATAACAAACTGCATGTTGCTTTATGAATGTCCTATTAAGCCCTAACGTAAATATGATGTTCTGGAGGAGCACTGATGCACACGTTTGCTGATAGGATCACTTACAACACTGCTTGTGGATGTATTTCCATGTGAGAGCAAAGGGTGGTCAGGTTTGAACTGAAGAACATCCATATAGTCAGCTAATATGCTTTTTAAAGACCTTTTACCTCAGTTGCAACACACTTCTTTGTCCTAAACCTGCTGGATTACTCAACTTGTTGGCTGGACTAAAGCTGACACAATACATATTTCAAGCACAAAAATGATGAGGAACACATAGGGATGTCAGCAAAGAGGCAAAGAGGATGGTAAGTCATCGGAAGGCTGGTCATTTTTTTTTTTTTAAACAGTTCAATGTCTTTACTGTTTTCTGTAATATTATCATTTTCCATTTTTCAAACAATGGAAAGAACAACAATTAGTTTCATTTTTAAAATTATTAGATCATAAAGGACAAGTTTAGGAATATTGTTTCTAGCATACTAATAGATGAAGTTAGTTGTAAATCAATAGTCTTATTTCTCTGTTTTAAAAAAATAGCAAAATACAGTATTCTGAGGAAAGTTCTGACAGATTGGAGTGTTACAGGATAGTCTGAAATCTGTTTCATTATAGAAGTTTGGCCAATATAGAGATAATATATTTTAAATGGCTTAAGTATATATTTTTTGTGGATTGCACATTCTGTAAGACGGTTTGAGTGCCTTGAGATCCAAGTCTTTAGGTCAAGACTGAACTCTAGAAATGGCCCCATCGAATCTACAAAAGGATACATTAAAAAAAAAAAAAACCTCATTTCCTGTAAGCTGCTGATGCTACTCAACAGAGTTGAAACTCAGGTCACACGCATCCTACTACTCTAGTGCTGCCCCATTTACTAATCCAAACGAGGATAAACCCTGAGAGATCCGTTATGTTTCTACATAAGGAGTGTACAAGCTTCTCTTGAAAATCATTGCATTGGGAGAGACACAGAGAAATAACAGAGGTGAGAATCCCTCCCCGATTTGCTTGCTAAATCCGTATTCATTCCTGAAGATCCAGATCAAATACCACCTGACTGTTAGGCCTTCTCTGAGAAACTCTATTTTGCAGGCAAGTATTGGAACGACTCTATGCGCATCTCCAGTCCCAATGCATCCTTTAAATAATCTGTTTCCTCTCTGTTTCTTGCTGCATTACAGACATCTGTGTTACACATCCATCCTTCCCTAATAGTCAGTGGACTCTTTTAGGTGAAGGACTGTGTCTCTATGTCCCTATGCTGAAAGGACAATGGGAAGAGATGGTGCTATTGATGCCCAGAGGCCTGGGTCACCAGGGAAGCTGGAGTCACAGCAGGTTTGTTCAGAGGGAGTAAACCACAAAGGAAATGTGGCTGGTGATGATGATGATGCAAAGAACGGTGGGGGAAATCTCTGGCCTATGCCTTCTACTGACCCTCTTGCCACTCACAAGTGTCTCACAAGCACCAAATCCAACTTGGAATCTAGCTGACATGGGTCAGCCACTGTTGTAGAGCAAGGGTAGGGTGAGGGTTGGGTCTGAGGGTAAACACATCCACAATGTGGGAGCAGGAAGATGTCTTTGCAGGGGGGTGTCTAGGACTATGGACTTAAGATAACCTCACAGGGTCACCATGCCCCAGCATGACCCAGAAGGGCCCAGAGCAAGGAAGACATGACAAAGGAGCCTGAAGACTTGAGGAGGCCTTGGAGCTGGGACAAGGAAGACACATCAGGGATCTACATGGACAGGAAACTAAAGATGAGGTGGGCTCTCAGACATCTCAGGGAATTTGAGCTCAGAAGACAACACTGAGAAGACCAGACACCATAGTGAGTAGACTGTATCTAACTGCTCTCCACCCTCACTTTCATATTGCATTTGGATGGCACTCCAAGGAAGGGGAGAGGAGACCACCTAGCAGAATGGAGGCCAAATCTGAGTTACCTCATAGATAAGGAAAGAAGGCCTGTGATTTTTAATGGGTCAGTCACTCTTAAATTTTAAGCAAACTGTAGATTTTCTGAATAGGAGAAGATATTATCTTAATCTACACAAATTTTTTGTTGTTTTTTTGGCAGGGTTTAAAATATTTTTATTCATGACTTATAGTAGAAACTACATTTTATATTGTGACCCAGTAACTGTTTACACACATACATGGATGTATGTGTGTGTTCTGGAGGTAGAAAGTAACCAATCTGCTCAAATTTTAAATATTAAGATTATTCATAATTCTTTAAGTAGTTTATTGTTTGGAAAGTTATAGACCAAGGTCTAGAAATTCAGCAGACCTCTAACCTCTAATCAAGGACTTTTAAAAATTAAGAACAGTACCTGATTTTCTGATTTAGTCTTTGAAATGCCAGTGCTATTCATTCTTTGCCTTATTCACTCATAATTATTTATTCATTCTCCAAACATTTATTGAGAGCTTACTGTATGCTTTATACTATAGACCTGCAGCACAAATATAGGCCTATTACTTCACAGCTGCTTTAGGATTTATAGCAGTACTGGTCAGATAGTTCTTAAAAAGGAAAAGTTTTCAGAGTGCAACAACCTGTTCACAATAATTCCTATGTAGCAGTGAAGAGCCTTGACAGCATCTCTTTTACTTTCTCATTGTGGTTCTAGTTTAATAACATAAGTCTATTTTTACTTTTCATATTTAACTTTAATTAAACATGCTATGAGTGCAATCATGAGATTTTAATAAATTAGACTATTTGAAAATAATTTTCCCATAATGATGTCTTCCTCATATCTTTCATGATACACAAAAAGAATATTTGTACAAATATTTTGTTGCTTCAAATATGCAGAAAACTGACCATTATTTACAGTGATTTTGAAAATAAATGAGTGAAAGCATGCGAACTTATAAGGAGAGTAAATAAGCAGCACACCATTACCATCTGAGACAGCATGGCTGCTCCCCTCTTGGTGAGGGCAGTATAGGTACAGCAAGCAGAAGACAGATCATAAGTATTTACTATCAGACCTTCTTTAAGTGAATATGTCCTATTCCAGTAGAAAGTATCATATAAGCATACGGCCTGAATCCAATTCAATTATTTACATGGCTCTACCAGTAAATGGTTAACACTGTAGACCAGAAATTTAGAAAATGCAGAAGACTGAACGATATGTAAGTGACTGAGAACATGAGTCTCTCTCCTCATCATGTAGGACATGGGTCGAGGTCATAGACTTAATTGGTAGGAGTTGCTACTTTCGAAGAGTGAAATGCTTTGAGGCTTTTAAGAGAATTTTAAGTTGATTAACTTTTTATTTGGGGGAATTATGATGTGAGCTTTATTAAAATATCACAATTCGGCATTGTTTCATAAACATAATTATAGGCCACCTTTTCAAAAATTGCAAGAGTAGTACTAAGAAGGTCCTTTGAACTAAGGTTCAAAGGACCTTCTTAGTAACTCTTGTAATTTTTATGGGTACAGTTAGTTGTCTGCATAAAGTCATTCCATTTTCCAAAGCTGCTTACTCTTTGCACAAATGACAAATTGGCACATGCACAATGGCACAGGAAAAGAAGTAACTGCTAAGGTCACATATGTGAGGACGTTGCAGCCTTTAAGTACTGGAGGCCAAAGTTACCAGAAACATGGGCAGACAGATTAAAATTTTCCCTTCTTATGTTTGTGCATTGTTTCTATATGGAAAATTACATTTTTCTGAGAGTATATGTGTAAATATGCATCTGCTAGTGTTTTGGCAACTCTAAGTTACCTAAATTAGTTTTGATCAACACTGTCGGATTTTTAAACCCACCAACGTAATAAAAGCAAGTTTAAAAAAACACAAACAAACCCTACAGTACATTGTGTGCTCTGCTGTTCCAAGCCTCAGCTTCAAGACAAAAGGAGAGCGAGACTTTGTCATTCGCTAGCTGTTAATAATCAAGAGAAGATCTGCCAGACAAGCTCTTCGAGGGCTCTGTCTGTCTGGACCAGGTATATACTGCAATACACAAAGGGCTTTGCAGGGGGAGAAAAATGAGTGTTCATGGACAATGATGCAGCTTTCTTAATTAAGATTTTCATTACTGATACATACATTAAGTTCTGCAACTGCAAGAGCCAAAGCACTGTCATGTGCAGGTAGATGTCCCTGATTCCATCTTCAGGCAGTAAAGCTAAAACATATTAAATGTGCACCCAGCAAATGTTGTGGGAGCCAGGAGAGCTCCAGAAATATTTTTGTTGGAATGCAGAGAGGCCCCATTATAGGCAGATTTGTAATGCATCTAATAGGCAGGAGAAAAGCTCATATCAATAGAGTGTGTGTGTGTGTGTGTGTGCGCGTGCATGTGTGTGTGTGCGTGAGTGCACGCACGCACGTGTATGGAAGTGCTTTGAGGCCCTGGACCACAGACAAAGGTAACAGTAGCTGATCTAGAAGTAATCCCCATATAATAATATAATAGCTCAGGTCTTAAAAGGAACTTTGATCTTTTAAATTTGCCAATGCCGATTGTTGAGACAGGAAATAAAGGATTGATTTGGTAGCTTTTGGAAGATGGTAAGGACTCCTGCATACAGCCAGTCCTGACTCTGCCCCTCCTGGGTCACTCAGTCTATTTTCCCTGGATCCGCATGCTGGTCTGAAAGTCAATGCAGTCTGCCAAAGTGGTATACTGTTCCCATGAAATAATCCAACTGTGGTATGGAGAAATCTTTTTTTCTTAGACCAAGTTATTTTTACAAAAATACTTTTGCGAAGAAATGAGAGGAAACTAAAACCCTACACAATCCTAGAAGTGGATTACTGTCTAGAGTGCATGTTTTTTATTCCATCTTATAAAGCCTAACTCATTTTAGGGTGGCTAGTGCAGTTAAGGTGCAGACATCTCTTGGTTGTTTTTCTGGTGCTTTTACTTGCATGCTTTCCTGTTTCCAAATCTGCATCCATATTGGGGGTTACCCACAGAGAGCTGTTGTCTCCTCTCTGAAGAACATCTCCATCTTTTGGTCACTACTTGAGTAGAGATGAGTGATGCTTAATGAAATATCATTTTATTACAACGGTCAAAAATTATGGATTCATTTCTTATTAGATTATATGCTCTGAATGTTCACCACCCCCCAATTCACATGTTGAAACTTAATTGCCCATGTGATAGTATTAAGAGGTGGAGTCTTTAGGAAGTGATTAAATCATGAAGGCAGAGCCCTCATGAATGGATTTGTGCCCTTATATAAAAGGTGTGAAGGAGCTGTCTCTCTCCCTTTTCCTCTTCCACCCTTTGCCATATGAAGATACAGCAAGAGGTGCGATCTTGGAAGCAGAGAGGACTTCACCAGATACCAAATTTGCAGGTGCCTCAATCTTGAATTTCCTAGTCTCTGTAACTATGAAAAATAAGTTTCTGTTGTTTATAAATTACCCAGTCTCAGGTATTTTGTTATAGCAGCAAAAATGGACTAACACATTAGGTACAAGCATTTATTTGACATTTAAATGTAATCCCTCATTTTCTAAGAAGGAATAAGCCAGAATCCAACATCAAAATGTTTCAAAAGGAATACTTCAAAGTGTTTTAGCTGTAGTTCTTTGTCGATTAAATAAAAAAAAATTCCAAATAATGGTGGTCAGTAAGAGTGTGTGTGTGTGTGTGTGGGGGGGGGGGGCGGTGTATGAATTCCTGTGCTAAGATTCAGATCTTTGAAACTGTTTTCTAGAATGTTATCCTACATGTCTAAAACTTTTTTTCTAAGTGTATCAGAGATTTGGGATGGAGTGGTAAACACATAGGTTACTAGGAGGTGGCTTGCCTCTGTACCCATTCTAGATGAGTAATGTTAATGACTGATGATAATGTAATGATGAAAAAATTGGTTCTTTTTAAGTAAATAGATAGTCTACAGACACCCTGTCAACAGATAGTGCATGCTTACTGAGGAAGTTAACAGTGTTAGGATTCTTCCTAACCTTTACTGAAAGGTACTGTTATAAAACTGGTAGAGGAGTATGTGAAAGCTACTGGTGAAGAACCAATGCAGTGAAGATTATTCAAGCATGGTGGTGATGGATAAAAGCATAGAAAAAAAACTCAGAAAATTATTTTGACTGAAGACTTTTCATTACTTTTCTTATGTGTCCTTGAGTAGCTTATAAGGACTAGGCTGAAGGCTACTATTAAAAGATTTAGGTGTACCTTTCACTCATGTTCTTTCATGAGACACACGGTTCTCTCATTCAAAGTACAAGGTTAATTTTAAATTAGAGGTGAGAATTATTCTTCATGTATCAAAAAGCCTAGAAATTTACCAGGGATTAAAGGTAGAACCCATTTTAGCCTATCGAAGTGTGAGAGGTAAGGTGACCTGTTTAGATGAATATCTTGAAATGATTCTCTGGAGCATGCCTGATCTGTTCTCAATACCCACACATTAGAAGAAATGAAGAATAATATAGAGACTACACAAAGAGACCATGTAAAAGAAGAACCCTGATAAAAGAAAAAAAACTCTTAATTTTATCACTGCAAAGACTTCTTGTACAAGATGCCTCTGCAAGTGTCCTAGTAGCATGACTCCTTAAACAAGTAGGATGCGTGTATGTGGAAGATATATATATGTATATATAACATTTAAAATCTCCCTCGAACCCCAGCTTCTGAGTATAAACTATGTTACAGAAGCATGTGGATAATATGTGAAGCTTTCTAGGAGCATCATTAAGAAAATGAGACATTTGACACTCTGAGCCCTAGGTACACTGAGTCAGTGGCATGGTCTCCAAGGGCACTGCTGGCAGCACTAAAGCCTGGCTCATAACCATATGTGCACACCTCAAGAGGTGTTTGACTGTTCAGGTAGAGGATAAGCCATTTCCTAGGCCTGGTTCCTTCCATTCTCCTTAGCTTGTAGTTGGCCTGAAGGGACTTCCTAGACTCTAACATGTTTGCCTCTCTTTTGCTTCCTTTCTGGACACTGTCTAAGGATTTAAAACACACATGACTTTCATGTCCACAATTTTCTGCCAAAGAGGGGGAAAAATGCCCCAGAGCATGTCATCCCTTACCATCTGCAAATGAACTTCTGTGGTCAAGGAATGCTCCAATTACCACCCAGAACAGCTTTGTACAACTCCTGACCCTCGGGAAGACTCGAGGAACTCACTCCCAGAACCCAGATGCTCCCTGTCCCAGAACACAGGGAAGACGCCCTGTCATCACAGTTTGCACGGCAGAGGCGGAGGTGATGCTGTTAGTGTGGTATTTCCAATTCTCTAGCGTCTTTCACTTTCCCTGAAGTTGCTGAAGAATATTCCATTTCATTAAGTATGTAGTAATACACATGGGAATCAGAGAGCGGGGAAAGATGGAGGACGTTGATGACATGGCCTCTAGCACTTTATTTATGAGAACATCCAGAAATCTCTATCTACATCTGGGAGAAGAATAATGTCAATCCTGCCCTGGAGACATGGATCAGGCAATGTTGCCAGTGTGTATTTTTCCCTTCCCAATAATTTACTGATTCTGGAGTCTAAGGCAGAGCGCTGATGATAATTTTTACATTCATGTGAGTGAGCCTGGCCCTTTGAGGGCTGGTGATGCCAAATAAACATAAATGTATGTAACCAGGTGAATACTTACCACCTCCCAACCCAGAAATGTCATAGGTCTCTGGTGGTGCTTTGCTTCCCACAACACTCCCCTGAAGGGCGGTGAGGGTAGGTGTTGCCATCAGAGCATAAGAAGCAGAGCTTGAGGTGGCCTTGGAGGACTTCAGGGAGCACTGCCTTTGCAGTAAAGAATGAGACTAAGCAAACAAACCTGTTAGACGGCTCATTTGTCTTTTCCAATTTTTTTATTGTGTTATTCATCCTTTCATCATTGATTTATAGCTATTCTTAAAATATTAGGGATATATCACAAATATTTTTCCTAGTTTAAAAAATGATTTTCTACCATAGTAATTTTTATTTTCATGTAATAAAATTTAAAATACATGTATTTTTTAAAAAGTTTTCAGGCTTTGGTTTTATGCCTGGAAAATGCATCTCATACCTCCAGTATGAAAATATTCATGTATATGGCAAAAATTATCACTGAAAATTACAGAATTAGTGAGGATGCAGAGAAATGGGCAGTCTCTTTTTTTGTTGGTGAAGATATTAACCAATGCTAGAGGACAGTTTAGTAATGCATTTTACTTTTGCAGTTCCACTATAATTAATTGATCCTAAGGAAATAATCATGTAAGTGTACAAACATGTGTACATATGCATGTGCATATAAAGACAGTTATTGTGGCATTGTTTAGTAAGAAGAAAGTTCCAAATTCCCAACTGTCCATCAATAAGTGATTGAGTCAATAAATTATGCATATACTGAAGTGCAACGTTGTTGTCAAAAGATAATGTAGATCTATATTTATTAACATGGTAAATGACTATTACAATGTTAAGTGAAAAGAATAGAATACAAAACAGCAAGTAACTTCTCCTTTCAGTCTGGAAAGAGAAAGACAAAGAGAAAGAAAAAGAGAAAGATAAACAGGACTGTATGGAAATATAATATTTCCTAAGTTATTAATAGTGATTATCTCTGGGCTGTGAGATTTCAAAGGAATTTAACCTTGCTCTTTATAAATACTATCAATGAAACAAATTCAAGCAAAACTAAATGTATACTTTTTTAGAATTAAAAATTAGAACTTTTATTTTGGGGGAAAAAGAACTTACCTAAAACCTGCAATAAATACTTAAAAATTCCAATATGATCTTCAGTCATTAGCAATTACTAACTAGCTCTCTTAGTAGGGTGACATCAATGTCTGCCTCAAGTTTCCCCCAAGTTTGACACTTTGAGATGTACATCATAGTTCTTCCCTTAAAGAATTTTAAAATATAAAATTTCAAGTAGTGAATATAACCCAAATATTTTTATCTAGGGCA
The DNA here is from genome assembly GCF_000001405.40 of Homo sapiens. Classification (NCBI taxonomy): domain Eukaryota; kingdom Metazoa; phylum Chordata; class Mammalia; order Primates; family Hominidae; genus Homo; species Homo sapiens. Next base: position 114,489,427 of record NC_000003.12, read on the forward strand.
TGGTTAGGTAAATTCTGGGGGCTTTATGTGATATTATTCAGATGTTATAGTGCTATTTATAAAGAGTTTTTAATTATACCAGGAAGTATTTATTATATAATATTGAATTAAAATGGGATACAACTGTATACATGCAATGTATGCTCAGGCATGTTAAAATCTAGAGAAGACACTAGAAGGTGATCTAAAAAATTATTAATAATAGTTGGTTCTGTGTAGTGGAATTATGGATGTTTCCCCTTTACTCTATACTTTCTAAATATTTCACAATAAGTGTGAATTATAGAATCATAAAAAAAGTAAATATTAAAAAAAAGCTGTTTTGCTCGACAGCTGCCAAATTTTACCCCAGATGTATCAGCAATTTAGCTTTTAGTCAAATGACCCTAACATCATTTCCTAAAGGGAATATCACAGAATGGAATGTGCCCAAATAAAGATAAGCCATCACGGCCACCACCTCTTTCTAAGCTATCATTTTATAATGCTTAAAATAAATCTGAGTAAGGGATCTTTCTTCTGTTGGAAGTTATAAACTTCCACCTCCTTCAGACCCTCTCCATATCTTCTCTTGCATTACCAGCACCTGGAATTTATAATTAACCTATAGTACCCTGGTACGTTTCTAGGTCTGGAAGCTGTTTTTGGAGGCTGATGGTGTAGATCACCATTAGGGATGGAGGATTATTTATTCATTTTAAATGGGAGTTCCCTTGAATAACAAACAGGGATGAGCTGCTATATAAGATCTTGTGTAGTTAATATGCTTTCTTACCCTTCTTATATATATATTTATTGATTGATTGATTTTTTGAGATGGAGTCTCACACTGTCGCCTGAGCTGGTGTGCAGTGGTGCGATCTCGGCTTGCTGCAATCCCTGCCTCCTGGGTTCAAGAGATTCTCCTGCCTCATCCTCCCGAGTAGCTAGGATTACAAGCACCCGCCACTATGCCCGGCTAATTTTTTGTATTTTTAGTAGAGATGGAGTTTCACTGTGTTGGCCAGGCTGGTCTCGAACTCTTGACCTCGTGATCTGCCTGCCTCGGCCTCCCAAAGTGTTGGGATTACAGGCGTGAGATCCCGTGCCCGGCCCGCTTCCTTCCTCTTCTTTCCATCCCTCCCTTCTTTCTTCCCTTGTTCCCTCTCTCACCTGTCTACACTCCTGTCTCCAGCCCTCTTAAATAAATAGCTTTTCTGTAGTGTTAGATGCCAGCTCTTAACATTTAGAGACAATTCACACTATACCAATACCATACTTCAAGTAGATGATCTAATTGTTTCTAAATCATCATATTTTAGCAAAAAGATAATGGGAGAAATCAAAGTTGTCTCTCACATATGTATGATGCATACTAGAGGCTTGGCAATAAGGCAGAGAGTAGATATTTTTTGAGAAAGTAAATAACAAAACAAAACAAAAAGCCAAAACACAAAAACAAACTGGGTATTGTGAGGACAGGGCAGAGGGAAGGAGCAGGCATAAGAAAGAAAAGGAATGACATCGGTCTCCTGGTCCTTGCAAAGGTTATTCAAGTCCCTGTTCCTGGTGTTTTGGACCAGATATCAGCCTACAAACCACCCTGGACTGTGAGCTATTTGAAGGCATAGATGGTGTCTTACTCACCTCTGTATTTTCTGTACCAAACACAGTGCCTGATACAATATACTCAACAGATGCCTGGAGAATTTAACTAAGCCCTTTCACTGCCCTTTCTTACTGGCCTCAGCTAGAACCAAAACAAGAAGCTAAAACTCCTAATGCCACAAATGCTAGGTGAAACCCTATCCTAATTCAAACTCATTTCTTCTGATTTTGCACCTTGGTCCCCAAACTGCTGGAGAAAATCCCATGACAGAGCAGATAGGTATCAACATCAACCCACCAGACTCACCTGCACCTTCCACACTGCCAAGGAGAGTCCTACTGTATTTCTCTGGTCAACTTGCTGTCCCATTTGTCTCAAGAACGATTTCAAATCTCTACTTTCCTTAAATCTCTTCCCCGCTTATTCTTAGCAGGACCTTGCCCCTCAGTGCCCATCACTTGGGAAACCTCTTAACCTTTCAGTACCAAATCTACACGTGGGCTTGCATCTGCTCCTTTCCTTTACTCCTCCTTTCTTACAAAAATAGAAGATGTGTCCCTCCTTCCATCTCTCCACTTGTACTCAGGATTCCATCTCTCTGGCCTTATCAGTAATCTTATACTGCCAGTCATCCTATGCTCTTCTCTCTTCTGCACATTGGATCTCTCCTCTCTACGGTATTCTTCCCATGAAAATACAAAAAATACTAGTGTTTCCATGCTTTTCCAACCTTCTTTTGACCTCACTTCCCCCCTCAAGATATTGCAGTAGCTCATTTTCCTTTCCTTCATAGCAAAACTTCTGAGTGGCCCACATTTGCTGTTTCTTCACTTCTCATTCTCTCCTCATCCCATTACAAACACGTTATTGTTTTGACCACTTCAACAAAACAGCTTTTGCTGAGGTCAACAATAAGCTCAAAATTAATATAAGCAATATATATTTGTTAGTCTTTAACCTACTTGATTGCTCAGTAACATGTCACATCACTGACCACTACCTTTGAGGCACTCTCTTGGCTTCTGTGCCTATGTTTTCTGATTTTCCTGCCACCTTCTTGGTGGCTCCTTCTGAGGGTATTTTATGGCCTCATTTTTTTCTACCAGCGGATTAAATATTAAGAGCTCTTCAAGTCTCAGTTTAGGTCTTCTTCTCAATCTAACCCTGTCCCTAGGCAATGTTATTCATGCCAACAGATTCATTTACCACTATATGTCGATTACCCTGAATTCATGTCTCCAGCCTTCATGTTACTTCTGAATTCCAGTTTTATGTATATAAATACCTGTGCAATATGCTCACTATGTATCTATCCAAAGTACCTCACACTCAACATCTCAAAAACAGAACTTACAAACTTCTCTCCACTCCAGTCCTCCTTTGGTGTTTCATGTAACTGTGAATGGTATTATCCTTCATATAGTTTGATAAGCCCCAAACCAGGAGTCATTGTTGCCACTTCTCTCTTTTATTTCACATAACCAACCATGAAAAAGTCCAGGAATATTTTACTTCTGAATTATCTCTCAGTTCCATCAATTTCCTCCCATTTCCACTGTCAATACTCTAGTCTGCCTCTTATGTGGTCTACTGGAATAGCTCCCTCACTGGTTTCCTCATATCCATTTTTGATCCTTCCAAATTATTTACCAAAGTTAAGCTACCTTGATATATATTTTTAAATTTTTAATTTCAAGATAATTTTAGATTAACGTGCAGTTGTAAGAGATAATACAGAGAGATTTGTTATTCTTTTTACCCAGTTTTGCCCAAATGGTAACATTTTATATAACTGTAGTACAATATCACAATCAGGAAATTAACATTGGTGCAATCCATCTGCCTTACTCAGGTTTCATCAGTTTTATATGCACATGAGTATGTGAGTGTATATTTAGTTCTGAGCAATTTTATTACATCCATACACTCATGAATACTACCACAGTCAAGCTACAGGACAGTTCCATCACAAAAGATCCCTTGCGTTATCCTTTATAGCAACACTCACCTCCATTTCTATCCCAACTCCCTAACTTTGTCATCCACAAGTATGTTCTCAATCCTTACATATTTTTTTCATTTCAAGAGTGCTATATAGATAAGAATCGTAACAGTACATCATCTTGAGATTAGCTTTTTCACCCAATGTAATACCCTTGTGATTAAAACCAGTTATTGTATGCATCAATAATTTATTCTGCTTAGTGCTGAGAGGTATTCCATGGTATAGATATAACAGTTTGCTTAACCACTGACCCACTGAAGAAAATGTGGGTTGTTTCCAGTTTTGGGCTATTACAAATAAAGCTGCTATGTACATTGGTGTAACATAATGTACAGGTGTTGTACAGTTATGTTTCCATCTCTCTGGGATAAATGCCCCAAAGTTTACCCTTTTAAAAAACAACAATGATCATGCCACAGTCCTTCTTAAGTTTGCTCCTCTACTGTCCTTAGGATAAACACAAAAATCCTTAACATGGCCTACCAAGGACCTGTTATCATCAGGCCTTACGTATCTCTTCAACCTCAACCTGGGCTGCTAGTCACCTTTTTCTCTCTGTGCAGCTCTCTTCAGGGACTTCATGCTGTTCCCTCTGCCTGGAATCCTCTTCCACCATCCATCCTTACTTTTTGTTTTTAACCTTCAGGTGTCATCTCAAATGTTACTATTTCAGAGAAGCTTCTCCTGAATTTCCAGACTCAGTTAAATCTTCTTCTTTTATTTGCCCTTAGAGCACATGGTACTTTTATTATATAGTGGTAAGCACAATTTGTAATTACAAGTTATATTGTGAGACCATTTGCTTAGTATCTGTCTTACATTCCCCAGATTATAAGCTCCAGAAGGAGAGAGACTATGTTAATATTCCTTTATTATATATACCTTTAGTATTTAGTAGACACTCAACTTTGTGTCCAGTAAAATTTGGCTGAGGCTTTTAAGACATAGTCCTGGAATCAAGTTCTATCTCTACCATTTATTAGATGTTCTTATAAAATAAATCAAACATGTTAAATCTCAGTTTTCTGATCTGCACAATTAGGATTATAGTAGCATCTACTTAATAGGGTAGTTTTGAAGGTTAAATCAGATAGCCATGAAAAGTATTTAGTCCAGTATCTAAAGCAAGGCAAGCACTCAATAGGTATTTCTTATTGTTATTATTAGTTGAACAAGAAACTAGAGTTTTTGTATTTTTTTTCCTAACTAGGCTTTTGTCCATTATCTTCATTTCTTGCCTGTTCCCCCAGGTTCTGATTCTTGTAACTTTTGAGACTCTGAAAAGGGGCCCTTAGTTTAGATCTTGGATAACCAGTAGGACTACTGGTTCTTACCCCAGGTATATGCTCTCAGACCAGATGTGGCTCTGGTTCCCATTTTCATCTCACTCAGTACTTCCTCCTCTTGTTTTCCAGTCTATGGATGTCAGTGTGGGTAAGAATGCCTCTTCCCTACTCCTAGTTTCCAGATGTTTTCTAAACACTGCTTTCCTCTTGTCTCATTCCTTATAATTCCCCATGGAGGCAAAGTATCCCATTGGTGGGAAAGCCCTTGGTCTATATTTCTCAGGTAGGTAGAACTGATCTATCCAAATTTGTAAGCACAGGAGTTTAACCTCTTTGTCCTTCCTTTTCTACTGAGACTATCGGGAGGTGATGACCTGGAAAGTGTTGCTCATATGCAGATCCACATTTTCCTGTAAGAGAGCTTTTGAAAGGTTTGACTGAAGGGAAGAGAGTCAGCAAACCCATTTCCTCTTTACACTAAGCTATGCTCTTCAACCAACCTTTATAAAAATTTTGGTTCCCTAGCTATCAGTTCTTTTGTCTTATTTTTCAATAGGTTTAGAATTCAAGTGGGGAAAAGTGATGCTATTTATGGGCCCCCTCGAAGATTCCAACACTTTGGTATATGATTTTGCTTGGAATATGATTCTGTTTCTCTTCATCTTTTTTACATTTTAGCCAGTTTTCAAGACTCAGCTGAATCAGTTTTACATGAAACTTTCTAGCCTGCAAGGCTCTTTCATGAATGAAACCCTATGGTACTTCCTGGACTGTATCATTCCTTTTGGAACTTAGTCATTTATTATCTTATGTGCATACACAACGCTCAACAATATAACTGTTTTTCCTAACTCAATTTTAAATTCCTTAAGAGCAAGAAAGGGTCATGTACTTATGGTATATTTATGCTTTAACTATCCAATAAAAATTATTCTTTGTACATAGCATGTTTTTAATAATATCTTAAAGCGTGAATGTGGGGGAGAGTGGCCTACTGACCAGGCTTTGATTTGAAGGCCCAAGGTACAACGGAAATGGCTTAGTAGCTGGATGGTTCCTGAAGAGGTTGTCGCAGTGCAGTGGTGAAAGAAAGAAAAGGTTACTATGGGCATGTCCCTGAGGTGTGTATCAGTGCAAGTCTGTGTATACACACACACACACACACACACACAGTCTCTCTCTCTCTTACATATATATGTAAATAGAACTTAAATCTGTCTTGTGCTGTGTTTTCGCCTTAGTAATACTTTATTTCTCTTATTAAAAATACATGGAACTCACCATCTGATAGGTAGAAAGGCTAAGAGAAATGCAACCAGAGGGAGGTAATATTCCTGGCTATAGTCGATTGGTGTTCAGAGTGTTTTGATTCTCTGAATGAGTCAAAAGATTGAAAAAAAAATAGCCACTCTTATCACTAGGAAAAGAAATGAGGAGGAAGGGTCCTGAAAATGGTGTCTGAGCAATGAAAGACAGTGAATATTTTAAAGATCACAAAATTTAATTTATTCAACCTAAATGCATAAAAGTACAGGTGGGGACATTATTTATGCAGGTATATGCAAATCACTTTATAAAATAGGCAAAGCCCTTCTGCTTTTTATAAGTTGCCAAGGTGGTTCCTGATATTTTAAAAGCTATGCACCTTTAATGTAATTTCCTAAGAGTTGGAATCCCTCTGTCGAAATCATAGTCATTGTCAGAGCAAGTTGATTTTTTTTTTTCCTATCCTCTGGGACATTTACAAGGATCTTATAACCATCACAAAAAGAGTGGTTTCCACAGAGATGTGACTGGAAAAATCCCTTGGAAATTGCTGAGGAGCAAGTCACAGTGTTCAAAGCAAAGAACATAGGCTTTGAAAACATGAACCCATCTGACCTCTTGAATTTAGTACAGTGAATTCCTGAGCTCTGAAACATGGGGCCCGGCTGTGCATGCCATATTGGTGCTATAAGACTGGCAGTAGGTTGGCTGTGGCATGGTCTATTTCAAACTCCTTCACAGTGCCCAGTGTTGCATGTTCCCAGATGACATTTGGTTGGCAGAAGCTGGGCTTCCAAAGCTGGCAGCCTGGAATGCAGCCCACTGTGTTTTGACAAACACATAATTGACCATCTGATCACCAGCCTACGTTCTGCACTCAGGTCACTGGGGGACCTGGGCTTTCAATAGGTCCCTACTCCTCGTCTTGTTCATCTTCCCAAACCTTTCTCCAGAAAGCAATATAGAGAAGGCTTAAACACACCCACGCATATCCTCCCATTTGCAAAAGAGAACATAGTACATGAAACATAAGCTGTTGAAAATTTCCTTTAAATTGTCCTGGCAGCCCAAAGTGAACAAGAGAAAAGCACACTTATGGTGAACTCTAATTCAGAGAGAAGGAATGAATACACTGAATTGTTTCAACACCCGGCTGTGCATAAGTTGCAATTCAGTTCAATGGTTTGGAAATTTTGCTTAGAAAAAGGGAGCAATGAGAAAATGATAGGAAATTGGGGCATTGATTGACTTTAGGGGGGCATTATTTAGAAACTGTTTCATTTTCAGGTGAAAGAAGAGACAAGCAGGACACTGGGAATGTCTTCTCCTTATCTGCCTGCTCCTCCCTCACACCCACTATGGGCAGTAGGAGGCACGCGAGCCTGGTGACCAGGGGGCAGTAGCTCAAAGTGAGGTCATATTCAAATTGAGGTCTTTGCTGAAGATCCCATAAGGATGTATTTTGGTCTGAAATTTGACTCCACACAATGTTTCAGCCTTTCTCCTAGAAGGCAAAGATTATGCAATAGGCCAAGATATGCTGGAATTACACAAAGGTTAATGTCTATTTCAACACTACCAAATAGCCTCTCCCTCCATCCTACCCCTACTGCACAGTTCAGGCCTTTGGCTTTTACCTTTGACCTGGTCTCCCTATTCTGAGTCAGCCTCTCCACTTTCACCAAGTGCTCTTTCTAAAACATACATCTGCTTACAATTCTTCAAAGCCTCCTTGAGCCTGCAGGATCAAGTCCAAACTCCTCTGCACGGCATACAAGGTCCTCCGTATGGCAGGCAAGGTCCCCTGCCTGCTTTCCAGCCCAATCTCATACTACTCTTTCAACCACCATGTTTCAATCACACTGAACTATTCACTCCTCTGAATCTCGCTGCTACTTAACGCCTCCTGATTTTGTAAATGCTCTTACATTTTTCTTGATTATGATCCCCTTTTCTTTCTGCTCTTTCATATCTACCTGGTAAACTGCAATTTACTCTTCTGACTTTAAGACCCAGCCTGGTCACCTTACCACATCCAAGTGGGCACTCCTCCTTCATTCCTCTTACTACGTCTTGTATATACCTGCATTTCAGTGCCTATCATATGCTATAGTCTTTATTCACTTATGTATCTCCCCTATCAGACTGAGATTTCTAACAAAAGAAAGCATTTCTTATTTATCCCGGAGTTTCCAGAACCAAGCACAGTGACTAGCTTTCCATAAATGTTTGTTGAATGAAAACTAAATAAAGAGCTGTACATGATAATTAATCAAAACGAAGCCAAGTAGTAGTGTTAGCTTTTATAAGCATAGTAGGAGCCCATTAGCAATCTAATGAAGGCAGAAGATCCCAGCAGTAAGGCACTTTCTGATGGGTATGGCAGGGGCTGGTGACTGGCTGGGGTGACAGTAAGAGTGAGGGATAAATTCTGTGATGGAGGAAGGTCTTTTTAACAGAGACTGCCACTAAGGCTGTAAATTAACACCCTTTTCAAGACTTAATATTCAATACTGAAAGATATTGTCCTGAGAATAAATCTGAATCTGAATTGTATAGAGACCTAACTTATAAGAACCAAGTTTCCCAAATAAGGTAAGTCTGTGCTACCTGCTTCAAGGTAGCATGGCAGATTATGGAGGGTTCCTCTTTGTTTCTGCTAAACAGTAATGGAATGGGAAATTCTTGGGGGAACATCTGAGAGCTCTTCAGTTCCTATTGAAATCCAGGTCAAATACAGATTGTGATACTGGACTAAATGCACTGCTAAGAGAAGATCGAACAAGCAGAATTCTGTACCTGTTTAGAGGAGGCCATTGAAGAGGCACTTGGAGTCAAAGCACTGGGGAGATAATGTTCTGATCTGTTCTCAAGGGACATTGGACATTTCTTTTCCTTTTGTCGAGCCTCTGGGGCACCACTCTGGAGCCATCAACCATCAACTGTGTCTATGGGATACTTGAGGACAGTAGGACTGTCATAAGCCCGGTCACCCTGCTGATATGAGGGCAGCTTCAAGATTTGGAACAAGCCAAGCAAACATGAAGCCTGGCCCAGGGATGGCACAAGGTCATGGGTATATGAACGGATTATCTGCTCATTATAGGTCACTCCCCCAGCCTTATGTGTGGTTAAAAAATAGGATATCTCTAGAAGCTATGCAACTGATGGCTGATGTAGCATAGAATCAGATTTGCATTTTCCTATGAGCCAGAGACAGCCTTTCAACTACACTTTTTATCTCAAAAGTCTCCCCCTTGATTCCTAATTGGTGACACAGGTCCCCTGTACTGCTTGTGTCTGAGGCTCGCCCTATAGCACTGACGTCACAATAGCTGAGCCGTGCGGGCAGGAGTGCACTGTGCTGACTCATCCCGGTGATGTGAGGATTAATGCCTTGTCTAACACAGAGCTATTATGTGAACTGTTTTTACACAAAAGAACTGTAACAAAAATGATTTGCCAGTCAGAGGACTAGAAATATGCAGTGCTAGGTAACTGAGGGGAGGGCTGTGCAGATATAAAGTGGTAACCATAAGCATGCATATTGACATCCTCCAAAGCATTTACAGACCCACTCTATCAACACTGAAATAGAGAATAACAAGACTTGTCAGGGACAGGTAGGACCCACCCCTGTTGTATAAATGCATTACACACAGCTCCAGTCTTTGGGGAGTTTAATCAATCTCCTTTCTCTGTCAAATAAACTGTCACGTTACACTTTAGCCTTAGCATCCTTTGGAGGATTCTGCCTCCCTAAATATATTTGCCACTATCTTCTAGGAATGTTAGTGGAAGGCACGCATAAACAAAATAGCCATGGGAACCTCCATTCTGTGCAAATGATTATAATACAAGAAATACCTTGGAGTGAAGAGTCAGTGAAGCAAGATATAATGTTGTGAATAAGGAACAGAGCTCACCAGAGAGTGAGAAGCAGCCAGAGGATACCGATAATTATTTATCACATTAGGTGACTATCACTACCTGTAGGATCTTTTGGGTGGTGTCTCTTATAAGTGACTTTGATTATTTGGGTTCATTGGCCTAGAATCTTTTTCAAGCAGTTCAAAATAAAATTTATTTAAACCCATTCAGTGCAGCCTGGTTTGAATTTTAAATAATGAACGTTCTCTTTTTTTTCATATAAAATCGTGTTTTTTTTTCCCCCCGAATACCTTTCCATCTTTTCTAAAAAAGAGTGGTACCTTTATAAACCTTCTGGCACACGTGAATCTGGGATTTCTTTTTTTCCCCTGTAGACTTCATAATTTTGCACAAAAGTTTAGTCTATTTATTTTACAGTCTTGTACTTCTTAGTAAAGGGATATTAGAAATTTTGTCAATAAATGAAAGCTCTGATCTAGAAGTTAAAATTAAAAACTATTGGACCTAGGGATGGGTACATAACTGAAGAATACATAATTGCCCAATGATTGACAGGGGAGCAAAAGCCCAACTGTTGCTGGTATTTGGCTGAATAATGTAAGCTATACTTTAAAAGAGCAGTGACTTTTGCAAACAGCAGCTGCAGCCAAGTAAAGGGCAGCCTTTATAGAAGTACAGTATCTGGGCCACTGGTATTTTCTGCACCCTCATGGATAGCAACTTAGTATTACCACCAACAGCATACACTCCAAACGCAAAAGAAACTAATACACACTACAGAAGCACTAGAAACCACAACAAAGTCAACTAGGAAATATGCCAGTGAAAACCACAATTTCCTAAATCTGACACTTTTTTTTTTAAAGGTAAAGAAATCACTTTTACTTACGTAAAGAGAAGGGGCAGGTCACAGACTGATGGTCAAAGATCTGAAAATCAAAGAAAAAATAAGGAATTAAAAGCAAACCGATATATGATGCAAAACCAATATATAAAAGCAAAATGATACAGTGGGAAGAAAGAAAGCAAATCTAGGCATAGATGGGACTGGTTGTTCCTAAAGGAGCCTATTTTGTCACTTCTAGCCTCAAAATAAAGGAGACCCAGCTTCATAAAAACTTTCTAAAGGTATGACCCCCTGCTATGATGACCAAGACAGTACTTCCCAGCACAAGGAGTGCAAAGACCTTTCTTTGTTCATTTCATTCTAATCTGTATCATATAGGATTTGGTAGAGCTATGTTACCATTTAACAAAATAGCCACTAGCCACATTTGTCTATTTAAATTTAAATTATTTAACATTTAATAAAAAGCTAAACATTTAGTTCCTCAGTCTTGCCAGCTTCATTTCAAGTGCTCAATACCCACATGTGGCTGGTGACTGCCTTACTGGATAGCACAGATAGAAAATGTTTCTATTATTGTAGAAACTTCTATTGGGCAGCACTGACTAGAATAGGTAAAAGCTTTACTATACAGTACATGACCAATTTTAGCTAATTTTGACAAAGATGAGTCAAACCCTGATAAACTTTGTCTCTTTTAAGGTATATTTAGTATGTTTAATGTCCAGAAGTTCCTCTGAACAAATTCAATACATTCGTGTGTAGCTAAGAACTCAGTCCTAAGTTTGCCCCGGACTTGCCTTCTAAAACTGCCTCTACCCCTTCTCACCAGCCTAGAATGTCCCCTCTATGGTGGAAAATAATCTGATAAAGTGATTTTAAACAAAGCTTCTCTCCCACCAAACACAACTCTGTTTGGTGATGAAAATTTCAGATGAAATGATGAAAATTTTAGATTTTGGAGAAGCTGACCCTAACAGTGTTCTTGTTCTATGTTTAAAATCTGATATTTCACTCTTTAAATTACAAGCCAGGCTAGGCGCGGTGGCTCACGCCTGTAAATCCCAGCACTTTGGGAGGCCAAGGTGGGTGGATCACTTGAGGTCAGGAGTTCGAGACCAGCCTGGCCAAAATGGTGGAACCCTGTTTCTACTAAAACTACAAAAATTAGCCAGGCATGGTGGCGGGCGCCTGTAATCCCAGCTACTTGGGAGGCCGAGGCAGGAGAATTGCTTGAACCTGGGAGGCGGAGGTTGCAGTGAGCCCACATCACGCCACTGCACTCCAGCCTGGGTGACAAGAGCAAAACTCCGTCAAAAAAAAAAAAATCACAGGCCAAAAAAAAAAAAAACTATTATAGGACTGGTCTGCCCATCATTGTGCTTTGTTTTTTTTTCTTTCTTTTTTTTTTTTTTTTGAGATGAACTCTCCCTCTGTCACCCAGGCTGGAGTGCAGTGGCACGATCTTGGCTCACTGCAACCTCTGCCTCCTGAGTTTAAGCGATTCTCCTGCTTCAGCCTCCTGAGTAGCTGGGACTACAGGCACGCACCACCACACCCAGCTAATTTTTGTAGTTTTAGTAGAAATGGGGTTTGCCATATTGGCCAGGCTGGTCTCAAACTCCTGAACTCAGGTGATCCACCCACCTTGGCCTCCCAAAGTGCTGGAATTACAAGTGTGAGCCACCGTGCCCAGACCCATCAGTGTTTTGATAGCTTCTCTTAGAAGGATAAAACTGAAGTAGGAGGAGAGCCATGACAAATTAATAAACCAAAAAAAGATACTGAGAAAACAAAGCAGGTCCCCCTACCTCTAGCCCACTTAAATATATCAAGAATTTAATACAGGGTGATTCAATCTTGCCTCTCTGACACCATGATTTTAACAACTTCACATAAGGCCTCCAGAAATATGCAAAACAAACTTCACTAAAGGAGATCAAGTAGAAGGACCTGATTAAGTATCTTTGCATTGAAAAGGCTAAAGCAGAAAACCAGCAATTAAAGACATCACCCTTCCTGGAAAGTTTCTGGGACAACTGCACTATTGTAGAGATTTCTTCAAAGAAATGATTTCCCTTTGTGGTCAATGTGAAACCTTGCTCAAGTACATGCAGGTGTACTTGATGCAGGATGGTGACAAGACGAGTTAAGATGAAAATCTCCAGCCTGGATTATTATAATGCTAATACAAGAGAGGCTGGAGATCTCCAATGCTTTCAAATTGTTTCACAAAATTCATGAGTTTAATGAAAATTTTAGGCAAGAGAATTAGATTATGTATGATTCATTGAAAGCACATACAAATTTGAAATATATATATAACACTGACTAGTCTTCAAAGATTTTAAAGCTCTAAGTTTTGCTATATTCTAGTCTTCTCTGCAAGCCAGGATATTAGACTATGGCACAGGGGCATATTTTCTTACCATTTTCCTCCCTCCCTCTCTCCTTTCTTCCTTCCCTCCCTCCCTCCCTCCTTTCTTACATTCCTCTCTCTCTATTTCTCTTTCTTTCTTTCCCTCTCCTTTTTTGAACTTGCTGTCTTCTCTAACCTTGGGGAGAAGAAGAAAATATTATTAGCAATTTTCTATGAAATATGTTCAATGATCATTTTTCTGTTGCATGTTATAAACCCAATAACTCTCAACAATATTATGCTCTTCTAAAATTATACCTAGTGTTTATGTTCTTATATCTAAACACATAACTTTCTTTTCTAAATTTCAAGGTGCATTTATTCATAAAATTAGTTAAAATTAAATTTTTGATGTGATCAAAAGAGATCAATGTAAGTTGTACCCAAATTGACTAACACATCCAATGTCTGGAATGAAAAACTATCTTTCCTGGATGTCAAATGACACACAGGATGGCTGTCAATGATAGGAATCCAAAATGGAGAGAAAAATTACAGTGTGTATGTCACAGTCTAAAACAAATTAAAGCCAAGTTAGATGGAAGTTTTATTGGATATAATTGTTGTACTTATATGTTAATATAAAATGATAATATGATCCCAAACTTAATAGTATGGCTAAAAATTTAATCTCAGAGTTCTTACACAATTCATAAATGTTCATAGGCATCAAAAGACACCTACTTCTTGACTGAATTATAATCTGCTATGTAATTCTGAGAATATGTATTAATCTACATAGATTTATATTTGCTCAATTCAAATTGTTATTTCATTGATACATGCTCTTTCCACCTAAGTGATATTCACCTTATATGTCTATAAGTTGTTTTTATCTGAAATGCAAAGAATTATCTATAAAAGTTTCACAGAGGATTAAAAACATTTGCATTAAGCACACTTTGTTCAAAGCATAAATATATCTAGCAAAGAGTATAAAACTGTAAAGCCCAAGTAATTCAGGACGTTAAAATATCAGGGTGGAAGGTGGGGGATGAGCAGAGAGAGGGGGATGACGAGGGGTGAAGTTTAATCTTCGTATTATAATGTCTGAGTGGAAATTATTATATAGTGTCAATCTCCAAGAATCAAAAATATTATTAATTATAACTTTAAAGTCAATTCTAGTGTAGTTTATGTAAAGTTCTACAGCAGTGGTTTTCAACATTTTGAAGTGATACCGATCCCTATGAGAATCTCTTTCTCCAGAAAACTCCTCAAAAACACCAAGTTTCAAGGAACTCCTAGACTCCATGAAGGCCATTCATGAATCCCAGGTTAGGAACCCCTGGCCTAGGCAGACAGGGGAGAAAAACCCTCTTTCAATCCCATAGCTACTCACCTCTACAGAGTTTTCATGAAATGCTATAAACTAAAGCCAGCAGCAAAGAAAATGTATAAAAAAGAGTTCTAAGTGGGTAAGGGTATGTGGTTAGAGCCACACAGGCTTCTTTGAAGGCCTGCCAGACTCCTACCTTCCTAGTCCTTTATAATTTCTTTTTTAAAAAAATCTACAAAGCCTTAGCAACAATGGAGTAGAGGAGTACCGAGCAGAGAGATGATAATGATATAAGAATCACTATCTACTGAGTCCTTCAGGTACCTTGAGAAATAAATCCTTCCCAAATTTGGATATGAGTATACCCAGGAATGTGAGCAGTGTAACGGGAGTAGAAAAAGCCACAAAATAAATAGTAAATACATGGCTGTCTTCCTGGAGGGTCAGTATTCCTTGTGGGCAAGTAATTTAAAGTCTTATTTGCACACGTGTTCATTTATCCAATAACTACTTCTTCAATGTTATACCAAAAAGAAAACAGATACTGTTCTTGTCCTCATGGAACTTCCGGTTGAGTGAAACAAACAAGAATATATTGAGGAGCTGAAAGGAAAATCTGTGTATATATTTTTTGGGTGAAACCTGAGACTTCACTGAAAAGTCTTGTTTGTGGCAGACTACTTCAAGCAATGTCCTGGCAGGCACCCTTAGTATTGGATCACTCACTCTAACTTGAGGATCACCCAAGTGGAAGAGTTTGAGAAGCATGGTTAGCAGTGTATCATTTAATCCCCACTACAAGAGAAAATACTGTTACTTCCAATTTACTAGAGAAAAAAGAGAAATTTGAGAAATTAGGAAACAGCTCAGATCATACCGCTGCTGGCGTCTGAATAAGTGTGTGCCATTCCAAAATCTACATATTTTTAACCACTAAATTACACTACCTTTAGGAGTTTCCCACTTTATGTTTCCCCTTGAATCTGGGCTCATTCAGGATTACGCAGGCTAGTTTAAGCTTCTCTTTGGAAGCAGACAGGTTTGGCTTGATTTGCATTCTAAATATTTCACAGTGGTAAGCGAAAGCTATTATTATACCCATTTTATGGTGAGGAAGCTGAACCACTTGCCAGCTGAGGTATCTGGCTGGGTTAAAAACAGAATCTGGGTCGTCAGACTCTCATTCCTCTTGACTAACTCCAAGCCTAGGCACTATTACTGTCCATGGGCTTTTCTGAACATGAGATTCACACTGGGTGATAAAGAGTGAGACAAATTCTGCTAAGAGAAAACAATAATAGTGCAATTGAAAAAAAGGGAAAATAAGTAATCATAACTCACACCAAAATTGGTTACTTTCAGCATTGTGAATAGAAAAGGGAGAGATTATTCATCACAAATGAGTCAGAAAATTAGAATGTGTCACTGCACTGATGACAGAGCTGAGGAATTTGGATGAACTGAAGTTTGACACTTATCCTTCTAGCTGAAGAGGGTAAATGGTGTGACAACAGGACAGAAATGACCTCTTATTTCCAATCTTAATTAATATTTCCAATCTTTTTTCCTTAACTACTCTGTCTAAAAGTTAGATGGGTTTATATGTTTGTTTTCTATCGGTAGAGATAATGTTTTAACATCCCTTTAACGTTCTAGAAGTATTGCGTTAATTAATTCTTATGTGGGAGTCATTCCAAATAGTAGGATGATGATTTTTACCTTATTGATTTTCCTAATACCTTTCTGGTTTCCAGTGTTTTCAAAGGATGAGGCACTATTAGATTTTTAGATTTATATGTCTCTCAAAATTAAGTGCCTGTCAACTGATATTCCATCTTTACTCTGGATACATGATTTCCTTTATCTGACAGATTCAAAAAAATTTGTACTAGATTTAATGACATTTCATGCATCTTGAATTTGGGAGTTTTTAATTCTCTATTTTCTATTTGGCAAAAGGTTTACAGGAGAAAGCCAGATGCAAGGGTATTTATATGTGCATACAGAACCTGTGCCATCACTCTCTAGGTACTTTGGGGTTTCCTGCAGGACAGATTCTTGATGTATTTTCATTCCTTTTGGTCAGGAAGAAGAAGACTATAAATGCCACAAATGGTCATACATATCTTGGGGTCTGCTTTCCAAAACGCATATTATTTTGGATCCGTCTCAAGAAGAACAATAAGAGAATGATACTGAGATCTTTTTTTCTTAAGATGCTATGATAACAATCCTAAAAAATGGCCTGCCTTCAAAATTTTGATGATGAAATAAGGTTATAATCAATAAAGAGAGAAGATTTTAAAGTTCAGCAATTAGGTCTGGGACTGCTTCTGCGCCTGAGACATTGCCAAGATACAATGTAACACTCCATCCCACCCCATATGAATCTCCCTGTTCCTTCTTGATTCTTACGGGGATAGGGTCTGACAGACTAGAATGAAATGAAAGCAGTAGTGCTGGGAGGGGTGGCAAGGACCGAATTTGTTTAATACATTTAGGATGGTTTTTTATTGCTGCTAAACTAGACACAATTCCTTAGCATGATGACATTCAGGAATCCTTTACAATCTGATTCCAAAGAACTTTCTCTTCTATATCTTAAACTACTGAAATTGTAGCTCTATAAATTCCAAAGGGATTGATGTACCAGGACCTTTGACTTATAGTAAACTGATCTTAAGGGATGCTGAAAAGGTTTGGCACTGCTATCATGTGGTCTAATCATTTAGACTTGTCACTACCAACTATTTGCTTAAGAGCCTCCAAGACCTTTCACAATCTGGCCCCGGCCCACCTCTCTACTTTTAATAAAAAATTTTCCCACTGCTGCTTCTTTATATACGGTGACAGCCTATTTGCTCTTCCCTGAACATGGCCTGGGACATCTATGTCTCTGAGTCAGCTAACGGTTCACACTTGAATCTCCCAAGCCTAGCATAGTGTGTGAAACACAGCACGACACTCCAATGTTTGTTGAATAAATGCTGTCCGTCTATTTTAGGAGACAGAGATGACAGAAGAAAGTTGTTAAATCAGTAAATAAATAGCACCAGAGAGAGGTCAAGGAAAAGTTAATTTTAGTGCATTTTAGGAGTGGGGGCAAGATGAGCTTGAAGATTAGGAAAACTGATGCTCTTTATTCTTGGGTCTAGCCAATGCTATGAGTCAGTTACTTTTTCGGGAACAAGTTTAAACCTCAAGGTTAAATGAACACAAATGCCCTGTCCATCAGCATATAATGAAAAAGTTGTGGCTATTTCCACATCAGCACAGTGAAATTAAAATATGCAGTGCCTCTCTAAGAGGCATCACATATGACAGAGCTTTTAAAAATAGTCCCCTTTGCCACTCAGGTATAGAAAGAGCTATAGAAACAAAAGCAAATGTTTGAAAAACTGAGATAATTTAGCTTAGGGAAGAAAGAGCTGAGGTGTGTCTTTATGGTTTTTTGACTATAAGAAAAGTTGTTACAAAGAGGATAATGATCAGCATTTTTGTCCTAGGGCAAAATGACATTAAACCGTCCAGTGCAGAATTTAAGACTTAAAGATGAACATTCTAAATATGCAAGTGGTAAATAATCAAATAGATTGCTAAGAGCAGTTCTGAAATTTCTTTCTTCCTGACTCTCTTAAAATAGGAAAAATCTTCATCTATTTTGGATAAAATAAATGCAGCTCTGCCTCCAGTCAGGAGAATGAATTCAATAACTTTTCTAGTCTTGTTTAACTCTGTATGATTCTATAAAATTCTATAAAATGTTCACCCTAAAAATTATACAGAATCACAATACAGTTGAGTAAAATACATTCTACAGTTTAAAAAGAAATAAGCAATACAGATAGTTGATAAGTTATTACATTCAAAATAGTAATATATGGTGCTCACGTTTTTTATTCAATTTGCCAAGTGCATATAACACAAATAAAATTGGGAAAAATGTACTTGAATCTACTAAGGCTTTAACATAGCGATTATCTAGAGTAAAACAGTCTAACAATTAATTCTTTCATGTCTAAGAAATTTGCTGAATATTTCATAAACCTCATATTGAATATGTATATAAACTCAATTTCCAATTAAAGAAAAAGTTTTTTGAAGGTCCAGAAAGTAATATATGAACTCACTATTATTATTTCCTGGACCATCTTCAAAGACAACAGGAGAACCACTAAACAATTCCTTTAAATGACCAAAATGTGCCCCATATGATTAAGAATGTAAATCTAATAACAGACTCACAGATAAGGTCTAACAGGGGTGGCAAGTTACTGGCTTTCTTTGTCTATTTACCTTTTAGCTTTGGAGCTCAGCAGAAGTGTCCATTACATACAGCACAGGGTTAGATGAACAGCTCCAATGACCTTGTCTGAACCAAATTCATTTAAAGCAGTTTGCCACTTTTCTTAAATAGAAGATGAGTCCATTCTATCTATGGCCCAGATTTGGACTGGATCACTGAACTATTGCCCAACTCTTATAAGCAAAGCACTAACATGTACCAATCAACAGGCGAAGGCATCAGGAAGGTAAAAATACACATACATAAGAAACTGGCAGTAGATTAAAGAAGAAAGCTATATCTAAAGATGGACTTTGGCTTTTAAAGCCTTTGAGTGTTATTCGAATCTTGTTAACAAAAACAAAAACAAAATCTGCATTCCAATGTAACTTGTAGAGAAGATCCAGTAAAAAAATGAATTCAAGAGAGAGAGAGAAAGAAATGTAGTTTTATTTTGCAACCCATTATTTCCATAAGAACATGAATCAAAGAGTCAGCTATGCCAATTTCTTCATAGCTGACTAGTTATAGGATATTGTTCTAGTCTTCACTAATGACTTCTTGAGGTTGGTTATTACTGTGATCAGGAGTTGGGAGGATAGAGGTCTAAGACCTTTCAAAAGAAACGTTTTGTTTAGTATCACTACAGAAAATAAAGTCAGCATTAAGCTAACTTTGACAACCTAACTAGGATAATGGTTGGTGCATGTAGCCATTGCTTATGCTGCTTCATAATGAATGGAACAGTAAAGGTGTCAAGTTAACCAGCAACTTGAATTTTGAAAAGCTGTGGCACAATAAGCTGATAACATAGGTTGTTAGAATTAGCAAAACTTACTTTCTGCTTCCCCCACCTTCTAGTCCTACTTATTTCCACATCCACATTCCTATCACCAGGCAGTTAAAGAAACAGAAACAAATGCGGCTGAGACTGCTTCTTTGGGGATACTCTTAGTGAGCTCTCCATCTCCCCAACCACAACTTGCTCTCAGTTTGCTAAAAATATATTCATTTAATTGTTTTAATGCCTCTACTTAGGGGAATTTGCATTTTCTTAACTGTTGATACAAGATCTACATTCAGTTTTTTTCACAGGTAATAAGCAAAGTATTTGGGGAGTGTGTGTGTGTGTGGTGGTGGTGGTGGTGGTGGTGGTGGTGGCAAATTCCGTCCTAGATGCTTCGAGTTTTCCAAGTATACTGCTAAAAGGGGTCATTTGCTTCCCCACCTCAAGAAGCCAATTGTGCTTATAGTTTTACTTCAAATAAAGATATATACCTATAAATGCACACATCATACGTGCACACACACATATTCTTCTTCTCAAAAGTCATAAACATTTGGTGACTCTCTGTATACTCCATGAAGTGCTGTTACTACTAAAGTCAGAGTAATTTAGGCAGAAACATAAGAAACCCCAAATGGTTTGCACTGAAATTTTATTAACATATTTGTCAGTGTTTTCCTCATGGATAATCTCCATTGGTTCCTGGCTCCTTGTCAGCATATGCTCCAGGAGCCTCTCACAATATCTTTCTGCCCTAGAAATCCTGGCCTGTGAGATTTCCTTGTAAATATCTGAATTCTTGTATTCACCTATTAATGATCCAGGGATCGAGGATGTTTTCTATCTGCTCCTTAACCTCCCACTTCAAGGATTAGATTGTAAACAACCTAGTGGGAACCCTTCAGGCCAAACCACAGCTGAACGAATCTCAGCAGGCAGGGAACCCGCAGCAGTCTGTGAAATACCGTGAAACACAATTACGAAAATATAAAGTATTCACCCATACTTTGGGGAAGAAATTATGTTGTTTCCAAGATGAGACCTCAAAAATAAGGCTAGTATCCTAATTGAGAAAGACATGATTTTAAAAAGTGTCAGCAGAGGTAAATTTTTAAAAGTACCAGATTTGCCAGGTCCTTCTCAAACCATAGATTCATTTTCAGTATATGACAGTGGCCTGAGCCGACACTTCAAGGGAAGTCCATTCATCTCTGACCAATGAAGCCCAAAGTACTCACTGCATGAAAGGGTTCCTTTCTTGTTTCCAAAGGCAATCAATTTTTGTCCTAGAGTCTGAAGGTTCATGGGCTTTCTTTTAATTTTGTCAGTCTGCACATGCATGGTTCCTCCTGCATGATTTGGTCTGGAGGAAGTGACCCACCCACAACGCCACAGAGCTAATTAACCCCACACTGAGCTTTTTTTTTTTTCTCATTTCACACATCCACTCAATGCTTTAAATGACCCAGCAGCAGCATGATCATATGATTTCTTCCCCCTCAGTGAGGAAAGCATGGTGATGGGAGGAGCAGGGATATATCTGCCCTAATCAAAACAGCAGTGTGATCCTAAAATATTATCTAATTGCATTGCATCCGAGGGTGCAAAATACTAAGAAATCCCTGAACGAATCTCTTTCATGTCATTCATTTAACTTCTTGCAGTGTCCATTTGAAGTAGCAAATAATACATAAGAAACACTGAGGTAGAGAAGTTTGATCTATACTCAGAATGTTTAAAAAACATCCGATCTTACAGGGGGTAAAAGACCGAGAGCTCCTTCCCTATCCCGAATAGCTTCAAGAGAAGGGCCTTTTTTCCATTTGAAGGAACAGACTCATGTTTTTCCAGATTTATTTTTTCCAAAGGGAATGCCTTGAAAACTCTAAGATGATCACTGTTTTCTAACTTTTCAAAAAAGAAAAAAAAAAGTGAACATGATGGTGGTGGGTGATTTAATGGAATCAGCTTGTCAACATGATGAAACTGAAAAAAGCTTTTATAGACTCTGTCCACATGCTAAAAAAAAAAAAAAAAGGCAACCTTTAAAGTTATGTGTATAGTATAGAGTGGTTTTTGTCATGGCAAAGAAAAGAAATATAATTATCTTATGCAGTAAATGTAAGGCTCTGCTAAGAATCTCATTGGATAAATCATAGAAATACATCCTGGCCAGATAAATGGAGCCAGACAAGTTCTAGGTCTTGTAAGAAGCTTTCAAAAGAATCATCATATTGTAAGTCTGTCATCTCTGTAAGTGACAAGAAAAATTCTAGGCTATTTCCCTCGGTTCTACTAGTAACATGGCTTCAGAGTTTTAAAGATTTAGACTTAAATGGACAAGAAAATGACTTCTGAATATCCCATCTTAGGCAAACTATCGGATTTCTCTCATTCTTACAAGTAAGTGTAGCAAATTGGTTCACCTTGGAAGGACTTGGTTAGAGATCATATATGTCTTATGTGAACTTTTAACCTCTCTTTCCTTTGCAAAGTGATTTATGCATACACTATTAAATACACAGGAATTCTATAATTCTTAGTTCAGTGAACAGTTAGTACAAGGGAAAATCTATCTAATATTTTAAATTTTTGTTTAGTGTCTTAAATCCTACACTTTAGAACTGGAGACCTTATAGATAAGTTCTATAAGGTCTTCAGTGTGCTGAAAAACACATTTGCTACTGCTCCCTAAGCTTCTCTTAGGTAAGGCTGCCAACTGGGGTAAATTGATGGATAAAACTAGCTCAATAGGCAAAAAACAAAGGTCCAGTGAAGCACAGTTTATTTTTATTTATACTGGTCAGAAATATCACAGTTAACAAATAGCCTAAATCAAGCTCTTATATCTAGGGCTCCAGCCTTTGGCTGAAGTGTCTCATCTGGTAATTCTGAAAAAAATAGGGTTGTTGTGATTTCAAAGACTCTCCTGCCCAGTAGACTTTTTCAGGCTCACTGATGCTTAGGATTCTAAAGCCTTTACTATGGTCTGTTAGACCAATACAGTATGTCCCTTACTATTTCTCTGACTTCATCTCCTAACATTTTCATGCAAAATTGGTCCAACAGACAATAAAATAGACAGGGATAGGAATATGAATGGGGACTAAAAGGAACTAATTAATAAAAATTAGTTGCTTTATGTCCTTGTTAAATATCAACTCTTTCATGACAGCCTAATAAAGTTTCTGAACTTATCTTGAGAGTTGGTTAAGATAGGGGAGAATATACAAAGTATTTCCAACACCATGCATTCATTCATTAATTCAACAAATAGTTTTCCCGAGTCTATTATTGATTACTCTGCCAACTGGATTCTACTTCTGCCCTCAAGGACCTTCCACTCTAATGTATGTTTTGGAGAGTTTCTGTCTCTATTATCACTGACAGGTTATTAGCCCACTTTAGACAAGTTATAAATATAACCACCTGCCATGATGATTCCTCTTCTTGTTCTTTATTTGTTTTTATTCATTTGCCCTGTAACATCCATTAACCTTTCATGAATGACCTGATCCTTTGTGAGCTATACTATCAACACAGCTAATTTTTATATAAATGAGAAACCCCTTCTCCACTCCCAACTAACTTTTCTTTCTCAAACAGCCATGAAAATATAAAAGTCTACCCAGAATTATTTAAGTTTTTGAAATGAGTCCTTACAATCTGATCTGAAGCACCATTTTTTTCCTTTCTTTTTTGAAAGAGGGAATGGAGCCTCAGCCCCTAAGATACATATCTCAAGTTACAGGCAAATTACACACAAGTTACTGGTCTCCCAGACGTAGTACTCACTACTCTCTGGGGTAGAACAATTTCTGCATTGAACAGAGGACCATAATCTAGCTCAAGTAATCTCAATCTCAGAGAACAGTTAACCAAGTGCATATTTCTGGTCCCTATATTCTCTTATAAGGAGTTACCCTCTCCACTATATTTTGGTATTTTCTGAACCTGGCTACCTTAGGTAAATGACAGTGGACATGGTAAAAAGAACACTAACTCTTCCTCAATTTGTTAAACTTGTTTTTCCTCCTCATATGCTTTATAAACAAAAATGGGAGAATTTAATGTATGTATAGAGCAGCAAATGTTCTCTCTGTTGCTTTCAGACATTTTTATCTTATATAAACAGTGGTGATGAAATTATAAATACCATTATTCCACCTCTATGTTAATACTCTTATTATCTTGCATCAACAGACGTGAACAAATACGTACATGACACCAATCAATCCCTTTTCTAAAAATGCAGTTTTTGTATTTCTAAACAGTGGAGGAAGAATTTTATGAATTCAACATGTAGTTTACCTATTTATATTTTGAATTTTAATAAAGTAAAACCAAATTATCGCTTATGTTCTTTCACACTTACATCAGCCATTAACACTCTCCATGCTGGCATGGGGTAGGGGGTGTGTAGAACTAATGGCAATGGGTCCAAGTCCCCTGGGTCAGGTGGTTAGGGGCTTGGCAGGCTGGAGAGGATGTTTAGATGCTGGGGCAGGATATTTCAACCTGCTTGACAGGTAAGAGATATTTTCTGGCAGTAAGAGGAATATTTTTTATGGAACAAATTGCTAGGGAGAGGTCATTTTGGGGCACTAGGTGAGAGAAATATCAAAACCAAACCTAAAAGCAGTCTAAGGGAACTCGGGAAAAGAAAATCACTACTTTTTCAATCTCCTCACTGGTTTCCCTTATTCCATAGTGTGCCTTCTCCTTCCATCTTCTAGCACTTCATACTCTTTTCTCCTCCATTTCTTCAGGTTTTCTTTCTCCTACCTCTTTATTATAACAAAAAAAAGCATTTAGGAAGAATTCTAGGAGACAGGGAGACAAAAAAAAAAAAGAATTTAGAGAAGACATAATAACATACTGCATAAATATGTATGTATGTATGTATGTGTTTATGTATGTGTATATGTATGTATATATAACAGATATTCGATTTACCAAGAAGGATAAACTGGGACTTTTGAGATTTAAAAAATTCATGGTATGTCTGGTCATATTAATCTCCAAACCAGCTTGTTTTTAGCATTGCTAGAGCTATAACAGAATCAGGAGTAGAAAACAAAAGGAAAAAAATAAAATTTAACAAAGGATTTATATTTGCAAAGGAAAGAGGACTTATTTAGAGTTGTTTATTGAAATTCCCCCAAAGCTATTTTTTGAACTTATATATTGACAACATCAAGAGAAGGAGCTTAGGAATTCTCATAGGGTTTAGGAACTACTAAACCTTGTATATTATGTTCATCTCAGTCCACTCAAGCAAGTAAAGGATAACTAGAGGATGGTATCTCACAGTGCATAACATGGTTGGTTACTTTGCTAGGCTGACATATGGAGACAGGGCCCATAGGAGCAGAGCTTTTCTTACGAATACCAGAGAGAGACACCCAGGTTCATCTAAATGTATAGGGCATGAGGGATTAGTGGTACAGTGTTATCTGCAAAGTACCTAAAAGTGTTTTCTAAACAAGCACTAACTTCTTAGCCCAGTCTTCTTGGGGATTAAACAAAATCCAATAGTAAGTAATGGGGAATACTTTATTTGGTCACTGGGTTGGGGAGGGTTGCTGAGACATATGACAACATTCAATCCATTAAGATAGGAGGAAATGAGGAGAAAGAGAAAACAAAGAAAGGGAGAGCGAGGGCCAGAAAAGAAGAGTGTCACCTCTGTAGACTCTCTAACAGAATAAATCGATAATCTTAAGAAAAGTAAAAGAGCATGCCTAGAGGGAAACCTCAGCACACTTTTGGAATCCAAGGCAAAAAATAAAACAATTTGCTTCTTGTCAAGTTTATTGCCATTGACCCATGGGAGGTTCCTATTTATTCTGCTCTTACATGCACAGGTATTTCTTCTACTCTTACATTCTTTTCCTAAGGATTAGCATTCTGTGATAATGGTGGTAATGACAGCTGCCTTAAATTAGTGGCAAGTTAGGAATGAAACACTGACCACCAGGCTATGTTCTTGAATCCAGTCTATGCCCTGTAATGTGTTCATTCTACTTTCTGCATTTTCTCTGAGACCTGTCGCATAAGACTTGTTTTGTAAGGCCGGGCTCCTTACGGGGACACATATGGCTCCAGAAAACAAGTACTCTACTTTCTCACCCTGACTTTTTGGTTTTCTTGTTTTTTCCTCTTTTCTCCCAGACTATTATTTTCCAGTTTCTTCTCTACCAGTCTGGACGCCCATGGTTGTTAACTTTAGAGATACCCACCAGCTCCATCAATTCCCTCATCTACAGTTCTCAACTGTATTTACCTAGTTCTGGAGCTCAGATGAACCCACATGTATGTTCTCCTCAGCTTCCAGGCTGCTGATCCTTGCTGGAGAAAAAGCACAAAACTGTACAGCTTGATGCTCCTGCAGAATTACGGTTTCCAGCATAAGTTCGAATTTCAGAATTAGTTTGCAATTTTAAAATTTGCTCCTAGTCAGTTTCCTTTTTCACTCCACAGTTTCATTCATTACTCTATTTAACTGGTTATAACCCATCCCCTACCCTTCACTCTCAGCTAGTAACCTTGCCTCCTTTTGCATAGAGAAAACAGAGGCCATCAAATGGCACTTCCTATCACTCCACCTTTGCCACCAATGAATCCGCCTGTAACATTTCAGAGATCTTTCTGCCTAGCACTGATAACCTCATCCAGGATCTTATTATATCAGTTACTTTTCCTTTCTTTTGTATTTTCAATTTTCCTACTGCCTGCCAACATGCTTTAGCTGTCTTCATTTAAGGTAACAACAATAACAATGATAATAAACTAACAAACAACAAACCATCTTTTGCAGACTTTATCTTTCCCTCTTTTGTGCCACCTTCAAGCTTCCTAAGCTCCCGTTTATTCCTCAAACCATTACAATCTGGTTTCTCTAGCTGTGTTTCTAATTAAACAATTTTTTTTTTTTTTTTTGCCAAAGTCACCAAACACTTCTGAATTGTTAGCTTCCAAAATCCATTCTTCAACCTCATTGTTTTCTTTCTTTTAAAGGTCAGGTTCACTGAGGTATAATTTACATACAATAAAATTCATCCTTGCTATACTCATTTACCATTCAATAAGTTTTGCCTTATATGTTGGAGGCCTGTAAAATGAAGCCCAACCCCCAAGCCGCTTTGCTTCATATACAAATCCCTTTGGCACCTCTCAGCAGTCTTCCCCACATAACCCATTGTCTGGTGACACCACACTACTCAGCATTCAAGGATATATGCCATGTACATTCATGCCCCTTGTACTTTCTTTATGTTTCCTCTCTATAAACATATATGTCTTGGTATAACACAGTAAATGCTATTTAATATTACCACATCAATTTCCATATAGAATCATAAATCTATACGTTATTTTGAGAAGCTGAGGTTTTCCAAATAGAAGTCATCCATCAAAATGCTACTACCTGAAGATCTCTATTATTTTAGTATTATGGGTTGATTATGTTCCCTTAAAATTCATATGTTGACATTCTGGCCCCCAATTCTTTAGAATATGAATAGATGTGTGAATAGGGTCATTGAAGATGTGATTAAGATGAGGTCATGCTGTAGAGTGGGCCTGCAATCCAATATGACTAGTGTACTTATAAAAAAGAGAAACTTAAACACAGACATGCACACAGGGAGAACATCATGTGACGATGACGGCAGAGATTGGGGCTGATGCTTCTATAAGCCAAGGAACACCAAAGATTGCCAGGAAACCACCAGAAGCTGGGTGGGAGTCACGGAACTCACAGCCTTAGAAGGAGCCGACCCTGTTGATACTTTAATCTTGAACATCTAGCTTCTATAACTGTGAGACAAAAAATTTCTGTTGTTTAAGCCACTCAGTTTGTGGTAGTTCGTTACAAAGCCCCAGAAAACTGATATACTCAGTAAAAGAAAAAATCTTCAGTATATTGGAATCAGTTCTTTCACTCATCAGGTACTTACTGAGTGCCTACTATGTGCTAGGAACTGCTCTAGGATATTGAATGAATGACTAAGAACTTCATCACGTTACTGCATTTTTTGTTCACTAATAAGTAATCAATCTATCAATCAATATATTAATAGATGAAATGCCTATCATTTATTTTATCAGCAAACATTTGTTGAGTATCTCCTATGTGTCAGACATCGTTCTAGGCACAGAGGATAACATTATTGGCAGATCAAGTTCTCCACCTTGTATAGTTTAAATTCCAGTAGAGGGAACATATATTAAACAAGAAAATAAGTAAATAAGATATGTAATTTTACTCTGTTTCTGACACTGAGAGTCATAGGCATTTATCCTCTAAATCACTGAACAAAGCTTGGAACTAGATAGCGAACATGTTACTTCACAGTTTACAAAGTAATAAGGAAGACAATGAGGTCTCATACTAGAGGCACGTTAAACCACAGGCAGTGTGCAGGCTTAAAGTGTTTGGGAAGGACATCCCAAAAGCTAGGTTTCTTAGTCAGTTCGTCAGTCAATCAACACATATTTCTTTTTTTTTTTTTTGACCAAATTTCTCTCTGTTGCCCAGGCTGAAGTGCTGTGACACGATCTCGGCTCACTGCACCCTCTGCCTCCCGGGTTCAAGCAATTCTCTGCCTCAGCCTCCCTAGTAGCTGGGATTACAGGCACCTGCTACCATGCCCGGCTAATTTTTGTATTTTTAGTAGAGATGGGATTTCACCATCTTGGCCAGGTTGGTCTTGAATTCCTGACCTCATGATCCACCCGCCTCGGCCTCCCAAAGTGCTAGGATTACAGGTGTGAGCCACTGCACCCAGCCATTTGACATGTATTTTTTAAGCGCTTACTGTATACCAGGCCCTATGCTGAAGATAGTAGAACTGTGGACAGAGCCAACATGGTACTATTACCCACTGAGCTCACATTCTAAGGGGAAAAATTTGAACAACAAATCTCACAGTCCGTTCTTTATCATATATCCTCATAAGAATACATAAAGGGGGTTAGGAGATCACCTGGGTCAGAGGACTGGCCCATGAGGGGTTTCCAAGGGGCCTTCCTTGAAGATGTGGTGCCCGGACACTGCTTTAGGGCTGGGGTATGGGTATTGGTTTGAGCAGGGTCATGAAGTTTTCGGTTTCTTCTTCCTCATCCCCTTTCAACCATGTACACACATTTCAAATACTTAAAAGCATTCTTCAAATATACTAAGAACACCAAGAACTAAACACAAGAGAAGGACTCTCCAGAGGAAAGGGGCCAAAAATAGAAGAGAAAAAAAACCCCTAATCTCACCATTTGTTTTGAAAACACCCAAAATGATTAAAACATATTATAAACTAAAACATATGAACTAATCACTTGCCAAGTTTCATTTTTAAATCAAAGCCGTTTTGAGGTTCATAAACTGAAAAAAGAATCTTCAAATATGAACTTGTGTTTTTCTTTTCTTGGCCCTCAGTTGGCTTGAAGCATTTGCTGTTATGCTGTGTGGAGGGAAGGGGAACCTGCTAGTTAGGAACATGTGGCATGCATGTACTAGAAGGTAAGCTCCACAAGATCATGACTCTTCACAGTGGTATCCCTGGTAAGTAGAAGAGTGCCTGAAAGATAACAGGGGCTCAATAAATACCTGCTGAATGATCAACTAGTGAATATTCTGGGCCCTTTAAGGGATTCTCCAACTCTCTTTTCTTACCCAAGCTGCATCTTGCTTTAGGCCAGTGGTTCTCAACCTGGGGCTAATTTTTGCCCCCAGTCAGGGGATATCTGTATTTTTTGTTGTCACAGTTAGAGAAGTTCCTACTGGCATTTAGAGGGTAGATGCCAGGGACGCTGCTAAACATCTTACAGTGCACAGGACAGCCCTGTTCCACAGAGATTTATCTGGCCCCAAAGGTTAATAGGGCCAAAGTTATGAAACTCTGATTTATGCCCTTTGTTTCTATTGGGCTGTACCTGGGAGTCAGATCCTCTGCATATTTGGAATGAAGTTCAGTCCTAAAGGAAGCACCCCAGAAAAGCCTCATTGCTTCATCCTCATTCCCTTCAAGACCTAATAGAACTGCCCCCACTCTAAGGCAGGCTCAGAGAGAGCCAATTTTGCCTTTTGTCCTCCCTGGGTCAACAATGCAATTGCTAGGGAAATCATCTGAAAAAGTCTGTCTCTACAATGCAAGTAAATAATTTTTACAGTACATTGGTAATTTCCCTGAGCTTACCTAAGCATATATACTAATTTAGTAAAATTCTCTTGTTTACAAACTAGTCATGTATCTGCAGGAAAAAAAAATCTCCTCAAGTTCAACCAGTTTATCCATGTCTGCTCAGGATCAGTACATGACTCTAGCTTTATTCATGATAAATAAGATCAACTTCAAGAATTCCATCAAACCCCAGTAATGTGCCTTTAGAGAGACTGGGCTTATAGCATTTCCTCTGCCACCCTCCTTGCCCTGCATATTAAAATACAGGTATCTGATTCCAGTTTCAATGGGGAAACTTCTGTCGTGCCAGAGGAGGGCATGCGCTGATTTCCCCACTCTGATGGTTGCTCTAGTAATCTTGGTGTTGTGGCATGTTTCCCAGTTACCATAGAGACTGCATACACTAAGACTGCAGCATTGTGATTGGTGGGAAAGATACATTTTGCAGAAGCTTTTCTGGAGAGATAAAGGTAAGACACGAGAAAGAAAGTGAGACTGCCAATAAAGGGGCAGAGCACAGAGAAGTCCCAAACAACCATACATTCTAGAAAACTGGGACAGCAGAGATTACAACTACTGCTATAAAACTACATAAACTGTTCACTCAATGGCTGCCTGTCAGGAAAATTTCAAGTATTGTCAGACAGAACAGACACAAGATATTCTAGAATAAAAAGGTAAACAAGTAAACCTACTGAGGTTATAGGGGTGACAAAAGGGAAATGGCAAGAAAACATTTAAAAATGATTCAATGCTAGAAAAAAAAAAGAATCTCAGAGAGCAATAAAATTTAAAGTTACATTTAACTTTAAATGTAGGCTGACCTTTGGGGAATTATTTAAATTCTGAGTACCTCTGCTTCCTTCCCTATGAAAAAGAAAAAGAAAAAAAGAATAAAGATGGAAATAGAAAGAATAAAGATGACTTCTCTCTCACTGTTTAACAGGAGTCTCTTTAAATATCTCAATAATTTGACATTATATCAGTTGAATATGATGTACCCCCCACACAAAAATCAGACAAAAACACTTAAAGGGGGTGATAAATAGGGGGACGTCATTAACAATGCAAATTGACTCATTCCATAGTTTCTTAGAGTAATGAGTCAACTGACTACGTGATCTCATGTACATAATTTTGTTCGGCATGAGATTTTGAGGTATACAATTACTACAGAAATCAAGGTATACCTGCAATGTAAAGGGTAAATCGTAGGCATTTTAAATGAAAGCTGGGGATAGGATGTGTGTTGGTTTGAGGGATGAGTGGGAGTGGATTTAAGAGAAAATCAGTCTAGGAAAATATCACATAAGTGTTTGTAAGTTCCTTGATATTCAGGTCTGTATCTTGTAATGCTTTATTAAACATATTTCAGACTAATATGTCCATTGCCTACTGGACATTCATATCTCCCTGTTTTTAAATACCTTTCAAATCTGTATCTTGAGCCATTACTTATCTCTTGACCTCTAACCCTTTATATCAAATGAATTACTAGACAATTACAATTAGATATTCCAAAAGCATCCTAAATTCAACATGTCAAAGCTGAACTCATCTTTTCCTTCAAACTTTCTCTTCCTCCTATGTTCCCTATGTGAGTAAATATTAATAGTATTACCATTCACCCATCTGCCAAAGTTCCATACCTAGGAAGAATCATGGTTGCTTTTATCTCACCTTCAAATAATCACCCGTGCATATAGATGTGCAATCCTAATAACCAAAGGAGGCCTTTTTTGAATAGAAAGCAATATTTACAGTTAATTGGGTTTTGAACTAATATTAATTTATTAAACTTACAAATTTTAAAAGCCTAGTTTTCTTTACACCTTTACCTGTTAAAAACACACATATATTTTTCTATGTCTTAATATAGCAATTTTTGCATAAAATAAGAAAAATTACTTTCAGGAAGGGTGAGATTACTAGACAAAAAAATTTGGGACCTCAAACTATTTCAACTGTCAGTCAGAATGTTAAAAGAATGAGAGTTAGGGTCTGATCTGGGAACACCTTTCAAATGATTTTGCCAAGGTCACCAGTAGACACACTGAATGTTTTTATAGTCACTCTGAAAATGAGAAATTTTACGTCTATACCCTACAAAGGAAAATTTACAATCCAGGTCCTCTATGTTTAAGTTTCATTCTTATCTAACTCTTTTATAATCACTTTCCACTTTATAGCCTGATAAAGGTAGACAATATTTTGTGTCTCCACTAACCAGGTTTCTTGAATCTAGTGCCCTTTCACTTCATAACGTTTTTCACATTTCTACCTCTCTCATCCCCATTGCACCACATTAGCTCAGAGCATCATTATCTGTCACTTGTAATATTGCGACAGTACATTGTACTATATTTTCTTAAGTTTCTGAGTCTTTGCACATGTCACCACCTGTGTCTAGAACACCCATATTCCCTGATAAACATTTACTGAATGAAAAAAAAGTTAATAAATGCTTTGGATGTTGCTGCTTTGGGTGCTGAACAGAAATAGTGGCCTATCTAAGATTCTGGATAAGCCTGCATAAAGCACTCTTACTTTCAAAATTAATTTTGAAGAATAAGAAAATTTTGCCATGGAGAATCATGGAGCCTATGCCACAATATTATGTTTTGCATTTAATAAAACACCTCCAAACCCAGGGAAAGAATCAGTTATTACTTCCTTCAATTCATACAACGAATATTTACTGAACACTCTCTATGTGCCAGGCTCTGTACTAGGCACTGAGGATTTCTTAGAGCATAGAACAGGCAAAAAACAAACAAACAAAACCGAAAAAAACCTCACAATCATGGGGCTTATATTCCATGGCAAGAGGAAATAAATGTGTAAATAAAATATATATTTTGTCTGAAGGCAGTAGGTGCTATGAACCAAAAGGGGTGGAAAGCTAAATGTTAAATACAGTGGTTATGAAAGGCCTTACTTAGAAGTGAAAATTGAGCAAAGACCTGAAGATGATAAGCAAACAAGCCTTATCTGGGGAAAACATTTAAGGCGGTCAGAAAAGCAAGTGCAAATGTGAAATCATGCATGGTAGGCTGGAGGTTAGGAAGGGGGTCAATGAAGGTTGAGGGGAGTGAGCTAGGGTGGAGCGCTAAATGAAGACAGAGAGGTAATGGGGAAATTGAATATGGAGGGTCTTGTGAACTACTGCAAAGGCTTTTCTTCCAAGTGAGATGTTGAGCCATTAGAGAGTTCTGAGCAGAGAAGTGATGTGGTCTGACTGAAATTACATTACATATATTGCAAAGCATCACTCTGGCTATCATTTTGAGAATAGACTGTAAGTGGTAAGGCCAGAAGCAGGGAAGACAATTAGGAGGCTACTGCAATAATCCGGGTAAGAAATGATAGTTGCTTGGATTAGGGTAGTAGTGGTGATGAGGATGAGGAGTGGTAAGATTCTGGACTTATTCTGAAGGTAGAGCTGCAGGATTTGTTCAATGGTTGGGTTTGTGAGAGAAATACAGGTCTGGGAGAGAAATAAATTTTTGATTTGAGTAACCCTAAAGGTGGAGCGTTATTTACCAATATTGGGGAGGCTATGTATTTGCTTGGTAAAATAAGGAATTCCATTTCTGGTATGTCAAGTTTGAGATGCTCATT
Organism: Homo sapiens; assembly: GCF_000001405.40. Classification (NCBI taxonomy): domain Eukaryota; kingdom Metazoa; phylum Chordata; class Mammalia; order Primates; family Hominidae; genus Homo; species Homo sapiens. The sequence continues at coordinate 114,522,882 of NC_000003.12, forward strand.
AGACAGACGTGGAGATGTTGAATAGGCAGCTGAATATGTGAGCCTAGAATTCTGTGTAAAGGCCTGGACTAGAGATACAAGCTTGCACCATAAGCTTGGGTGCAAATATTAAGAGAGTGAATGGAGCTGAAGAGAAGAGCTTCAAAGATTGAGCTCTAGGGCCCTCTAATGTTTACCTGCTTGGGAAATGAGAATATGCTAGCAAAAGAGACTGAGGAGGAGTAGACTGTGAGGCAGGAAAAAAATCAGGAGAGTGTGGTGGACTGAACGCCAAGCGAAGAAAGTGTTTTAATGGAGAATGAATAATGGGCCATGTAAAACAATTCTGAGACATCAGGAAAGACAAAGACTGCCGAATGGTTAATGGATTTAGCAACATGGAAGTCATTGGTGACCTTAGCATCAACAGTTTTACTAGACTGGTAGGTGCAAAAGCTAACTAGAGGGGCAAAAGAGAACCAGAGCATAGGATTGGAGAGTGTTTATAGTGACTATACGCATTTCTTGAGAAGTTTTGCTGTAATGGAAATCAAAGAAATGGGACAGGAGCTGCTAGGGAGTATGGTTTATAAGGGTATTTTTAGGATGAGATAAATTATGTGTTTGTATACTGATAGGAAAGTTTTGATAGAAAGAGAAAATTTGATAAAACAGAAGAAAGATGTGAGCTTTTTCAGGAGCACTGTTTATGCATGTGCAAGAGGAGAGAGATTCTAAGGCACAATGAGGGATGGGCTGAGCCAAGGGTACACAGAGTTTATCCATAGTTGCAGGAGAGAAGGCAAAATACATGGGTACAGATAAATATGGGAGGGTAGGTGTGCTGGACAGCAAGTATTTGTGAAGTTGTCTTTTGATGGTTTCTATTTTTTCAGTGAAGTAAAAAGAAAGGTTCTAAGTTGAGCGTAAGGATGGGGGAGGAGGTGTTAGAAATTTGAGAGAGGGAAAAATATGAAATATTCTTGTACAGATATGGAAGAGTAAATGACAAGGAAACATATTATATTTGCTGGGCAGCATTAACGGCCTCCTTGAGGGATCATGAATTTAAACTGAGAGTCATACATTTGCTTGTGTGTTTTTCTCCAGCCACATTCAGCTGGCACACAGGCATGAAATAGATGGCGAGTTGCATATGATCAGTATAGTTGAGATTTGTCAAGAGAGCACAGTTAAGTCAGAGAAGGTCAATGGTGTTAAAGGCGCATACAAGGAAATGATTAAAATCATTGTCCATGGAATCTACGCTATATAATGAAGTGAGCATATGAGAAGCTATGGGTAAAATCAATGAATTAGGGGTCCTAGTGGGTTTAAGGAATTGGTGTATTAGGGGTAACAAAGGGATTGAACTACCAAGACATTAGGCTGTGGTTGGAAAATGGAATGCTTGAAATTGAGATTGTGGAATATTGTAATTATTAGTAATTAAAACATCAGAAATGTAGCCATGGGAATGAGTAGCTATGGCAGAGTGGAGAATCAATCATGAGAAGTTCAAGAAATTGAGAGGAGGTATTAGAGGGAGCGTGTATTTACACAGTGAATAACCAATAATTGTAATGGGGTAGAAATGGAAAGAGTGTTAGTGAGCTAGGGGCTAACGTTTTCAAGGAATTGGGAAACTTGCCTGGTAGACAACTGCATCAAGGGGGAGTTATGGGAACACTTAGCTTTTCTACTACCTCCTCAATGTTTCCTCTCTCTCACTTTCCATCTTTCCAGCTTATATACTGGCATTACAAACTTTAATTTCCTAGACTAGATAGCTACATATCACCTGTGTCTACCCTTTCTCCTCCCTATCCAAATTATCTCCAAGTCTTGAGAATTTCCAATTTTTTTTTCTGAGATGGAGTCTCACTCTGTTGCCCAGGCTGGAGTGCACAGTCATGCCATCTCAGCTCACTACAACTTCCGCCTCTCAGGTTCAAGCGATTCCCCTGCCGCGGTCTCTTGAGTAGCTGAGATTACAGGCACGCACCACCACACCCGGCTAATTTTTGTATTTTAGTAGAGACGAGGTTTCACTATGTTGGCCAGGCTGGTCTCGAACTCCTGACCTCAAACAATCCACCTGCCTTGGCCTCCCAAAATGTTGGGATTACAGGCATGAGCCACTGTGCCTGGCCTCCAATTTTGAATACTCTCTACTCTCCCCCTTTGGGACCATCACTACTCTAGCCTGTCACTCTCTATTTTATCACTCAGATTAATGTTCTTCATGGCACTAATCGCTCTCTAAACTTAACTTGTTCATTTATTTGTTTGCTTTTTTTGTTGGGGGGGGTGTCTATTTTCCTTCATTAAATATAAATTTCATAAGGGGAAAAGTTTTGTTTAATTTGTGCCTGGAACATAATATGCCCTCAATAAATACTTTCAGGATGAATTAATAAATGCCCCCTATAACATGCTGATGAATCCTTATATTCTTGGGTTCACACAACAGCTTTGCTTTACTATCCTACCAGCTTCTCCCTCCTTTCCTGCTCAAACCATCCATTTCACCGAGTAAAGTCATTTCACTACTCCCCCAAAACACCATGTTCATTTCTATTCAGATGATTTCATCATATTTCTCCCTTGTTTATGTCTATTCCCCACATACCAATTCTTTGAGTCCCAGCTTAGGTCTTACTTCTCGGATGGTTTTTCTATGATTACCATGAGGCCTGCTGATTTCTCCCTCCTCTAAAATCCTGCTATCCCTAACAACACCAGCTGCTTTATATTTTCTAATTGTTTCATATGGGTTATTCTTACCTTTTCACTTTAAAATAGGTTTATTTTTGGCCTAAGGATCCTGACTTACAACTACAGTATACTCAGTAAAAACTAACACAGTGTAGGGCAGATAACGGGTATTCAAAAAATACTATGGCCTCCTTAGATAGCTTCATAGACTTCCATCTTCCTCAACAAACATTTTCTACCTTTTACCCTGCTGTTAGCTAAATCTAACTATTCTTCCTGCTCTATGATACTGTCTTTGAGACCAGAACCAACCCCTATGTCCACTACACAGAATTCTACACTCTTGCACTGCAATTCCCACAGCTAAATCATTGTCATTGCCATTATTGTTCCTGGATTCTCTTGGCAATTTTAGTATATTCAAGGCATAGCTGCCAAGATCATCATCCTCCTTGATTGTTTGGAATCTTTATTTTTTTAAATCCCTGCATTTTTTCCATCAAACTTTAAGTGTTCCTGTGGGATTTGTTTTTCCTTGGCTCCATCCTTGGCCTGGTTCTTCTCCACTTTCTTATGTTCAGTCACTCGATTTGCCCTTTGTCTCATTTGAAGGAATCAGCTTTCACACCTTCTTTTAAACTACCTTGCATATTTAGAATATTTTCTCAAATAATATAAAATTTATAATATTTATGAATAAATGACACAATGCCAAGATATTCTGTCTCTTCTTTCAAATAACATCTGAAGATGCACCTGCACTAGTGAGTTCTATATTTAAGATATTGAATAAGTATCATTCACCCATCTGCTTTCATTCTGTCCTGCATTTTTTAGGACCTGCTTCAGAGTTGTATTTTGAGGTCTTTTGGACGGGGAACTGTCTGGCATAGTTCACAAACTGGCCTTTGCTCTGTATATTCATGTTCCTTTGATAAATAATAAATAATAATAATAGCCCACTGTGCATTTTTACATTCCACTCATAAATCCCTGGAAAAAGAAAAACTAACAACCAGGGATTATAATAGAAACACAGAAACAAAACTAACCTTTTACCAGGTTTTGCTACAGTAATATATACTTCCATAGACCTATATTCTAACAAATAATTACCTGCTTAAGTCATTTGTAAATTGTTCCTTTGCCAACATTATGTATAATAGCAAATGTCTACGTGGTTTATAGGACAGGGAAAACAACTAGAACATTACAGCTATGTGGGGGATCAGTGCAAAAGCAGCAAAATAAGAGGTTTACTCTGTTGGGTGCACAGTTTGGAAGAATTAGTCTCACAAGTAGAACTACTTGACAGAATATATGCCTGCTCTCCAGCTCCCCCTTCTCCCCTCCTCCAGATCTTTTTTCAATAATGGAAGAAGACTTACTTTCTTTTTTCAAATCCAGGTGGGAAGTGTATCATTTTGCGTGAAAAATCTGTTTTTCTTTGAACATAACAAATGGTCTGATTGAAGCTGCTCTATGAAAACGGCAGCATATCTAACCAGGGAGGTGGGAACTATAGTTTAATGGGTGGAGCACCTCCATATTTAGCTGCAGATGAGCCACATTTAACTTTAAAAAAAATAAAAATTTAAAAAATAAAAGAAGGCCAAAATGTAATGATTGTCTTGTTACTGCAGTGGCCACTAGATGGCAGGTCCAAAAATCTGATGGGAGTCTCACAGGAGGGCAAATCTTAGGGAGCAGAATGTTTCTGGCACTCAATCCAGTGTTGGTTCATCAATAAGCCTTGGCAGTTTGCTAAAATATCAGGTGGGTAAGACAATATCCATGTTATTTCACAGGGCTGAAGGGGGCAGGAAGCCCTTTGGTATCTAGGTTTGTAGAGTATTGTCATCACATACTCACACATCCAGATACTGCTACCCCTTTGGACTTCTGTCCACAGACATTCTTGGAGCTGGTTTTTATATATGTTCAGCTGTATTCCATTATCTAATGGTCTGTGCAATACTGAGCCATAATCTCAGGAGTGTAAAAGGTAGTTGTCTAATCTGCCTCCATGGAAACAAATGAAGGAGGCTGTCAGGCTAGGGTAAGGGAACATACAGCTGTACTGTATTTAACAACATATATTTACCAGTAATTGCAACTTCATGTTAAATATGTGTATTTCCTATACTGGAGGCTGACCATATATTCATGTTAATTGTTTTGAAAAAGAGAATGTTGATATATAAGAGACTTATTATTTAATAGGATAAAATAACTAAGGCCTATGATTAAAAATGAAATGAGTAAATTTAGAACAAATTATTTGTTGTACACAGTAGAGTTTTCATTTTCTTTTACTAGGATGGGAGACTTCTAGATGTGGGTCTTATGAGACTATAAAAAAGTCATTCTTGGACCAATTATTCTGAAGATAGATTGTGTCTTTCCCTTCATAATTTTTTTTTTTTTTTGGTTACTAGATTATCCTGATAAAAGTGATTTCACTACATGGACAATGCCTACTTTTCTTTATCTTTTAATTAAAGAACTGACCTTATGATTTTTAAAAGTAGAGAATCACAAGCTCTGAGATAATTTATCATTCTCACTAAAGAAAATGTGCTCTAGAGTCAAATTTATCTTTGTACAAGAGCTGTGACATGCATTTTGATATACATTTAAGCATCTATGTCAATTAAAATATTATAAAAATAAAAGCAACAAAAACTCAATTATAGCCATGCAACTCAGTCATCACTCACCTTTTGTTCCCTTTTTCTTTGAAAATTTAGATAGAATAATGGTAAACATGTTGATTTCATCTATTCTTGCTCTGTATATTTGGACTGTGAAATGTCTACATGAGACACAGGAAGAGGGCACGGGTCTTCAGGATAAAAAACAAAAAAAAATTTTTCCTAAAGAAGAAATATGGGCTATATTGAATTATGATAGATGTTTTAAATCAGTACCGTTTTCCTTTAGTTTGGAGTAAAATTTAAAATGAGATGACTGAAATAATTTACGATAAAATATCATGGTTATTTCTACATATTTAAGGTTTAAAAATGCTCAAACTTATACTTTCCTCATAGAAAGAGCACTGGAATGGGAAACTGAGAGGTCTGGGTTCTATTCTGGCTTTGACAGTGACTCACTGTGTGACATCCAGAGAGCATGACCTCCCCAGGCTCCTCACTTCTGAAATGGGAGGGTTTTGAGGACAAAGTCTCTCTCTGCTTTAACATTCAATATCCAAGTAAGTAAATTGCTACGTATTGCAGATTTTTTTTTCCTCAGAAATAGACTAATTTCCTCCGATGAAAGAATAATACTGTTAAGAAGCTGATGTTGAAAGCTAACATGTCCCTACCAACACTGTGGGCTCTACCCATGCAGGTGAAGCTAGAGCTTGTTCTTCCTTCAATCCCCCCTTTCCCTATTCTGCACCACTCTTCCACACACTCCCCCATCATCTTTAAGTCTAAATTCTACCTGAGAGGTCCTCTGTGACCCCTAGGTAGTTACTTGCTAATTATTACTAATTATTCAATAACTGTTTTACTTTTCCTCTTGAGCACATAGCTAAGTTCCATTTCCCAGCCTTCTCTGCAGATAGCTATGGCCCTGTGACCAAATTCTGGTGAGTGGGATGTTGGTGGAAGTGACATACGCTGTCCCAGGCCTGGTCCATTAAAAGTTCCTGTGTAATCATTGCTCTCTCTTCACCAGATTTCTGGCTGGATGTCACACCCACAGCAATCTTGGAAGCTATGTACTGAAGAGCCTCTGTCAACCTGGGTCCCTGACCAGTCTTTACATGAGCAAGAGAGAAACTCATGTTGAAATACTGAGATTTGGGAGTGTGCGTATTATAGAAGCTAATGTTACCTTAACTAAGAACACTCCTAAAGCAGAAATTTGTTCTCTCTCCGAGACATTATGTCTCTTTTACCACATTTTCCACCTTTAATAATTTATTTACTGATATGTAAGCTCCTTGAGGATAGTACATTTGTTTCACTAGTGTACCCACAGAACTCTAGTTAGTTGAATGAATTCAGAATAGAACATAGCTGGTTTGGAAAGTACAGAAGTTACAGAAGGTAGTAAAAGCAGTTTGATTTTTAAAAATTCTAGCTTTGTGTTTTATCCTATAATATTTAGGTAGAAGGTAGGGATGATGGGTTGGGGTTTTGTTGGTGTGGAAATGTATTGTGACAACCACAGCCTTTTAATATATTTTGTGTACTGCATCCCCAATAAACATGTTTTCCAAATAAAGTGTAAAGTCTTTTTCTAAATGCTGTATGGCTTGCCTTTTTTATATATTTGTGTAAAGAAATTCGTAGTAGTAATTCTCTGACACTGAGTTAAAGGAAGTCCTATTTTTTTTCACAATTATGTGAAAACACAATTATGTGCTGTATAATGACATTTTAGTCTACAATGGACCACATATCTGACTGTGGTCCTGCAAGATTATAAGATAACTGAAAAATTCCTAATGCCTAGTGATGTCATAGTGATCATAACATCACAGCACAATTACTTTTTAAAACATAAATTTAGTGTAGCCTAAATGTACAGTGCTTATAAAGTCTACAGGAGTATACAGTAATGTCCTAGGTGTTCACATTCACTCATCACTCACTCATTCACTCACCCAGAGTAACTTCTAGTTCTGCAAGATCCATTCATTGTAAGTGCCCTATAAAGGCATACACTTTTGATCTTTTATGCTGTGTTTGTACTGTACCTTTTCAATGTTTAGATATGTTTAGATACATGAAAACTTACCATTCTGTTATAATTACTTACAGTATCCAGTACAGTAACATGCTGTGCAGGTTTGAAGCCTAAAAGCAATAGGCTATATCATATAGCCTAGGTGTGTAGTAAGCTCTATCATCTAGGTTTGTGTAAGTACACTCTATATTGTTCACACAACGATGAAATTGCCTAATGATGCATTTCTCAGAATGTATTCCCTTTGTTGAGCAATGTGTGACTACATTTTGAAAAGTTAAAATAATACTAAAGGGAGGGACAAGTGAAGAGCTAACTTGAGAAATCTAAGAACTAGGTAATTTAAAAGAAGTGCTTTTAGTTACATAGGGTTTTTAACATCATTACCACCTATGAAATTACAGGTATTAACTACTGTCTCAAAATGATCATCGCCCTTTTGATACTTTACTCTCAGTGTCATGGCTGACCTCTTTTGAGTCAAGTTTATTGGACATTTTCAGTTTTATTTTTTAATTCTCATCACTGCCCCTCCCTGAAATACTTCATCCCTGGTTTCCTTAATAATACTGGCCTAATTTCCCTATTCTCTATCTCTAGTTTTCTCTCCTCTTTTGTTTGGCTCCTCTTTCTCATCTATTCTTTAAGTATTAGAATTTCCTAGTGTTCTGCTCTGAGTTTTTCTTTCTCTCATAATTTTTCCTTGAGTCATCTTATCTAGTCTTATGGCTTTACCTACTACTTCCTCACAAATAACTCCCGACTCTTGATCTTTAGCCCAGACCTTTCTTCGGAGCTTCAAAACCTGTATTGCCTATAGTATCCTGGGCATTTTAAGAAAATCTAAATATTTTGTGCCACCTTAAATTCAAGTCCCAAACCAAAAGCACTCCTTGCCCTTTCAAGTCAAACCTTCTTCCTCCTGTGTTCCAGCTCTTGGTAGATGACATCAATTTAGAAACATTAAACTCTCCTTTTCTTTCTTTCTTGTCCCTTATCTAAATTATCTAATTAAGTTCTAAATCCTGTAGTGCTTTTATAGTCCATTTGAGATTTTAGCCTAAGTTTGAGGACTAGATAAGTGAAGACAGATTAAAAATAAGACTTCTTTTAACTCAGTGTCAGAGAATTACTACTATGAATTTCTTTACACAAATATACAAAAAAGGCAAGACATACAGCATTTAGAAAAAGACTTTCATACCCTTCCATCATACCAGAGTTCCATTATCAGCCTGAAGAGAACCAGGAGAGCTGTCCTGAGAGGGAGCTTTCTCACAATCAGGACTGGATTGAAACAAAATAGAATCAATGGAAAGAAAGATTTTTGGGGAGGGGAGAGAAGTTTTGCTTGCTGCTGGTCCTTTGGTAACCTCTGCAAAAGAAAAGTTTAAAAAATGACCCTGGCTGGCAAGATGGCCGAATAGGAACAGCTCCCGTCTGCAGCTCCCAGCAAGATCAATCCAGAAGGCAGGTGATTTCTGCATTTCCAACAGAGGTACCTGGCTCATCTCATTGGGACTGGTTAGACAGTGGGTGCAGCCCACAGAGGGCAAGCCAAAGCAGGGTGGGGCATCGCTTCACCCAGGAAGCACACAGGGTTGGGGAATTCCCTCCGTTAGCCGAGAAAGCCGCGAGGGACTGTGCCATGAGGTTCGGTGTATTCCAGCCCAGATACTATGCTTTTCTCACCGTCTTCACAACCTGCAGACCAGGAGATTCCCTTGGGTGCCTACACCACGAGGGCCCTGGGTTTCAAGACAAAACTGGGCGGCCGTTTGGGCAGACACTGAGCTAGCTGCAGGAATTATTTTTCATACCCCAGTGGCACCTGCAATGCCAGTGAGACAGAACCACTCACTACCCTGGAATGGGGGCTGAAGCCAGGGAGCCAAGTGGTCTAGCTCAGTGGATCCCACCCCCATGGAGCCAAGCAAGCTAAGATCCACTGGCTTGAAATCCTTGCTGCCAGCACGGCAGTCTGAAGTTGACCTGGGACCCTCAAGCTTGGTGGGGGGAGGGGTGTCCACCATTACTGAGGCTTAAGTAGGTGGTTTTCCCCTCACAGTGAAAACAAAGCCACCAGGAAGTTCAAACTGGGTGGAGCCCACCACAGTTCGGCAAAGCCACTGTAGAAAGACTGCCTCTCTAGATTTCTCCTCTCTGAGCAGGGCATCTCTGAAAGAAAGTTAGCAGCCCCAGTCAGGTGCTTATAGATAAAACTCCCATCTCCCTGGGACAGAGCACCTGGGGGAAGGGGCAGCTGTGGGCGCAGTTTCAGCAGACTTAAACGTTCCCACCTGCCAGCTCTGAAGAGAGCAGCAGATCTCCCATCACAGAGCTCGAGCTCTCCTAAGGGACAGATTGCCTCCTCAAGTGGGTCCCTGACCCCCATGCCTCCTCACTGGGAGACACCTCCCAGCAGGGGTCAATAGACAGCTCATACAGGAGAGCTCTGGGTGGCATCTGGTGGGTGCCCCTCTGGGATGAAGCTTCCAGAGGAAGGAACCGGTAGCATTGTTTGCTGTTCTGTAGCCTCTGCTGGTGGTACCCAGGCAAACAGGGTCTGGAGTGGATGTCCAGCAAACTCCAGCAGACCTGCAGCAGAGATGCCAGACTGTTAGAAGGAAAACTAACAAACAGAAAGGAATAGCATCAACATTAACAAAAAAGATGTCCACACAAAAACCCCATCCGAAGATCACCAGCGTCAAAGACCAAAGGTAGATAAATCCACAAAGATGAGGAAAAACCAGCTTAAAAAGGCTGAAATTCCAAAAACCCGAATGTCGTTTCTCCTCCAAAAAATCACAACTCCTCACCAGCAAGGGAACAAAACTGGATGGAGAATGAGTTTGAGGAATTGACAGAAGTAGGCTTCAGAAGGTGGGTAATAACGAACTCCTCTGAGCTAAAGGAGCATGTTCTAACCCAATGCAAGGGAGCTAAGAAGCTTGAAAAAAGGTTAGAAGAATTGCTAACTAGAATAACCAGTTTAGAGAAGAACATAAATTACCTGCTGGAACTGAAAAACATAGCACGAGAAGTTCATGAAGCATACGCAAGTACCAATAGCTGAATCAATCAAGCAGAAGAAAGGATATCAGAGATGAAGATCAACTTAATGAAATAAAGCATGAAGACAAGGTTAGAGAAAAAAGAATGAAAAGGAATGAACAAACCTCCAAGAAATATGGGACTATGTGAAAAGACCAAACCTACGTTTCATTGGTGTACCTGAAAGTGATAGGGAGAATGGAACCAAGTTGGAAAATTCTTCAGGATATTATCCAGGAGAGCTTCCCCAGCCTAGCAAGACAGGCCAACATTCAAATTCAGGAAATACAGAGAACACCACAAAGATGTTCCTCAAGAAGAGCAACCCCAAGACACATAATCGTCAGATTCACCAAGATTGAAATGAAGGAAAAAATGTTAAGGGCAGCCAGAGAGAAAGGTCAGGTTACCCACAAAGGGAAGTCCATCAGACTAACAACAGATCTCTCTGCAGAAACCCTACAGGCCAGAAGAGAGTGGGGGCCAATATTCAACATTCTTAAAGAAAAGAATTTTCAACCCAGAATTTCATATCCAGCCAAACTAAGCTTCAAAAGCAAAGGAGAATTAAAATCCTTGATGGACAAGAAAATGCTGAGAGATTTTGTCACCACTAGGCCTGCCTTACAACAGCTCCTGAAGAAAGCACTAAATATGGAAAGGAAAAACCGGTACCAGCCACTGCAAAAACACACCAAACTGTAAAGACCATCGACACTATGAAGAAACTGCATCAACTAATGGGCAACATTACCAGCTAGCATCATAATGACAGGATCAGATTCACACATAACAGTGTTAATCTTAAATGTAAATGGGCTAAATGCCCCAATTAAAAGACACAGACTGGAAAATTGGATAGAGTCAAGACCCATCAGTGTGCTGCATTTAGGAGACCCATCTCACGTACAAAGACACACATAGGCTCAAAATAAAGGAATGGAGGAATATTTACCAAGCAAATGGAAAGCAAAAAAAAATGCAGGGGTTGCAATCCTAGTCTCTGATAAAACAGATTTTAAACCAATAAAGATCAAAAAAGACAATGAAGGGCATTACGTAATGGTAAAGGGATCAATGCAACAAGAAGAGCTAACTGTCCTAAATATACATGCACCTAATACAGGAGCACCCAGATTCATAAAGCGAGTTCTTAGAGACCTACAAAGAGACTTTGACTCCCACACAATAATAGTGGGAGACTCTAACAGCCCACTGTCAATATTAGACAGATCAATGAGACAGAAAATTAACAAGGATATTCAGGACTTGAACTCAGCCCTGGGAACAAGTGGACCAAATAGACATCTACAGAACTCTCCACCCCAAATTAACAGAATATACTTTCTTCTCAGCACCATATCACACTTACTCTAAAACTGACCGCATAATTGGAAGCAAATCACTCCTCAGCAAATGTAAAAGAATGGAAATCATAACAAACAGTCTCTCAGACCACAGTGCAATCAAATTAGAACTCAAGATTAAGAAACTCACTCAAAACCACACAACCACATGGAAACTGAACAACCTGCTCCTGAATGACTACTGGGTAAACAACAAAATTAAGGCAGAAATAAATAAGTTCTTTGAAACCAATGAGAACAAAGACATAATGTACCAGAATCTCTGGGACACAGCTAAACTAATATTTAGAGGGAAATTTATAGCACTAAATGCCCACAGGAGAAAACAGGAAAGATCTAAAATTGACACTCTAACATCACAATTAAAAGAGCTAGAGAAGCAAGAGCACACAAATTCAAAAGCTAGCAGAAGAGAAGAAATAACTAAGATCAGAGCAGAACTGAAGGAGATAGAGACATGAAAAACCCTTCAAAAAATTGATGAATCTAGGAGCTGATTTTTTGAAAAGATTAACAAAGCAGATAGACCGCTAGCCAGACTAATCAAGAAGAAAAGAGAGAAGAATCAAATAGACACAATAAAAAATGATAAAGGGGATATCACCACTGATCCCACAGAAATACAAACTACCATCAGAGAATACTATAAACACCTCTATGCAAATAAACTAGAAAATCTAGAAGAAATGGATAAATTCCTGGTCACATAAACCCTCCCAAGACTAAACCAGGAAGAAGTCAAATCCCTGAATAGACCAATAACAAGTTCTGAAATTGAGGCAGTAGTTAATAGCCTACCAACCAAAAAAAGCCCAGGACCAGACGAATTCACAGCTGAATTCTATCAGAGATACAAAGAGGAGCTGGTACCATTCCTTCTGAAACTATTCCAGATCATAGAAAAAGAGGGACTCCTCCCTAACTCTTTTTATGAGGCCAGAATCATCCTGATACCAAAACCTGGCAGAGTCACAACAAAAAAAGGAGAATTTAAGGCCAATATCCCTGATGAACATTGATGTGAAAATCCTCGATAAAATACTGGCAAACCGAATCCAGCAGCACAGCAAAAAGCTTATCCACCACGATCAAGTTGGCTTCATCCCTGGGACTCAATGATGGTTCAACATACACAAATCAATAAATGTAATCCATTATATAAGCAGTTTAGAGCCAATGACAAAAGCCACATGATTATCTCAATAGATGCAGAAAAGGCCTTTGATAAAATTCAACACCGCTTTATGCTAAAATCTCTCAATAAACTAGGTATTGATGGAACGTATCTCAAAATAATAAGGGCTATTTATGACAAATCCACAGCCAATACCATACTGAATGGGCAAATGCTGGACGCATTCCCTCTGAAAACTAGCACAAGACAAGGATGCCTTCTCTCACCACTCCTATTTAACACAGTATTGGAAGTTTTGGCCAGGGCAATCAGACAAGAGAAATAAATAAAGGGTATTCAAATAGGAAGAGAGGAAGTCAAATTGTCTGTTTGCAGATGACATGATTGTGTATTCAGAAAACTCCATCATCTCAGCTCAAAATCTCCTTAAGCTGATAAGCAACTTCAGCAAAGTCTCAGGATACAAAATCCATGTGCAAAAATCACAAGTATTCCTATACACCAATAACAGAGAGCCAAATCATGAGTGAACTTCCATTCATAATTGCCATAAAGAGAATAAAATACCTAGGAATACAACTTACAGGGGATGTGAAGGACCTCTTCAAAGAGAACTACAAACCACTGCTCAAGGAAATAAGAGAGGACACAAACAAATGGAAAAACATTCCATGCTCATGGATAGGAAGAATCAATATCGTGAAAATGGCCATACTGCCCAAAGTAATTTATAGATTCAATGCTATCCCCATCAAGCTACCATTGATTTTCTTCACAGAATTAGAAAAAAACAATTTTAAATTTCATATGGAATCAAAAAAGAACCCATATAGCCAAGACAATCCTAAGCCTAAAGAACAAAGCTGGAGGCATCACGCTACCTGACTTCAAACTATGCTAGAAGGCTACTGTTACCAAAACGGCATGGTACTGGTACCAAAACAGATATATAGACCAATGGAACAGAAAGAGGCCTCCAAAATAACACCACACATCTACAACCATCTGATCTTTGACAAACCTGACAAAAACAAGAAAAGGGGAAAAGATTCCCTATTTAATAAATGGTGTTGGGAAAACTGGCTAGCCCTATGCAGAAAACCGAAACTGGACCCCTTCCTTACACCTTATACAAAAATTAACTCAAGATGGATTAAAGACCTAAATGTAAGACCTCAAACCATAAAAACCCTAGAAGAAAACGTAGGCGATACCATTCAGGACATAGTCATGGGCAAAGACTTCATGACTAAAACACCAAAAGCAATGGCAAAAAACCCAAAACTGACAAATGGGATCTAATTAAACTAAAGAGCTTCTGCACAGCAAAAGAAACTATCATCAGAGTGAACAGGCAACCTACAGAATGGGAGAACATTTTTGCAATCTATTCATCTAACAAAGGGCTAATATCCAGAATCAACAAGGAATTTAAACAAATTTACAAGAAAAAAACAAACCCCATCAAAAAGTGGGTGAAGGATAAGAGCAGACACTTCTCAAAAGAAGACATTTATGTGGTCAACGAACATATGAAAAAAAGCTCATGATCACTGGTCATTAGAGAAATGCAAATCAAAATCACAATGAGATACCATCTCACGCCAGTTAGAATGGCGATCATTAAAAAGTTAGGAAACAACAGATGCTGGAGAGGATGTGGAGAAATAGGAACGCTTTTACACTGTTGGTGGGAGTGTAAATTAGTTCAACCATTCTGGAAGACAGCGTGGCAATTCATCAAGGATCTAGAACCAAAAATACCATTTGACCCAGCGATCCCATTACTGAGTACATACCCAAAGTATTAGAAATCATTCTACTATAAAGACACATGCACATGTATGTTTATTGCAGCACTATTCACAGTGGTAAAGACTTGGAACCAAGCCAAATGCCCATCAATGATAGACTGGATAAAGAAAATGTGGCATATACACAACATGGAATACTATGCAGCCATTAAAAAAGGATGAGTTCATTTCCTTTGCAGGACATGAAACTGGAAACCATCGTTCTCAGTAAACTAACACAGAAACAGGAAACCAAACACTGCATGTTCTCACTCATAAGTGAGAGTTGAACAATAAGAACACATGGACATAGGGAGGGGAATGTCACACACTGGGGCCTGTTGGTGGCTGGGGGGCTAGGGGAGGGATAGCATTAGGAGAAATACCTAATGTAGATGACAGGTTGATACGTGCAGCAAACCACCATGGCATGTGTATACCTATGTAACAAACCTGCATGTTCTGCACATATATCCCAGAACTTAAAAGTATAATAATAATAAAAAAAAGATCTAATGGCTAAACCTATAGAAACTCTAGCTAGACCTGTGGTTTCTATTCCTTCCTGGGTATAATAATAAAGGCTCACATTTATTTTAAGTGTTACATTTTTCATTGACATTGAAATGAGACTCCCTTTTCGACTAATCGGCTGCTTTGATTTCTTCACCCTAAAAATCACTCTTCAATGTTTTCCACAATTCTTCAACATTAGTAATAACTTCCTATATAGTATCTGTGGTCCTTTTTCTTTCCCCAGTGTGATATATTTATCATCTATTACACAAACTTCCTCTTTTGCTTCCTCCCTTTTCACCACCAGCTCTAACATCTTAAATTTTCATTTGACATACTGCTTACCTAAATTATTTCATGTGTGTTCCCATCCATGGAAATTCATTTTTGTGTGACATAAATCCCTACCCTACTCTATTTCACAGTAATAAAACTTTATACTGAATTGCCAAAGAGATAGGTAACCAACCACGCAGTTTAAATTAAGTGCAAGATACACATGTTTGAATATTCTGCTCTCTGTCTAAGATGTGTAGAGACAGGTCCTGTTTGTGTCTGAGCATTCTGTCATCTTATTCAAACTGTTGGAGTTAAATCACCTAAGAACTGTTTTCTCACTTTGATTCAAAAGTAACTTCTGCTATGCAAAAAAAGCACAGTTATGAAATAATATGTGTATTAAAAAATCTCAAAAATAATGATTAGAGTCACATTCAGTCTGTGAAAGGAGTAGCTCCATGACTTGAGCACATGCCAATGAGATTAGAACTCATCGGGGGTTGGCATTCTCATTGATTGTTGTCCCTCTGTACCTTCAATGGTTTCCAGTCCTTGTCCAAGTTAACCTTTGCTAGTTGTTGTAGCCATGGTAAATATCCTGTTTATTGGATTTTATTAGCGTTTTAAATTTTGACATTTGGAAAAGCACAATCCTCCTTCTTTTTCATCCTGTCATCTTTAGTGTATAAGTGTCCAGGCTCCTTCCAATTTTAAGTTTCTCTTTCCTAGCTTTAGAAGATTATAATTTTGGAAAGTCACAATTATTCTGCTAGTTGGTGGCCAGAACATATCAATTGCATGTAACAAAATTTTATTCAGATGCATCATTCATACATTTTAAGTCTCACGGTTTACTTCTTTCATAATTATTTGACATTTTTGGTGAAATAAGTTTAGTTCTGAATCACCCATTTTGTTATGTTGATTCTCCACTATTTTTGGCGATACAATAGTAATAATGTTAGACATTTGTATAGCAGTGTAAAGTTTTCAAAGTGCTTCCACATACACAGCTCTTATTTGCTTCTCTACCTTAGGACATAAGCAATGTGGTGTTATACCCATTTTACAGATAAAGAAACACAGGAACAGAGTATTACTTTGGATCACACATGGTAAGCCTCGAGGACAGAATGAGCTCCTGTGCTAGTGTTCTTTCCATTGCATCGTATCATTAGTAATGTTTACTTACACCTACATACTTACTGCTTTTCAAATATCCAGACGTCATCTCCTCTACTGTACCACTCTATTATCACTCGTGTCATATTCTGTTTTTATCTCTTTGCTAAGGCTATACCCACCCTTCCAGTTCCCCACTGCCCTCATTAGACTCTGAGCTGCTCGAGAAAAATGATTCATCCATCTTTGTATCTCTAGACCCAAGTAAGATCACACCACATTTTTGCCAAGTCTCTCTTGTGCTATAAATGTTCATCTTCTCTTAGTTGTAAATTGCTTTCAACCCACCTTTTTTTTTTTTTTCTAACTTTTATTTTAAGTTCAGGGGTGTAAGTGCAGGTTTGTTATATAGGTAAACTTGTGTCATGGGGGTTGTACAGATTATTTTATCAATGAAGTACTAAGCTTAGTACCTATTAGTAATTTTTCCTGATTCTCTCCCTCCTCCCATACTCCATGCTCCGAAAGGCCCCAGTTTGTATTGTTCCCCTCTATGTGTCCACGTATTCTCATCATTTAGCTCCCACTTATAAGTGAGAACATGCGGTATTTGGTTTTCTGTGGTTTTCTTTGGTTGCTGTGTTAGTTTGCAAAGGATAATATTACCACTGACCCCAGAGAAATACAAACAACCATCAGAGAATATTATCAACACCTCTGTGCACATAAACTAGAAAATCAACCCATAATTTTTAAGTTTATGTTATAAATATTAGTATTATCTGAGAGGAAGGCATTACATCCATAAGCAGAAAGGTGGAAAAATCAGGAGAGTGAGTGATTTATTTGAGAGTATCTGGTTTGTTAGTGAAAGAGATATGAAACAAACCCAGGGCTCCTCATACCTAGGCTACATCTGTAACACCAAAGTCCAATGTACTGGTACCAAACAGACTGGCACTTGTGGGATGCTGTGTAAGCAGCATGGACAGTATTCCCTTATCCCCAGTGCAGGCTACAGTTGCTTAAAAGAACTATGGAAAACCGGACATTTTGTTCCCTTCTAATTTATCTGTGTTCCTGTAGCCATGTCTCCACTTCTAAACGCTAATCACTTCTCTAGGTGAGCTTAAGTACCTAATTATTAAGAGCCCTCCAAATTTCTAGTGTCATCTTCAATATAGTTAGTGCCCTTTCTGTCCCATTTGCCCCCTGTGCTTGGCACTGAATCAGTATAGCAAATATCCCTAATGAAGAATCATGGTACAGGGTTAAATTTACAAATTAAGCAATTCCTTTAGTTTTTATGTCAATTCCTTTTATCCTTGTATCCCCACCCTGCATTTGCTTAAAATTCATCCCACTGAGAAGCTAAAAAAACAATGCTACTATGACGATTTAAAGAGAAATACTGAACCCTAGGACTTTTTCCTGAGATTCTTGTTACCTGTAAACTCTTGAATATAGGATCAGATTACCTAGGCTTCCAGGGAATAGTAAGACCATACATTAGCAGATTTAATATTAATCTCTAGAATCCCAGATTTACTTCTTGTCCAGGTTAAATGCCCTTTTGATTATTTTAGCAAAAAATAATACAAAAAATTGATTACAACCATTAATGGAGGCTTAAAATGTTAACTCCCATAGCTTTAACCCAGTATCTATGATTAAATGCAAAAAATCTAAGTTAATGCAATGTTAAGGTTGAGCTTCTAATTGCACAAAAGTCATGAAATTTAAAATTAAGGTTTCTAGTGCTACTCTCTGTCATTTCTACAACATTCCTCCAATGGTTTTCTACAATATATGTTTCATTTAAATGTGTGTGTTGTAGAGTTCCCAGGAAAGAACATAAAGCACAACAGATCAGGATTCAACTTGTGGATACCTAGTTTTACATAATCAATATGGCTGGAAAAGTGTGATTCTTTTTTAAACTACAATGCCCTATTTGAGTGATAACCATATTCCTGTTTACAAATTTGCCCATTTCCTCTAAAAATCCTTGAATCTTCACTTCTGATTACACACTAGCCATCCCCTAGAGAAGGAAAGAGCATTTATGTAATAAACAAACCAAACAACCTGTGGACTGTGATAGTACCTACAGACCTTTTCTTCAACATATGACAAAGCATATTCATGTGGGATTAATGTTGAAAGAGTAACTCAGAATATTTAGGTTTATGGGTGCATCTAGCAGAACAAGCAAAGGTGAATAGGGACTGGAATCCTGTTAATACTATTAATAGGACTAGCTGAGGAAACTGTCATCAAATTATTAAACCTCTCTGAATGTTATTATCAGAGTAAGAATACCTGCTTGTAGGATTATTAGGAAGAACGAGTGAAGTAATATATGTAACACATGCTCTTTAAAACTCTCTTGGAGTTTATAGTAATAGATCAACTATTACTATTAAAGAATGAGTAATCATAATTTAATGATCATCTGGATGTCTACAGGTATTTTGGAAATATGAAACAATGATAATTTAAAATTCATTTTATTGAAAGATACCTAGAATTATTTTTTTCACAATAGTTTCATTAAGTTAGGTATTTGTTTATAGCCTACTATGGAATGCCCAGATAACATTTAATACATGATGCACTGAGCTGCATCAGCTAACTCTGAAGGCAGGTGAGTTAAATGAATTCTTGGATATTGGGCTGCCATGCCCAATATTTTCTTCAAATTTTATGAAACATTTGTGTCTAAATAGAAAATGTGCTTGAGAAATTCTAGCCCAACATGCAATTTAGAGAGAAAGTTATAAATCATAAATATAAGAGCTTAGAGCTAAAGTGCCACCTCAACCATAACTATAATAAAAACTCCTAAGTGCATTCTGGCAGGAATAAATAAAAAATGGCAAAGCCTGTTGTGGACGGTGCAGAGCCCAGGAAGGTAACCAAGTGAGTAAACAGCTAAGGCAGGATTATCCTCATTTGGGAGGACTCCATTCCAGACAGGAATTAAAGAGGAGGGGCTGGGGAAGGGAGAATGGAGGTTGTGGGAGAAAGTGTTTTTGCATTTGAAAGCAGCTAAGTTACCTTGTGTAATGAAAAGGAAATTTGTTTTTTTCCTTTCAACAGTAATCTCATTTGAGGTCTAGCAGACTGCTACACAAAAGATACATGTGTTCTACCTACTTGGTTTTTCTCCTCTGGCAGTGAGGTACACAGGAAGGGTTCAGGTGAATCAGAACCATTCAGAATAACATAGTCAAATTCCTTTCCAAAGGTTTAAATACCTATTCTTTAATAGCTTTCTTCAAAAGACTGGTAACTTACTGCACTGTTCCTGGCACATTCACAACCAAAATTTGTTCCTGGGAGTACTATAATACGATGCAACAAATGGGTTTAAACGAAAGCTGGAAAGATCTATACTGAAACTATGAATCACAATTACTGAAAGCAAAAAAATCTCATACACATATAATATCCAGAAAAACATACAACTGTCCCTTGGTATCCTCGAGGGACTGATTCCAGGACCCCACTGCAGATACTAAGACTTGCAGATGCTCAAGTCCCTCATATGAAGTGGCACAGTATTTACATATAACTTATGCACATCCTTCCCTTATACTTCTCACCATCTTTAGGTTACCTATAATATCTAATACAATAAACACTAGGTAAGTGGTTGTTATAGGGTATTTTTAATTTGTCTTTTTTTTGGTATATTGTTATTTTTTATTGTTTTTTTTCCAAATATTTTTGATGTGTGGTTGATTAAATCTACAAATGTAGAACCCATAAATACTGAGGGCTAACTGTATAACCAATAATTTCTGAGTCCTTTTGTCTCTCCCTATGTTAAAGCAATGGTGTAGATGAGATTTCTCTGAATAGAGGGGAGCAGCTGGACCAATAAGCTGCATTATCACTTAGAGTTATCAGGACTATATCAACTGATTCAAGCCTTAGCCCCCATCTCCGACTTGCTGTGATATGCACCAAGTTGCCTTTCTTCTTGGTACTTTCCTTTCTTAACAACAACTAGTAAATTGACTATAAAACCCTTGGCTACTATAAACTCTATTAGAAAACTGGCTGTTTCCAGCATGAGCCAAGGACTCTAGCTTTCCATACTCAAAGATTTATATTTCTCAAGTTTCTTAACAACATTGGCATATATTTATTACAATACAGTTTATACTTTTAAAATCAAGCAAACAGTTAAGATTTTAATGGTCATAAAAATGAAGAACGCATTGGCTATTTTCTGAGTAGTGAAAAAGTTCTCTTTTATAATAGCTTAACTCAAGAACTTTTGAAGTCTTTTTCTTCAAAGATTTTTCATACAAAAATTACCTTTGAGAGTAAGCATGAAAAAATCTCAGGAAGTAGGTAAGTATTGTTAATTTAAATGCCTCCCTTTTCACTCCAGGAAACATAAAACCAAATGACAAAGTACAGATGATTTATTCCACAACTATTCATTGAGCACCTACTATTCTCTGGCACTGTGGTAGGCAGTGAACAACTCTGCTTTAACAGTGAGAACAACATTCTTATCTCCTGTGACCCTTAAGGAAAGACTAGCTGTAGTTAGACTTACTGGATTTGGTCATAAAGATAAATTAAATATAAAGCAGTGACCATTTAAGTTTAATTATGTTAAAGAAATTTTGAAACAATAGCTTATTTAAATCATTTAAGTATTTGTTTACAAATTTTTACCTTCTTTCTAAAATGCCAAGAATTGCCAACCATGAAATTATGAAAACAAATCAATAAAAATACAATGATTTGAAGAACAAATCTATTTAAGATAAAAAGGCACATAACCTAACACCAATAAAATTACCTGTAGCACTCTTAAAAACTAGATTTCTTCTTTCTTTCTTTCTTTCTTTCTTTCTTTCTTTCTTTCTTTCTTTCTTTCTTTCTTTCTTTCTTTCTTTCTTTTTCTTTCACTTTCTTTCTTTTCTTTCTTTCTTTTTTTTTTTTTGACAGGGTCTCACTCTGTTGCCCAGGCTGGAGTGCAGTGGCATCATCTTGGGTCACTGCAGCCTCTGCCTCCTGGGCCCAAGTGATCCTTCCACATCAGCCTGTCGAGTAACTGGAACTACAGGCACATGCCATCACTCCTGCCTAATTTTTGTATTTTTTTGTAGAGATGGGGTTTTGCCATGTTGGCCAGGGTGGTCTCAAACTCCTGAGCTCAAGCAATCCACATGCCTTGGCCTCCCAAAGTGCTGGAATTACAGGTGTGCACCACAACAAATGGCCCCAAAACTAGGTTTTCAAATATGTGAGAGTATCTCTCAGCTATGTCAAAAATCCTATGAGTCATTCATTCAGTGTTTATTTAATACCAAAACATGGAAGATAGTATGTCTAGGAACTAATTTTACTCCAACAATAAATCTAGAAGAATGAGTACCTATTTCATGTGGTTATCATGAAGAAACTCTGTCAGAAAACTAAAATGAAATGGCTCATGAAGTTGACATATGTATGAAAATATAAGAATTCTGCTCACACCTCTTCTTTCTTCCTGGGGGCATTATCCATGAGCATCATCTCTGTATATGAAGGACGGAAAACCCGCTTTGGATATGTATGCTTCTGGGTAGTCTAGTCAAAAAGGAATATGAACTCTTTTATCTCTGAATGCTTCCAAATACCAGAGAAGAATGATTTATGGAGTTCTGTATATGACTAAAAGAGCTGCTAGTACTTTTAGAGTATTCATTCTTTCTTTATTCCTTCTTCAGGGTGATCTGGAAATTGCCCTTCCCAGGACTTTCTGTCTCTCATATAAACTACCATTTGTATACCACTTTTTAGGTTGCAAAATGCTTTCACATGTATTGTGCAATTTAGTTAAAAGGCATCAGGGTGCGAGGATCAAGAACACTGGCTTTGGTACCAGAGACATCAGTGTTTACCAAAGCTACTTACTAGTGGTACACCATTGTGTGAGCCACTTGATCACTTTAAGCAACAATTTTCTCATTTGTAAATTAGGGATAACAATATCCACCTTGCAATATAAGGTAGAGATTAGCAATAGGGCAGTTAAAATGTTATTATGATTAATAACCCATAGTAGGGACACCAAGGACTTCTCAATAGTCTGTTTCTCTTCATCAGGCTGGAGGAGGGGGTCTTCACAGTTACTTATGAGTACATATTACAAGCTTCTAGTTAAAGTAATGGCCTCTTCAAATCTTAGATCTGAACCATCTTCATAAAACAGTTCTTTAATTCATGGCCAAAAACATCGTTTCCATATACTCTCAGAGACAGAGTCCTTTTGGAGCAAGATATAAAGTTTAATTCTAAGTCTTTTTTTAACCCCGAAACTATTTTCCCTGAAGCAATCCATGTGCTGCCATCAGATTTTATTAGGTGGGCTAAAATAGAGTCAGAAGGAGATTTCTTTACATAATAGCTGTCCCTACAGAAACTTGAGACAGTCAGCTTAAAAATTATTTTTAATGAAGAATTTTTGAGATCCATAAGTACAGGAAAAATTTTGATGGTCTTTCTCCCTTACTGATTCATTGATAATTCTCAAACATTGGGCTGGCACAACTAGAGTAAATCGGTACATCTTACACAGTGGAAAGCGGTGGGTGTAGATGTTTTTGGAGCCAGTCAGTCTCTGGCAGCGGATAGAGTCACACTTGTGCTTTGTTGCCCATTTACATCTTCAGAAAGCAGCCTGGGTGGGCATGCTTATCAAATGTGCTCATTTAAGGATAAACCCATTTGAATATTATAACAACATTTGGCAAACTTCCTCTACCGAATGGTGGACCTGGCCCACTACCTCTGAAAACTATTGCCTGGCCAGGCAACATAGGTCCTTTGACTTTCTTTACATGGTAGAACACATCTGAGACCTTCCAATCAAACACCCAGGAGGAGTCCTGAGTGCTTTACCTGTTCCTCAAGCATTCTGAAGGTTCTAGTCTGGACTAGTGGGTTATGGATATATGGATATGCAGTGAGTCCTTCCTTTTGCAACATACACCTTTTTTTTTTTTTTTTAATCCAGACTGGAGAATTCAAATGCCTTGTTAATATCTAGTGGTCACCTTTGGCATGAAGAAGTCAGCAAACATTTACTGAAAAAGTTGCACGTGGAGAATTCTGTATCATAATTAAGGAGATGCCCTCCACTCCCTGAAGATGTTTATAATTCTTGCTGGGAATGAGGGAAAAACAAAACCTATACAGGCAAAACTGCACAGCACTTATAGACCAACACAAAAGTGTGTACACACAGTGTACAAAGACTTAAGCAGAGCAAATAGGGTTAAAAAAAGAATTTGGAAGAAAGTAATGGATATACATTTTCCAAGGTGAGAGAGAAGAATACCATAGAGTGGAGAAAGCATAAACAAAGGCATGGAAATGGGAACTGGAAAGCCCACCAACTTGGCTAACATAGAGAAAGCAGAGCAGTAAAGAGTAGGGGGTAACTACAGGGGCATGGGGATGCATGAGGAACCAGTTTGTAAAGATTACCAATGCTAAGCCAAAGCTCTTGTTCATTCCATTCCAGGGAAACAGAAGTTGATGGAGACCTTGGAGTTGGGAAAGAAAAGGAGGCCAAGAAGGATAACTGGTAGTAGAGTGGCCTTACAGCTAGATGAGGAATTCGGATTCTAGTCTTCAGGTAGAAAAGCAGCAGTATAAAATCCAAGGCCAAGAAATGAGACATAGAAAATTATGTGTGGGAGCAGGTATCCTAGATGCTTAAAAAAATTGTTTTGTGAAGATAGTTTGAAGGAAGGGTGGCCTATTCAAGCGGTTCAGAAAGGAGATAAGGGGCCACTTGGTCTAGTGTCAGCCCTTGAAAATAAATAAAAGAAAGAGGCTGAATGAAGAGATATTACTGGGTGAGAACTGGCAGAATTTAGTGACTGACTGAATGGTAATGAAGGGCAAAAGAAGAAAAGATTTAAAAATGATCGTAGTGCTGGGGCCTCAGGAAAGGGTCCTATGGACAGTAATTGAAAAAGAAAACTGGTGGCTAGAGCAGAAGATGCTCTGGTCAGTGGTAGAGCATCCCAATGATTAAGGGGTGTATGCATGTGAATGCATGTGTGTTACTATAGGCACACAGATTTAGGAGTAATACCTCCTTTGCCCTAATGTTACATAACAGCTTACAATTTTCTTTCAATTGAAATCTTTATTTCAAGTATTTATTAAGTGCATACTAGGTGTAAAGTTTACAATAAGACTTGTGCAAGGTTTACAATAAGAAAACATAAAAAAGTTCTATTACTGAACAGAAACTAGTTTAAACTTTACTGCAACATTTTTTAAAGAGTGTATTTTCATTTTTATATTAATTTTCTATTATTTGTAATTCTTAGGCCACTGACATAACAGTGCTTTCATTAGTGCTAGATATGCCACCTTGACACAATTTAAAAATCAATAATTTTTCTTAGTGTACTTGGATATCTTCCTTTTCCTAAATAGTGGTTATGCATTTGGATGAAGCCAGTGAATAAGATGGCTTTTGGTTTAAATTTGCACCCAGATCAGTCCTGATAGAAGGCCATGTGTTTCTCTGTAAGAGACACATGTGCATGTGCATATTCTCTGCCTCACTCAGATTAGCCTTATGGCCATGGTATCAGAACTGCAAATAGTTATATTGTGGATTCTTTCTTGTTTGTGGGTGACAGGAGAAAGGAAAACTCACACTTTTTTTGAACAAAGCACCATGTAGATATCCAACTGAAGTGGGCTCTGTTCATCCTCAATTCAGGTGTGATGAAAACCTACAGGGAGTTGACCTTCAGTACTGACCTTTTACATTATCTCATTTCTCTCATGCAACTTCTGTCTAAGGATGGGAAGAGACCTAAGAGATCTATTAGTCTCAGAATTACATTCATCTACAGGTGTGCCAAAAGGATATCAAGTTTTAAAAACACAACTGCACTATTTCTTTTGTTTTTCTTTTTATTTTCTTTTTTTTTTTTTCTTTTTGAGACAGAGTCTCACTGTGTTGCTCAGGCTGGAATGCAGTCGCATGATCTCAGCTCACTGCAACCTCTGCCTCTTGGGTTCAAGTGATTCTTCTGCCTCAGCCTCCCAAGTAGCTGTGATTACAGGTGTGCATCACCATGCCCAGGTAATTTTTGTATTTTTAGTAGAGACGGGGTTTCGCCATATTGGCCAGGCTGGTCTCAAATGCCTGGCCTCAAGTGATCCACCTGCCTCAGCCTCCTAAAGTGCTGGGATTACATGCGTGAGCCACCACACTTGGCCTATGACTGGACTGTTTCTTAACATTAATATAAAGCAAAGGTTGCATAAACAATGGATGTAGGAAGCTCATTCCTTCATAATTATTAAGAACTGAAAAGGTACATTGAAGAAAACTAGCCATGAATAAGAAAATAACTTCTTCACAGTGGTTAAAGAGAAAAGGTACTGAAAAAAGTAAACAAACATATGAAAGCCTCTTAATATACTAAGGTATTACTATATATATTTCTGACCTTTGGCTACTGAGAAAATGTGAAAGATGACAATTCTATAGCTATTCTATATAACGGCAGATGCTCCTCTTATTCCAGGAAACAAAATCCTTTTATGACATTTCACTAAATATCTAATCAAAGAGTATTTTATGTGCTCATTTCAGATAGTCTCATTCACTTGCCCTTATAACTTTAAATGAGTTCTTTTCTTAAGCAGGCCAGCTTGTATATTATTTATGATAAAATACTTTCTTTAAGATGGATTCAGTGTTAATTTTGTACTATATGACTTAGTACAGTGGGACAATTACATATAACACTTCTTCTATCAGCCCTATGTTTCTATGTTCTTTATTAAGATATTATCAAAGTAATAGCAAAATTCTGTTAAATGTTCAATGTATATCTTTACTGCTAATTTTTTTTCAACATGGTAATATTACTGGTACCACAGTGACTCCTCATATCTTGAATATATGCAGTACAATTCATTCTCTACTAGCATCAATTTCTTTTTGTAAACAGAAATTTGGCTTTAACACAGCAATTTCCACCAAACTATATAAGTGCTAATGATGACCAATTTAGGACATAAACAGTTTACTACTGTCCTTTGAGCCTCTCTCTTTTTTCATTTCTCTAATCATCACACTAAGGATTTTTTTTCTAGAAAGCTATGGGCAGAGTTGATTTCACAGAGTTACAAGTTGACCTTTTTCTTTTTTTTTTTTTTTTGACTGATGCTGTTAATAGAGTTTTGGTGACTCTATCAGTTAAGAGGTATACCTTGTACCTGACATTTTACTTGCTTGAGCAACTGGCCCCAACTAACTGATTTTTAATATTTTGCTTTTCTGTTTCCTCAATTTTCCTTCCATAAAATATTTTTTCTACTTCTATATAACTTCTTTTTTATTTTTTTGAGATGGAGCCTTGCTCTGTGGCCCAGGTTGGAGTGCAGTGGCGCGATCTCAGCTCACTGCAAGCTCCACCTCCTGGGTTCATGCCATTCTCCTGCCTCAGCCTCCTGAGCAGCTGGGACTACAGGTGCCCGCCACCATGCCTAGCTAATTTTTTTGTATTTTTAGTAGAGATGGGGTTTCACCGTGTTAGCCAGGATGGTCTCAATCTCCTGATCTTGCGATCCGCCTGCCTTGGCCTCCCAAAGTGCTGGAATTACAGGCATGAGCCACTGTGCCCACCCTATAACTTCTTTATTTATTTTTTCTTCCCTTATCAAATTCCATCTCATTTTTCTTACGCAATTAAAATATTTCCTCACTACAGTTTGGGTCAGCGGTCAGTCATATTTACATCACTTTTTCCATAGTTTGGTTGATGATGTGCATAGAGTATATGCACTAGCCAAACTGATCCACATTCACTGTGGATAGGCTGAAGTCCAAATTGTAAGCTGATTTGTCAACAGCTTTGAGTAAGCCTGATGCCAGACAATATTTTAATTCTTCAGTGATATTTCCTCTTCACTTATGAAGGAAGCCTTGAAGATGGCAAGTTAATAAGTGCATTGTTTTAACTCTGTAAATAATGCTTTTTGGGGGGTTGTCTTTAAAGATTCTCATTTACTTTTTATAAAGAAAGTTATAATTTCTTATTTTCTGGTTCCATTCTTGATCTCTTTATTTTCCTTCAGTTTGTGGATTTGCTCTACTTTTAAAAACTCATAACTTATGAGTAATTTTACAGATCCCAAGATATAGTTTGTTTGTTTTTTGAGACAGGGTCTCACTCTGTCACCCACGCTGGAGTGCAGTGGCGTGATCTCTGCTCACTGCAACCTCTGCCTCCTGGGTTCAAGCGATTCTCGTGCCTCAGCGTCCCGAGTAGCTGTGATTACAGGTATGTGCCACCATGTCCATCTAATTTTTGTATTTTTAGCAGAGACGGGGTTTTGCCATGTTGGCCAGGCTTGTGTTGAACTCCTGGCCACAAAGGATCGGCCCAGCTCAGCCTCCCAAAGTGCTGGAATTATACACATAAGCCACCACAACTGGCCAAAATAAATTTTTTTAAAGAGGATACTGAGCATCTGAAACAAGGGGGGTTTGTAGACTCACAAGGATTAAAAATTATTTCGATTGTCTTTAAATCGATTGTTTTTTAATCGATTAAAAATATATTCGATTGAATATAGTGATGCATTTATCAGTCTATCATTCTGTAAATAGTATGGAAAATTCTGGAAAAAAATTCCTGTTCACAATAAAAGAGATTCAATTTGCGTAACGATATTTACTGTGTGCCTACTGTGTCCTGTCCTAAGACACAGTATTAAAGTTCTTTCACTTAAAGAGTTCATACCTAGCAGAGGGATTAGACAAATTTATAGACAATTATGCAAATTAAGTAATAAGCTTTACAAAAGAAGTGCACAAAAATTTATTGTGGGCGGGTGGTATATACAAGTCAATGACTTTCGTTGCATGGGAGAGCTAAAGAGAAGTAAGCAATAAGGGCCTCAGAAAGTTAGAGGCATTTGGGATGAGCCTTTGAGGATAGGTAATATTTGATATATGGAAATGAAGATAGAGATATACATAAGCAACAAAGTGAAGAATGATAGATTGGAAGTGGGCTATTCAGGAAAAAATGCTTTTCTTTGGAAACCATGGATAATATTTCAGCTTCTATTCTTATAAATTAGTCTCAGCAAAGTTGCCACTTATCATATGTTCAATATGAAGTATTTTCCTTGCCTATAAGAAACACTACAAGGATGTGAGTAGAGGTGAAACATAGAGTAGACGTGTCCCAATTGTACCCCAGATGTGTTTGTAAACTTCTAGGTATGGTTTCCAAAGAAATAAAGCTCACAGAACTTTTATTAAGAACACTTTTATTTCTATAAATAAATGGAAACTCATCTTCAGCTAAAAATATAGTGGCGGCTCACATCTATAATCCCAGCACTCTGGGAAGCCCATGTGGGGGGATCACTTGAGGCCAGGAGTGTGAGACCAGCCTGGACAGCATAGTAAGACTCCTTCTCTACAAAATATTATTTTAAAACATTATTTGGGCATGGTTGCTCATGTCTATAATCTCAGCTACTCAGGGGGTGAGGTGGGAGGATCATTTAGCCCAGAAGGTGGAGGCTGCAGTGAGTCATGATTTGTCATTGCACTCCAGCCTGGGTGACGGAGCGAGACCTTGTCTCTAAACAAAACAAAACAAAACTTGGAAATTCTAGATATCCAGGTATTTATTCACTACCACATAGCTTAACTGTATTTCCTTATTATTTTGTCTCTAGCTGAAGTTCTCTGGAATGGTCATGAAGAGAGAAAACATCAAAGATTAGGAAATCTATCCCAAAAAGATCACAAAATCAAGGACAGTGACACCTTTTTGAGCTTTTTACTTGACTCTTCCTGTTTTTTTTTTTTTCCACTTCCCTTAGTCATTCACTAATCAGTTCTGCTTTAGAACCATTAAAATAATAGAAAAGTTACAGAAACTTGGTAAAATGTTTCTCTGGCCTATTTCCAAACCGCCCAAAATTAATGGGAAATGGTTAAAGTCAAAAAAGCTTTTTCTCTGACATGGATTTCTAAACAATATAATTATGGTTCACTCCATGGTTATGAGCTTTGGGAGCTCCCACAAAAAAGTCTTTGCTGCAGATGTGGCCACTGGCTGCTATACCAGGCAATTTGATTCATGTTTGTTGTTGTTAAAAAAATATATAAAACTCTCTTATGTTGGATTAAGAGGCTTTTAAGAGGAAGCTAGACAGAAAGGCCAGGTCTCTCTCTATTTGCTCATTCATGACAAAGGTGGAAGCTTCAAATTTGTGATACATGTGAAGAAGGTGTCTGTTACTTCGTGTTACATTTTTGCCTTCAGAATTATTGTTTTCAATCATTCTATTTTATATAAATGCACAAAAAATAAGTCCAAGCTAAACTAGTGATGCTGGGTCACTCCAAGAAGTGTCCTCAATATAGCTTCACAAATTTACCCTTTTCTCTCCAAATCCACGTTTATTTCTTGAGACAGTTATATGATGTTTTGCCAAGAAAGCAACTGGGAGCAATGCCTTATGTTTAACTGGGCTTTTAGATTTGAGAAGCAATCCAATCCAAGACTTCATGATAAGACTTCCACAGCAATTGGATATTAGTGACATATAAGGACCTTAAGAACTCCACCATTTTATACTCTATATAAATGTATGATGTGGTACACAAAGTATTAATCAATACTTCATGAGCATAGTAGCTCTGTTTATACCAATTTCTAGCAATGTACATTAGGCAATTTTGTAGAAAAAATATAATAATTGAAAGTATAATTTAACTTCCACTCCATGAACACTTAGCCTCTTCATACCATCCTCTTCCAAGCATTTCTTTGGTCCTTGGAAAATCAGTGAAAAATCTGAAAAATTGGGATTTTGTGTTTGATTATATGTACATTTACTACAAGTATACTGGGCTTTCCTTTTCTGATGCTATAGAGATGAACTATAGCTTTCCTAACTCAGTCTTATTATTAGCCAGGTCCAGTTTATATTAGTTAAAATGAACATCATAAATTTACAGTATAACTTATCTGGTACATTCCTTCTATTGTAGTTTGAAAATGTGCCATTCAGGACTGAAATGACTTAAACATAATCAGATTTTATTTCTAGAGAAGTAAAGTCTATACTTCTATAATTCTGTGAACCCATCAGCAATTAACTTTGTCCCAGTAGAATTAATATAGTGTTCAAGTTCAGGATTGAGTAGATGAGAAGAGGAAGGAACAATAAAACTCATTCACTCCCATGCTAGGTTCTGCAAAATAGCTTCCATATTCCCATAATGTGATATTTATCTTCCTTATAATAGCACATTTAAAGTCAGTAACCCTAAAAATCTCCTACATAAAGGTTTGCATCTTTCCCCTTAAAAATGTACAGATGAGCTTGTGATAAAGAGATGATGTCTCCTGCCAAATTGTAATATCATATAGACCAGTTCCAGGCAAAGTATTGAAGAAGCAGTCAAAACTTCATATACCTATCTATCCTTGTCAGCCTCACGTATTCATGGATGGGGTCACAGCTTATCCCTTTATTCTTTTTGGTTAGAAAGTCTTTCCAGATGAGGTCATCATTTTCATTACTCTGTTTCTTCCTCTCTCACTAGAGTGTCTTTCTAAAGGAAACCAAGGACCACTTCAGTGAAATATTGAAGGCAGGGGAGGCCCTAAATGATTAAAAGAAACAAAGCTTTCCCATAGCACGTGTCCTTTTCTTTGTAAGGAGATGAGGTAATATATAATCTTCCCACGTTACTACCACAAGGGCATTTTGTGGCAGGGAGAGATGGATTTCTGGGAGTGAAATCCAACTGCAAAGCAAGGGCTATTTTCAGAAGGGCTTATCTTCAATATCCTCATTTCAGAATTGGTCTCTTTGCTCAGAGCAATACCTTGGGCAACACTGAGAACTCCCATCTCTAAGGTAAGAATAAAAGTTATTTCCTCATTGATGGAATATCTGATGAAGAAAAAGGAAGACAAAAAACAATAAATTATTCTCATAAAAGGTGATGCATATGAATAAATGTCAAATCCTTCTAGTATTTCTCATGTGGCTTGTACACAAGACTTCTATTTGATCTTTGGCTCTGCAGTTTCTACCACTAGATGACCCACATGTGTAATCTGGATAGGCAGCTAGTTTGCTTACATATAAATTAAATAGCCTCAAGTGTCAGCAGATCTCTGTATCTTTTTAATATCCCCCAAACTGCTTCAAGTAGGAACAGCTACAAAGAACCTTACCAAAGGACATGGAATTCACACTTGCCAAAGAAATCACTGCACGTGTAAATTAGAAACTAATCATCACTTCCTCTCTGGTTACAGTGGCAGCTTTGCCTCATAGTTTATGTTGAAATATACATTTTTATGAAATATTTCTCACTGTAGTCAGCATCAATTTAGGAGTATCAAACACTAATTCCCAGCTCCAGCATACCAGAAAACTAGAGACAGAGAAGTGCAGACAAAGGGAATTGACAAAGGCCTGGACTTTTCTTATACTTGAAGAAGCTAATTGTATTTGTAAATTTCTGGTTAAAAACCTGACAATTATCAGATCTGCCACTGCAAGGCTATTCCTCAATTTCTTCATCATATATTTTTCCCTAAAGTCTCTCAGAGAAGTAAAGGGCTTCTAGAGATGAAAATGAACTTGACAATCACGTTGCAACTCAAACTGATCTTGATTCTTTTCGTCACTTTTTAATTTATTGCAGATGGTGTAAATGGGATGTTTACTGGTTGGCAGGTAATGAGTCTTGTTGTAGATAATAGTGATGGACAGAATCTCACGCCTGTCGACATCCCAGCATCTCAGCAGCTATATATGGTTATCATCCATTGCTTTGAAGCACATATAATATTGTGACAGGATGCACAATATTTCCCCCATAGAAACGATGATTGGTACACCTGAATCTCACTAGTTCACATGTCATTTGTCCTGATTCCATCCTCACTGTCCACATGAGTAGACATTCTAAGATGTGATCTAATGGAAAATGTAATCTGTTTAAACATCCAAACACTCCTCTTCCAAGGTATCACCATTTATCACAACTGTCAGTGCCCCTGTGGAAGAGTAATGACCCTCAGGCATGGGATAATGCTCCATAGAGGCCTTATGAATGCCACTGTGAAACACAGAAATTGACCAGTTTTCAGTTGGGCTGGTATGTGCATCATGAAAGATCTGCACTTACTCACTAAATTACAAGTGGCTGTTTACCCTTTATACAATAAAGTCTAGGTTGGGAAGCCACAGACCCTGCTGACTTCAATTGTCCCAAACATGTGAGTACTAGATTTGGACCTGCCTTTGAAATGGACTTAAGCAGCTTGAAACTGGAAGTTGGATCACAGTCATTCAAAAATACATTGGGAGATAACATAGGTGTCATTGCCTTCCACTTTTTTGCCTTTTTAAAAAATCCTCTCTATCAATGGAGGATAACAACATCTCACTATCCACTATTAGCAATTAAAAACTAAACAGGGTAAGCATGCCAGTGAAAAGTTAACTATTTGTTTCCTTCTTGTAAGCTTCCCTTCATCCAGAAGAAAATCTGGATCTGGATCTGTTCATATATTGTTTCTACAAAGCAGAACAAAGGTGAACAGTTATGTGGTATGAACTCATGATTTTCAGGTCCCTCCCAATGGGTCCATTTCCTCATTGACGATTTCCTTGAAGTCCCCTGTACCTTCCCAATCTTATCTACATTTTCTATGAAGTCACCTTAGATAATAGGATCACTTGCACTCTAAGACTGTTTACATCTCAGTAAATGCTCTATCACTATGAAAGTTTCATCTAAAACATATCTATTCCTCAGTGCTCAGACACCCTGAAGATACCCTTCAGGATGTAGCATCCATATGAAGTCACAAAATACCAGTTGATCTTCCCGTGGAAATTGTTTTCCAATCTGTATGAATTGAATGGCTCAACTAAATAAATGAAGAAAATGAAATATTTTACTCACAGTGATTCATTCCATATTAAGAAAATACACTAAGTAATGAATGGCCCCTATGAAATCATTACAGTTATGAGCATCTTTTCTACTTGACAGATCTCTGTTCCCCTCGCAGATGAGTTATGCCAACCTAACTATACTTTTGGTATTCACAATATTCTGATTATTAGTATCTCCAAAGATGGGACTTAAGACACTTTCCTGAGAAGAGAAATTTACAATTAGATACATCTTAACAATTAATAAAATTAATGAGATAATGAAATAAGAAGCTCTCAGTATACTGCTGAGGATGCAGAAATCTTTTTGAGAATTAGGAATGTTCTAGAAGACAATAAAAAAGATCAGATTGTGAACTGAGCAAAACAACCTTTGATGTGAAGTGTCAGCCAGAAATGTCAATCCAATTCAAGACTGCATACAAAGGGGCACTGTGTCTTTGAGCTGAGAGGTATTATGTTACCTGATTATCTTCTCTGGAAGAATGCATTATGGTTTAGACACTTTTATTACCTGAAAGATGTAGACAAATTAGGGAAGATTAACAACCAGTTTTATTAGGAAGTAGCAGATGAGCTGGTGTGAATGGTACTGGTTGTTATGAGTTCTGTATTCTCTTTTCAGCTTTGATATGCTCTCATGTGGGAATAGTCATCCTTGAAATTTAGATAGGATAATTTATATTCTTTTCCCCAGAGAAAAGACAGTTTGGGAATGAAAGGGAGGGGAAGTGTTTAAAACAGCACAAGAACCTGGGATAACAGAAGGGTCAGAAATTCTATTATAGAATTTTTCAACTCCCATTTACAAAAATACAACCAACAATAACCAGTTCTTAAGCCTTTATTTGAATAAGCTCAGTACATTTAGTATTTGCAGTATGTTTTTCATATATAGTACCTAATTGTTTTTGGTCCACAGAATAAGGCTATTCTATGATACTATGTTATTATGTTCATGTTTTCCTGGAAATATAATTTGCAAGGTCATTCTAGGAACTCTGATTATGAAATTCAACATCACTTTAAGTCAGTTACCCTGAACTCTAATGCAGTTTCTTGTCTCTTCATACTTACCCTGGAGCTATAACCTATAGTCTTATAGAAGTGCCCTTTTCAAAAAGGCTCCCACTCCTTGCCTTCTGAATGACTGTCTAGATATATTTTCACCTGTAATTGCATACTACACCAAATTTGCATTATATATGAATGTGATTGAGAAATGATTAAGATAATTGTTTAGTTTATTAGTGAAAATAAGTGGTATATAAGCTAAAATAAATTATTATTTTTACACATGGCATTATTCCTAGTTGTATTTATTATGATTTACCATTTACTAAAGTATTTCAGTTGGTTGACAAGGAATAATAGCACTAAACTTCCTTCAAGCAATACTGGTGACTCACTACAGCCCTAATGTTAATACATTCCCTCAGACTTAATCTTTTAATTCTATTGGGAAACACCTATAAACACAACAGAATTTTTTCCTTTTCTGATGTTCATTCAAATTACATTACCTATTTCCACCATTCAGTGTAGTAATTTCTGGGAACTACCTTGAGGGGTGGATGGTGGTAAAGAATCAGGACATTTAAACTTCTATTAAAAAGGGACAGAAGAAGACTTTAGGTCACCTGTGATCTTAGGCAGCTTTCAGGAAACAGAGGAAGCACACTTGTGATGAACCTTCATAAAATTGGCCCATATTCCCAATAATTCCCTTACCTATTGAGATTCCTGGTTGCTAAGGACTTTATCAGTTACTTCAACAATCCTCCCTCCCCGCTAATAACAGTACCTCATTTGCGAACAATACTGGACTGTACTCACAATTCCTTTTCCCCTTCCTTTCAGAAAGAACACTTTTACGCCCCTAAATAGTCCTATAAATGGCCAAAGACATAGGACATGCTACATGATTCATCTCATGAATCAGTTTCTGTTCTCTTGGCTGTTCAACAAAAGACATTTCAAATTCTCCACGAGGCAATGTATTACACTGCCATGAGATTAATTTCTGTCTTCAACTTTGGACATTTCTTAACTATTAACTGGGATTACTTCCTTTTTGCTCCTCTACAACCCATTCTCTACACAGAAACTGTAGTGATTTCTTTCAATGTGACATTAGATTCTACTACAAAAATCACCAATGGCTGCTTACTGTAACTAGAATAAAATTCAAACTTCTCACTCTACAGCCTATATAGTCTGGTTCCTGATTCCTTCTCTGAACACATCACCAGTATACTTTTCCTTATTCACTGACCTGTCATAATTCACATGCCTAGCTCACTTGAGCCTCAAGGCCTTTGAAGTTGCTATTCCAATTTGCCTGAAATGATTTTCCTTCACATCTTCATATGGCTAGTTTCTAACATCATTCAGGTCTCAACCAAATGCCATCTCCTTACATGCCATCCGTGTGAGATTTTACTCTTACTTTCTTCATTTCATTCTTCATTGTGTGTTAGTGAGTTTACATGTTTATTAACTATCTCCCTTAACTAGAATGTTCCAGAAGGAAGGAGGACTTTGTGAGTTCTGATCACTATTGTATTTCCAGTGTCTGGAATAGTAGGTGCTCAACAAATACTTGCTGAGTGAATGAATAAATTAATGACCAAACAGTAAATAAATAGTAAACAAGGCCAATATCAATGCTCTTTATTACAGTAGTTATTTAAATGTACCTCAAAATGCTCTAAAAATAAATATGTGCTTTCCCTGCACATTAGGATTAAAAGTACTCATTTTACTAATTAAAAGCCAGGACCTCAATTTACATTAATGACTGGTCCAAGATCATATGGTAAATACGTATTGCACAATTCTGGTCTGAAATCTTGTTAGCCCAGTCAGTCCTACAGTGATTTACTTAGAACACAATTGTGAACCAGGTATAATTAATCTGAGGTCCACCAATAGGCTTGAGGGGGTTTGTGAATCCTTTGAAAAGGTATTGCACCCTCTTTTGGGAAGAGGGTCCATAGCTTTCATCATATTATCAATGGAAGCCATAAACTAAAAGAGGCTGGGAATCTCTTTAAGCAATACCATTCTGAAACAAATTATTCTTAACCTCCCTAGGTAGATTGGAAGGCTGCTGGCTTCAACATTTTCTGTAGAGAAGGAACACCTATGAAAATCCTATCACTGGCTGAGTAGACATATTTTCCTTTCCAGCACCAACTCTGGGGAATGGTGGGCCTCACAGGCTGGCTAACCCTTCTTGGAGTTCACGGGAAAAAGATGTCTAGTTCAAAGACGATGAGAAGGGAGGTATCATTCTAATCATGTGGAAAGCCCACTGTGCTTTTAGTTTGTGTTTGTAGCATTCTTAGCTTAATTTCAGGGATGTTATTGTAGCTGTGAAGATTAGATAATAATAAGAAAAACTAATTCTTAGGCACCAGACAGACAATATGAAAAAAATATATAATTCTAAATGTAGGTCAAATTTTATATTTATCAGCATTGATGCAGTGTTGTTTTGGTCTGTTCTTAAATTTTTGTTTTATGAAAAACAATGAATGCAATAATCTTCTAATACAGTGATTAAGAAACAGTGTATATTTTTCCACATACTATCAAAGCAGAGTAAAGAGTGAATTTTGCCATGGGAAATAGTGTATTGCTACAGTAAGTAAGAATATTAAGTTTACCAAGTTTTTCTAGACTGAAGACTTAACAATAAATAAGGCACATCTTCCCTGTAAGGTTTCTCTTGAGTCTGTTACTTTTCAGTAGATGATGATGATGACAGCAACAGCAGCTAACATTTGTTGCTTATTATGTACCAGGTCCTGCTCTAAGTGCTTTACATTTATTACTTCACTTAATCCTCCCAGCAACTATGTCCATGAATTAGGTATTATTATTATCTATTCTTAGAGATCAGGAAAGTCAGATGAGGGGTTATTTAACTTGGTAATGAGGGGTAAAACCAAGATTCATATCCCACCTGTCTGATGCCATGTCCAAGCCTTTCACCACTACACTTTCCTGTCTCCCTCTGTGGTAGTGCAGGGATACTTTGGAGATGTAACACATCTTAATTAAAAATACTT
The DNA here is from genome assembly GCF_000001405.40 of Homo sapiens. Lineage (NCBI taxonomy): Eukaryota > Metazoa > Chordata > Mammalia > Primates > Hominidae > Homo > Homo sapiens. The sequence goes on from NC_000003.12 coordinate 114,560,644, forward strand.
TATTGCTGAAAAGTGCTCACCACCCTCTGAGCTTTCAAGATTACCATCTGAGTGGTAATCTTTTTGCTGGTGGAGGGTCTTGCTTTGATGTTGATGGTTGCTGACTGATCAGGGTGGTGGTTTCTGAAGCTTGGGGTGGCTGTGGTAATTTCTTAAAATAAGACAACAATGAAGTTTGCCACATGATTGACTCTTCTTTTCACAAAGGATTTCTCTGCAGCAGGTGATGCTGTTTGATAGCATTTTACCCACAGTAGAACTTCTTTCAAAATTGGAGCCAATCCTCTCAAACTCTGCCATCGCATTATCAAATGAGTTTATAAAACATTCTAAATATTTTGGTTGTCATTTCAAAAAATGTTCACAGAATCTTTACCAGGAGTAGATTCCATCTCAAGAAACTCACTGCTTTGCTCACCCATAAGAAACTACTCTTTACCTGTTCAAGTTTGATAATGAAAGTATGAAAGTACAACAATTCAGTTACATCTTCAGGCTTCACTTCTAATTCTAGTTCTCTTGTTATTTTCATCACATTATGTACAGTTACTTCTTCTACTAAAGTCTTAAGTGCCTGAAAGTCATCCATGAGGGTTGGAATCAACTTCTTCCAAATGCCTGTTAATATTTATATTTTGACCTTGTCCCATGAATCACAAATGTTCTTTATGACATCGAGAATGGTGGATACTTTCCAGAAGGTTTTCAATTTACTTTGCCTATGTCGATGATAGAAATCACTATCTACGGTAGCTATAGCCTTATGAAATTTATTTTTTAAATATAAGACTTGTAAATCAAAATTACCCCTTGATCCATGGGCTGCTAATAGATGTCGTGTTAGCAGGCATGAAAACAACATTAGCCTCTTTGTACATCTCCATCAGAGTTTTTCGGTGACCAGGTATTGTCAATGAGCAGTAGTATGTTGAAAGAAATCTCTTTTTTCTGAGTGGTAGGTCTCAAGAGTGGGCTTAAAATATTCAGTAAATCATGCTATAAACAGATATGCTCTTGTCCTGGCTTTATTATTCCATTTATAGAGCTCAGGCAGGGTAGATTTAACATAATTCCTAAGAGCCCTAGGATTTTCTAAATGGTAAATAAACATTGGCTCCCAGTTAAAGTTACCTGCTGCACCAGCTCCTAACAAGACAGTAAGCCTATCCTTTGATGCTTTGAAACCAGGCATTGACTTCTCCTCAATAGCTATAAAAACCCTAAATGGCATTTCCTTCCAAGTAGAAGACTATTTCATCTATATTGAGAATCTGTTGTTTAGGTCAGCCACCCTCATCAATTATCTTAGCTAGATCATCCAGATAACTTGCTTCTCTATCAGCACTTGATACTTCACTTTGCACTTTTATATTATAGAGATGGCTTCTTTAATTCATCTTCATGAATCAATCTCCACTGGCTTCAAACTTTTCTTCTAAAGCTTCCTCACCTCTCTTGGTCTTCATAGAATTGAGGAGTCAGTGCCTTGCTCTGGATTAGGCTTTGTCTTAAGGGAATGTTGTGGCTGGTTTGATTTTTTTTTTTTTTTTGAGACGGTGTCACTAGGCTGGAGTGCAGTGGTGCCATCTCGGCTCACTGCAACCTCCGCCTCCCAGGTTCAAGCGATTCTCCTGCCTCAGCCTCCTGAGTAGCTGGAACTACAGACACGTGCCACCACACTCAGCTAATTTTTGTATTTTTAGTAGAGACGGGGTTTCACCATGTTGGCCAGGATGGTCTCGATCTCTTGACCTCATGATCCACCTGCCTTGGCCTCCAAAAGTGCTGGGATTACAGGAGTGAGCCACCGCTCCTGTTTGATCTTTTATCTGCACCACTAAAACTTTCTCCATATCAACAATAAGGTTGCTTTGCCTTCTTTTCATTAGTGTTTTCACTAGAGTAGCACTTTTAATTTCCTTAAAGAACATTTTCTTTGCATTTACAACTTCATTACTGTTTAGTGCAAGGGGCTTAGCTTTCAGCCTTTCTGGGCCTTCCTCACTAAGCTTAATCATTTTTAGCTTTTTATTTAAAGTGAGAGATAACGTGACTGTTCCTTTCACTTGAACACTTAGAGGTCATTGCCGGGTTATTAACTGGCCTTATTTCAAAATTATGTCTCAGGGAACAGGGAAGTCCCAGGAGAGGGAGAGAGATGAAGGAACAGCTAGTTGGTAAGGCAGTCAGAACATATAAAACATTTATTGATTAAATTTGTCATCTTATATGGGTGTGGTTTGTGGCACCTCAAAACAATCAGAATAGAAACATCAAAGATCACTAATCACAAATCACTCAAACAAATATAATAATGATTAAAAAGTTTAAAATATTGCCAAGAACCACCAAAATGTGACACAGAGACATGAAGTGAGCACATGCTGTTGGAAAAAATGGTGCCAACAGACTCAATACAGGGTTGCCACAAACTTTCAATTTGCAAAAAATGTAATGTCTGGAAAGTGCAATAAAGTAAAGTGCAATAGAAAGAGGTATGCTTCTATATCCTATTTTCAATACAAAGATGCTGGGTAGCCAATTTCTACCACTGTCTTTGTCTATTTGACAAAACTTTCCCATGACTTTTATACTGTTAACTTTTTTGAATAGCAGATGAGACACATACTTGCATCCTCAAATCTGCAAAGACACCTTGGGCCAGTTTGAACCGAATCCCATTTTTAACTGAAAATGATGAAAATAAGGTACATTATTAGCCTGAACTTTGCATAACTCTAAAATGTATTAATCTTCGGTAAAAATTTTAATCTTAGTTTTAGAATCCTCATGAAGTACTTAGAATGTTTAAATGAGATAACACTGGGTATATTAAACATTATGAAATTGCCATTTCTGTAGCTTAAAAATGGTCAATTGTTGCCACAGTCAAGTGATTAAACCTAAGGTAAGTAATCAACTTACCTTATTAAGTTAACTGCTATTGTTGTAAGATAAATTATTCTCACTCTACAATCCTCCCTCCCTGAAAACTTTTCTAGTCTGGAATGTACTGCTGATAACTAGTGCTAGGGACATAGGGTTGAACTTGCCCATGATTTTAATTTGTAATACATAGGCTTTTAAAATTCATATCATAGCAGGTATACCTCCAAATGATGCCACAAAGACAGCCTAGAAAATGGGCCTTAGAAGATTAAGTTAATAAAGGCTTATTATTTTTCCTATAGCTGGATGTACTCTTAACTAGATAACTTTCAATAGAAATCAAGTTCATGAAGCAGGTTCATGGGAACTGTATTAGTTTCCTATCGCTGCTGTAACAAATTAGCACAAACTTATAGTTCTGGAGGTCAGAAAGTCCTAAAATCATGGTATCAGCAGAGTTATGTTTTTTTCTGGAGTCTTTAAGAGAAAATCCCTTTCCTTGAGTTTTCCAGTTATTAGAGGCCACCTGTATTCATTGGCTCATGATCTATTCCTCCCTCTTCAAAACCAGCAACGCAGCATCTTTCAATCTCTCTCTCTCTCTGACCTCTGCTTCCATCACCACATCTCCTCTGTGATCCTCCTGCCTGCCTCTTTCCTTTAAACGGCCCTTATAATCATATTAGGCCTAACCAGATAATCTGGCATAATCTTCCCATCTCAAAAATCCTTAATTTAGTCACATCTGTAAAGTCTCTTTGCCATCTAAGGCAACATACTCACAGGTTCTGAGGATTAGGATGTGAACATCTTCGGTGGGGTGGGGAGGGGGGCATTAATCTGTCTGTCACAGAGACCGAAATATTCTAGGTACCCAAATTTCAAATAGCAAGCAAGATGGTATCTTATTTCTTTAAACCTCATAGCATGGTAAGCTGCACAGACATTTTTACATATACCCTCATAATTTTTAAGGAGATTGTGATGTACAACTCTCCAGTTTCTCTTCTGGCACAAGTGTGTGGAAATCATGGTCTTAGCTTTGGTTTGTAGAACCAGATTTTACTCCTTTACCCAGTTTTAGTCAATCCCATTTATATTTAAATTTGTCCTTTTTGAGCATTCATACTGCTATCCTTAGCCAAAGAATTATTAGTACAGTAAGTGCTTTCTGCACTTCCTTCTCCTAACTCTAGGAATAAAAGGCACACGTGTTTAGCTGAGAACCAACCAGGACAGAATTCTAGCACTTCTCATTACATCTTTCTTGTGCTCTTCCTTCAGGCACTACATTGACATCTCAATAAGCAAATAACACCAGCGTTGCAGGTGTTAACACCAATGACTATACCATGAGAAATTCCCTTATGTCACGCCTTGCATGGGTAAAGTTAACTCAAATGTCTTCCTTCTCTTACCTAAAATATCTGCTTGCCTGACCTACATCTCCCTTGTCCATTGTTTCCAATGAACACTAACCCTTAAACATTTAAGCCTCATCAGCACATGCCCATCATAACAGCATAACATCCTTGTCCTGCTGGAAACTATTCAGCATCCAGAGGACCATCTTTATGCTGATAACACTAAAATATAAAATAATGCCAACAGCTGGTGCTACAAATGGCTTTTAAAAACGATGTTCATTCACTAAAATTCCTCTTGCTACTTTTGACATGAAACACGCAGTCTCTAATTATTCTGATCAAGACGGTGAAATACAAAAACAAACTTTAATTGTGTTTAACAGATATTTAATCAGGACTCACTGAACTACAGATTAAAGCTGAAATTCATAAACCATAATTACCCGATTGTCGCAATCTTTTGGTCCACATTCTCCTTCCGTCTGGGCGTCTGGCACCTTGCCCCGAATTTCTTTTACTGTCTTCTCAGCTTCATTACTGTTCATGTTTTCCAGCAGAGATTTAGCACAGATTACAAAATATCTGTTCTTGGCAACTTTCTTCATTAGCTTTTTCTCCCCCCTTGCAAAAAGTTTATTTTCTTTTTTCTACCAGAGTAGCTGGAACAGGCATACGTTTAGGGTGCTTTGATGACACAAACTAATTATATAGTTATCAGGAGATAATACGGTAGCGATAACTAAAGTTACTACAGTTATCATGTAGGTATCATGCAATTTCTCCAGTATACCATGCGGTGTGTCCCAGTCACCACGTAATTACCTAATGTCACTACTGCATTGTTTCATGGAAAATGCTTATCTCACCCCAACAAAACCTTTTCTGCCACATTTAGAGAAAAAAAAAGAAGTGAAATTCTTAGTTCTCATATCCAGTACTGCTCATTCCCAGTAAGATGTTGTCATGCAAATGTAAGGGAAACACCTGCCCTCTCCTGAAAATTTGCTCTTACAGGGAGCAAATGGAGCAATTATTATTATTATTTTTTCCTGCTTCACTCTTTCCAGGTAAAAGAAGTAATTACCAACAATACATACATTTTTTCTTTTTTTTTCTTTTTTTAAAAGAAACCAATCCCCCTACCGACCCCCGAAAGAAACACCCTATTTACTTAGGATTCGTTTAGTCTGGCACTTCCCCCCTATACTCTTTCCTTTCAAATTTCAGTCACTCACATTTGTTTTTCCTAGAATTATGGTGTAAATCATTCTTAACAAGCTAACTTGAAACTTCTCTCACTCAGTAGAAACACAAAATGCCACTGTAATTGAAACACGGAAGCTTGAAACTCTTTCTAACCAGTTCTTTTGGGCCACTCTTCAGAAGGGCATGCCGAGTTTCCCTCACAGTGCGGTAACCCCTGGGTCACACAGCGAGGATAACATCACAGACCAAGGCAAGAGGATAAAGAGAAGGCACTGGCTAAAGAAGAGGTGGGTGGTTCCTTTATTCCCCCCAGTTGGGCAGTCAACCCTATGAAGCAAGGACTGTAGTTGCTACTTATTTATCTCAAGTTGATGGCTTGAAGTCTGACCTCACTAAGACCTTTAGATGTGACATACCACCTGAGAGTTCCAGTTTAAAACAGGATGTAGCAGCTTCCTTTGCAGCACAAGTTGAAAGCTATTTCCAATTCTGCTTTTATTAGTCACCTCCCAATCTAAGAGCTGCCCATTCAATTGTACACTTAACTCATGTCGGGGTAAAAAGCACCTCCAGATTTAGAAGGGCCAGAAAAATTGCTATCCTATCCTAGCACATTGTTCTTCAATCACACAGTTCCTCTAAATACAGTTGACAGCCTTTGAGATGCAAAATGTATCACTTTAATGTAGTAGAGGTCCCCTTCACTGCATTGCCAAATCTATTTAGCAGAATCTTCTTGGAATAATCTGTCCCTAGACCTGAGGATGCACAGTGATTTCAAGCATTTTAAGCTAATGATAATGGTTAGTGCTGAGAACAGATGTACCTGGCTGTGATGTGATCTATTCCAGTAGGCTTTTATGAGCTGTTCATTCCTATTGACTTAGCATTTTATGTCTGTGCTTTTGCCTGGTGTGATGGTTGCATAGGGGTGTCATGTGTGTATTTTCCTGATGTGTGATGGCTGCACAGGGGGCTGTGTGTATTTTCTCAGTGCAATGGCCACACAGGGTGTTATGTGTGTGTTTGCCTGGAGTTATAGCTGCACATGTTATTGTGTGACTTTTCTCTCTATTTGATGCTTGCTCGCAGGGTCCTATGTGTATCTTTTTCTTAGTGTGATGGTTGCACTCAATGCTGTGCTAATGATGGACATTTCTAGCAATTATCTATCTACAGGGTCCTCGGGAAAAAAATTGCAGTGAAATCAATAAACAGTGCTAGACAGGCCCTTGTAAATATGAAATGACACCATGCATAAATGCCGTTTCCTACTATAGCATGTTAAAATCCAAATTCTGTTATGTTATTGGCATTGGGATAAAATTTCTATGGTCCCTCCATCTCCTTCATATATTGCAATCTTTTGGGGGAAGTTGAGATTACTGCTGGTTGGAGGGCTTTTACACATGCATCTATGTAATACTACTTTTTGCTACATTGTCCTACACATCATCTCTTATACTCCATTCTGACTTATCCTGGCATAATAGCTGATATTCTAAAAGTGAATATGCCTTTCATTTATTCCTTCAGTCTCACCAAGCCCTCCCCCATATAACCCCTACATCACACATACAAAACCCCCTCGCTTGCCTCCCTCTCTCTAGTTTCTCCGTATCCCTCCTGTGTTCACCAAACGGAACTGACAAAGGAAACAACCAATGAGGTTAAAATCTTTTGAAACCCCTGGAATACAGATGAGCTGGGAGGCATCTGGAAACAAAACCAGACACTTGAAATCAAAGAGACAAGTAAATTACTATCCTAATCTAGGAAGAATAACTAAAGGTGTCAGTGGGGTTCCATTGATAGCACTTGGCTCTGGGCCAGAATGCCAAGGGTTCAAACTCCACACCAGCTTTGGGCTCAGGCCCAAGACTTGCTACTGCAGGGTGCAGCAGCATGTGCAGCAGTGTTAAAGGTGTCAGCCTTCTGCAGAGAGGTTAAGTCCAAGTCCTTCTGCCTGTTTGTCATTACACCCCAGAGAGACGGAGAGATAACCCTAGCTTTCTCTTCGCTGCCTTTCTCAATAGAACAGGCTGAGGAGGAACTAGTGCTCAGCAGCAGTACTTGCTAGTATGAGTACTATACAACTAATTAGTAAAATTCCCCTCTACTGATAAGGCTGCTTGAAGTATGCGCAAGAAAATCCACTGTCCCTCTCCCCCCACGAAAAACCTGATGTTTGTCCTAAAGATTCTTCCATCAATGCAAAGAGCTAAGTTTGGAAACCTAAAACCATGTGTCTAAAAGAAAGAAAATGTTTTCATTGGAACAGCTTACATGTCTGGTACACTTGCATAAAAACTATCGCATAGCATTTTAGAGCTAAAATTGCTATAAAATGCTTAATACAGTAAGAGTAATTATGAGATTTTGCATGCACAGCTGGTATACAACTAGAGTCTCAGCCACATATTCAATGGAGCATGGGAAAACCATTTATAAAAATTCCTGGTATGCCAGTTTAACTCACCATCAACAGCCTATCAACACTTCATTCTTTAAGTGGATAGGGAAGATATTTACCTACCAAATGCTTTATTTCTTCTCTCATGGATGTTATCAATACTTGATTCAAGGAATTTGAGTTATTACTTAGAGAGTATAAATATAAGCTGTTAACAGGACATGAATGACCTGAATGCAAGCCTTCTCCACTGAGTGAAGAAGTTACAATGATAGTAGTAAGTAATGAACCAGAAGACCAAATCATTAAATCTACTTGTATCTTCCCTTTTTAACCTCCGCTTTTTGCTATATCTTCACATATTCTTATCTCTCTTCATTTCTCTAAGATTCAAATCCTCGGGTGAGTTCCTGGGTACTCTGGACTCCCCTGCCATAGCCCACCTGGCCTTGCCTTCCCCTGAGTAACACCCTGAAGACAGAGCTCTTCGTTTACATTTTCCCCCAATCAAGTTATAACAGGTATTTGTTCTCCATTCCCTTTAGTTCCAGCTACATCACTTGAAAAGAAACTGATTTGGGTGAGTTGTTAATGGTTAATAATAATTTAATAAAGTTTATTTCTTGATGAAAACATTGATTTTAAGAGTCAAATGAAGAACCTCTTTATTGTGGTCTTTTAGGCTCTATGGAAAATGCCATAATAGGTGAGATGATTCTAATCAGAAGCATTGATGGATGCTCCATTGCACATTTTTTAGCCATAGGAGCCAGTGGATAGATGGGAATTCCCAGGTGGACAGGAAGTTTGGGGTCACAAAGGCAGCATGACACAATACAAAATGAATTTGAACAGAATCAGGAAACTCAAGTTTTAGGACCAACAAACTTTGCCACGAAGTGTTTGGCAGACATTCAGTTTCTTAACCTGAGAAATGAGGCAGGCCCTGGGATCAGAAACTCTCCATGATCCTCTCTGGCTCTTACATTCTATGACTCTCTGACCGCAGATCAGTCAGGTCTCCTGGATTAGCTACCACCTCCAGTTAAGAACTAATAGTTCTGAATAAAGATGGCGGTCATTCCACACTGAGCCAACCTAACTAAAGAGGTGTTGATGTCCATAGGTGAGTTTTACCTGTCTGCCTACAACCTGCATACACTACTTTTGAGTTGGCTCCTTTATGCTATACAGATATTTCTTAGCATTTTGTTTTCCCTCATTTACTTAATTCAGCAAACATTTAATGAGCACTTTCTATACATGAAACACAGAGTCGATCACTAAGGACAGGACTGAACAGGGCACCATCTCTGTTGCACAGATGATTTTATTATTCTTGTCCATTCTCTCTCTCTCTCCCCACCTTCACTTTTATGCATAAACACATACTTCTAGAACTATAAAAGTAGTATAGAAAAAATAAGAGGAATTAGACTTATCTGAGCCAGTCTGAAATACTGTTTATTTTAAACAAAAGAATATGATAATAATTTGTGTTGGCAAAATATATGCATTCAATTACGCACTTCAATAGTATAAAGGGTATTTCTCAACATGTATTTTGAGGTCAGTAATTTGCAATAAGGATAACAATTTGGGGGAAAGAAGATTATAAAGGTAAAACATTCCCTTCTGTAGAATCCTGATAAAGTCCTAGGATAAAATCTGTGACTTGTGTAAATAACCTCTGGGAAAGTGAGATCATAGAATTTTTTTTTTAAGTTTTTGTTTTTCCTCTAAGGATTTTGGGTTCATATCCCTCCAAATTTTATTTCCTGACTTAAAAATAATAACTGCCACTTATTGAGTAAATATTAAATTCCATGCACTTCAAATACATTATTTTTATAAATACAGTATGAAATACAATATATTAATATATTGTATAATACAATATGATATATTATAATACATTGTAAATATTAAATTCAATATATTATTAAAGCAACTCTGCTAGATAGATATTATTACTCTAACAGACATGAAAACTGTGGGTCAGAGAGCTGAAGTAACTTGTCAAAGATAATTCAGACAGTGTGCAGAGTTAGAATTTAAACTCAGGTCTGTATTTGTCTATGCAATATGGCTCCATAACCATTTCTTGGTTCTGCTGAATCTAACTTTATTTTAAAAATGAATAATCTTGCTTGAATGCTTTGTTAGCAAATAAGGAAAGCACCCTTTTTACTCTTCCTTCACATTCATTCATTGCATTACATATAGTACAATGAAAACAGGAGATGGTTAAGATTTTTTCAATGCAGATCTGGTTGCCTTTTCATATTGATTTGGACTGAGATAATTAAATTTGGGCTCTCAATCAAAGTGAAAGAATAAGCTATTTGCTATCTGAATAAGTATTTCTTATTAATTGATCAGACATGGATAAGGTGTGTTATTACAACTATATTTGTAAGGTATGATTTATGTTGTTCTACTGCATATTACTCTGTGCTGTTTTTCATTTTCTTGCACTTTGGACTTTTTGTTTTGTTTTTATGAATTTAGTCACAGTTGGTTGTGTGTTGAACTTTGTAAAAATGTAATACTAAGGAAATTAAAAAAAGAAAGAAAATATTTTCAAAATGATGTCAAAATCAAATCTACCCCTCACTAATTTGATTTGTAGGAAATGGAGAACAAAGTATTAGAAGCAGAATGCTTTTAAATAATCCTAATTACTTCAATGTGCAAATGCATTGACTAAATCGAAGCATGCGTTTAACACTTTGCACTTCAATTGTGCTTATTCATCTAAGTTCTATAGATAGCAATTCTATAAAAAACAAGAGATATAGCCAGCCATTCCATAGTTATTGGGGGAAAACTATTGTTCTAAAATTCAAGCTTACCTCTCAAGTCAGCCCACTTTTGGACTAACGCAGATCATTAGGTCAAAGAACTCAAAATAACATAATTTACTGTAACTACTCAGGTTTTCCCAATTGACTCTGCCTTCCCTATTCTTTTTTTCTGCCTTCAGCGGGGTGGGGTGAGGACGTGGAGGAAGGAAAGCTTCTGTTAACAAAGCCACAGAGTGGAAGCAGCAAGGCTTTTGGTAGTCAAGCCACACAGCATTAAGCAGGGCCAATCTTAAGGAATAATGCCATGGGGTTAGAGTGGTTTGTGATCAAGGCTGAGATGGAGTCATGATGGCAGGGTAACTTAGTACCTGGTCTAGGACCAGCTGCATCAGAACCACCTGCTGAGCATGTTAAAAAGACACATTTCAGGGTCTCACTCCAGAGCAAACCAACAGAATTAGTATCTCTTGAGGTGGAACTCAGATCTCCATTTTAAACAGGCTCCCCAAGTAATTCTTATGCTACTTAAGCCTGAAAGCACTGGCATATGCACTTAAGCTCTCTAATTCTATATCCAGCGACAGCCCTGCTGCTACACCTGTATACTCTGTCCCAGTCTTCAAGACATATGTGCAAGTCCAACTACTTGTCCTGGGAGGCATTAATGCTAATAATAATGGCCCAAGGGCTTAGCTAGGCATGATGTTATTTGACATGCAGTATCTCATCCAATCCCCACAGCAAACTACGAGACAAAGATGATTACTATTCTCATCTTTCAGATGAGAAAACTGAAATTCAGAGAGACTTAGTAACTTGTTCTGGGTGCCACAATAATAACTGAAAGAGCTCTGAAGAACTATACTACTGTACTTTAACTCAGCCCTGCAGAAAAATATCTTGAAAGATGTTTACTTCTAAAGGTGTTCATAACTTGGTGATATCATTATTCCAAAGAAACTTGCCTAGATGCTAGTAAGATAGATTATGGAATAACACACAAAGTGTAAGCATTTCTACCCAAGGAACTTTTCCTTAGATTATTTCATAGAGACTTAAACTCTCAAAAACTAGGCTAAGAATCCTTCATTAGTTCGTTCAACAATTATGCACTTTGCCAGAACCTGAGGTATACAAAGATAAACAGGACATAGTCTCTGCCTTCACTAGACTTACAGTTCTGAAAAAGAGACAAGCTTGTGTACAAATGGTTCTGGGTTAACTTATACAGTCAGTGGAGGCCTGAGGGAGAGAGAGTAGTTCATTCTCCTGGCAGAAGGAAAAGAGGGTGAGGTCTGTAAAGTTTTAGTTACTCCAGCACTATGCCATTGGCTAATGTAAGGAACTTAGATTTTAAAGATTATATTTTTACTTGTACAGTTTTGTTACTAAAGGGGCAGACTAAGTTACTTGTATATTTCGAGCCAATAAAACTTTATCTGGTTCATTCTCTCTGGCATCAAACTGGTTTTCTTTTTTGGGTAAATTTCTGGGTACAGAGCCAAGTAAGTTGTTATGTTTATTCATTCTTACACAGAGCAACCGAGATTCTATTCTTGAAATGAGTGCCTAATAAATTTTATCAGTAGTACTTTATTCCACCCAATAAAAGTGGTTCTTCCTTGACATACTGTGTCCTTTATTTTCACTTGTTTCAATTACTCAGAATGCTATTATTAGATTTGCATATTTTCATAAGAGAAATTTAGAAATTACAAATGATTGAAAACAAAGAACAATCTAGATTCTTTCCTTTGTGATAAGAGAGGATGATCCCATATACATGTAAATGTGCTTTGAGTATGTTAATCTTAGAAATGACTGAAGAAAATGACATTCTAAAGAAAATGAGGGCCAGGCATAGTGGCTCACGCCTGTAATTCCAGCACTTTGGGAGGTTGAGGCAGGTGGATCCCCTGAGCTCAGGAGTTCGAGACCACCCTAGGCAACATGGTGAAACCCTGTCTCTACTAAAATACAAAAAAGTAGCTGGGCTTGGTGGCACGCCCCTGTAGTCCCAGCTACTCGGGAGGCTGTGGCACAAGAATTGCTTGAGCCTGGGAGGTGTAGGTTGCAGTGAGCCAAGATCTGACACTTCATTCCAGCTTGGGCTACAGAGTGAGACTCCAACAAAAAAGAAAAAAAAAAAAAGAAAGAAAGACAGAAAGAAAGATGAAAGAAAGAAAAGAAAGAAACAGAGAGAGAGAAAGAGAGAAAGGGAAAAGAAAGAGGAAAAAAAGAAAAAAGAGAAAAAGGAAAAAGAAAAAAGAAAAGAAAAGAAAAGAAAAAAATGAGGTTCTGGAACATCGAAGTTCAGGCTAATCACTTAAGGCAAAGGTACAAGGATCCAAAAAAGAAAAAGAAATTATGAAATATGATATGATTCAGTTTGGGGAAACTGAAAATCTATGTATCCCATATTTTAGTAACTGAATAAATTGGAATCATACATGTATTCTTTTCTAAGTTGAATTATTACCAAATTTGAGATTCAGTGTTTAGATTATTTACTGCTTGCTTAAAACTTTTATTTTTCAAATTATCAGAGTATTTTTCAAGCATTAAGAAAGTTCAATAAAAAGGCAATAGAAATATCAAGTAATTCCACCATACAGAGATAACTCCTCTTTACATTTGAATGTATTCTCTTACATCATTATCGAATACTTTCATTTTTATATTTGGGATTGTTTTAGGTATATATATTTATTTGTATCTTTTGGACCAGGAATTTTTAGTTGTGTTATTTTATAAACTTTTCCTAATAAAATATTGTTTAAAATAACTTTAAGAACTATCTAATTTGCATATATGATATGTGGTGATACATATGGATATTCAATAATTTAATAATTTCTCGAATTTTGTAATTTAAGATTTTAAAATCTTTTTTCTCTTTTATAAATGACATTGTGATAAACACCTCTGTACCTAAATCTTTGTCTGAGATTCTATTTCCTCTAGACAGATGCCTAGAAGTAAAATTAATGGGTCAGAGGACATATTTTTAAAGCAAGGTTCTGGATAACATAATGCTACATTACTTTGCAGAATTTTGTGTCAATATATAGATATCCACTATCACTATGAGTGTCTATTTCACTGTACCATTACCAGCACTGAAAATTACTATTTTTCATAAATCATGACTTTGAATCCTAGTGAATTATACTTTTTCATGTTTATTAGATATTTGTATTTCCTTTCATAATTTTTCTCTTTATATTCTTTTTAGCCATTCTATTTGACTGAACATATATCTCAATATCTTCATATCTGTTGCTTCAACTTCATTTCTGATTGTAACACCATAGTCTGAGCTCTCCTTACCTTGCTCTGAATGATGGCATCATGTCTGCCTGGTCTGTATTCCAGGTTTCTTTGATTCTGATTTATTCTGCACACTGATGCCGAACAGTTATTTTGAAAATATGCTTTCATCATGTCAGTCCTGATCAAGAACCTATGACAGCTCCTGGTTATTTATCTATCAGCTACATTCAACTGCCTCATTCAGGGGAAAATTCATCCCATTCTTGGATATTCCCTTATGAGTTCTGTTGAATAATTTAGGTTATTGCTATATGGACCCTATATGCACTTACGTTTTTATAAGTGGGTATTTCTATATAAAGACAGGGAGACACAATGTGGAGTACTAGAATACAAGAACTGGAAAGGGCTTTAAAGTACATCAAAACCAACTGTCTACATTTATAAATAAAAAAAAGTGGCCTACAGAGTTTAATGAACTACCCATGGTCATGGAGCCAATTAAATGACAGAACTAGGACTAGAAACTAAGTTGCATTATTCTCTTTTAGTGACTTTTAGATAGAGAATAATAAAAGTCATTTTTACAATTTAAAAAATAGAAACAGCTAGGAAGGCAGTTTAATTTCAATCTGTTGTTATGTATAAAAGATTGTTAAAATCATGCCACATAGAAGGCTTGAGTGTTCTTTTAACATGAATAATATGTACTTCTTATAAATCAATCAAATGTATCATTAGAATTTCCATAAAATTTGCACATCTGCAAATGACCTAGTTTATTTATACTTTGCTTTTTCCCTTGCTAATCTATATTGTTTTATTTAATCTGCTTTGCCACAATAAAAGCACAGTATTTTTTATCCTAGCATATTGCAGATTTTCACTAAGTTTCTTAATCATATCAATAAAAAATCCAATTTTCCCAGCAAATTCATATAAAAGATTTCTTTTGACTATAGTTAGGGATTTGAAGAACTACCTTTAAAAAATAAAAAAAAAAAAAATAGGAACTACTTCAAAATGCCTCTATTTAAATAGTAAACAACACGAACTATTGTGGAAGAATGTGGGCTGTCATCCATTTAATATGATATGATGATTGCTATATATATTCAAGAATCCCACTGTATTTGCCAAATGAAAACTTAACGGTAGTCACTGGTTTAGAAACGAGAGTTACCAAATATATTTATTATTTGTGGAAGAGGGGTAGGGCATAAGAGGTAAATGTGGAAATAGCCATGAATGGACCTAACTTTGATAGAAGCTCACTGATTTCAAAGGGCTGATTAACAAAGCATGTGTTTGCCTAACAAAATAATTGACAGAAAAGGTATTTATTAAATCATAAGGTGATTCAACTGTTTATAAAATACAAGGTTTAAACAAAATGGTAGTTCATCAGCAGCAATGAGAGCTCAGCTATGTTTTCTTTCTCCGTGTGTGCATGTGTGTAACCAAACAGGTCCACCATTCACTTAACACTCAACCAATATTTATTAAGCACCTACTTTGTGCTAGAAACCCTCTACTATCCAAAATAAGTAACCCTGTTATTTTGTTACAGAATACTCGACTACTCTGGACTGCTGTAAAATAAAAATTAATAATAATTTAGCCGGGCGTGGTGGCTCACGCCTGTAATCCCAGCACTTTGGGAGGCCAAGGCGGGCAGATCATGAGGTCAGGAGATCGAGACCATCCTGGCTAACACAGTGAAACCCCGTCTCTACTAAAAATACAAAAAGAAATTAGCCAGGCGTGGTGGCGGGCGCCTGTAGTCCCAGCTACTCGGGAGGCTGAGGCAGGAGAACGGCGTGAACCCGGGAGGCGGAGCTTGCAGTGAGTCGAGATCGCGCCGCTGCACTCCAGCCTGGGTGACAGAGCAAGACTCCGTCTCAAAAAAAAAAAAAAAAAAAAAAAAAAAAAAAAAAAAAAAAAAAAAAATGTATACCTGATATAAGGTGTTATAACAAAAATAATAAATTGAGTGATAAGAGGAGACAGATGAAACAGCATCCTAAATTTCTCATTTCATGTAGGATACTACTTCATTAATGACAATAATTAAACAGGCTTGAATGTTTTTCAGAAAAACAACAGTGATTATTACCGAAAGAATAAACTGTACTTTAAAACTTCAAATTGCTAGATTGATAAAAGCTAAAAAGGTAATCACACATCAAAAAAGACAGAGAGTGAGAGTGAGAAAGTGAGTGAGAATAGACCAAGCAAGCATAAAAACATAGAAAATATAAAAAAGATTTATGAGATAGTACTAGATATATTTTTTATAAAACGAATATTAGTTAATTTAATTAACATTAAAAATAATAACCATAATAATGTTAAAAGATAACAAAACATAATTTAACCATAGGATAGCAGTTTAAGGACACTAGCTTTGGTAGCAAAAACAGGATTCAAATATTATTTCTGCTATTTACTTGTTATAATCTCTTTCCTACTGGTGTATTTATTTAGACTATTTACCTCAACTTTCTGCTCTAAAAAATGGAAATAAGAATAACTGAACGTAGAAAGGATTGGGAAAAAATAATATGTAATGCTTAGTGACCAGCACAACTAAACATTCAATAACTGTAATTTGTAATATTATGTGTTTTAAATGATGTATCTAACTATGTACCCATATAAATTTAAAAAAAAAGAAAAAAATAGAAAAATGGTGCTGATAGATTTTCTCAATGCAGAGTTGCCACAAGCCTTCAGTTTGTGAAAAACTCAATATCTGCGAAGTGCAATAAAGCAAAGCACAATAAAAATAATATAAAAAACATAATAAAGAGAGATAAGAATCAAAGGAGTATTGTCCAAGATGTATTGTTACCTTAAAAATTCCGTGAAATATAAAATGTGAAAATCACAGAAACACAGTCAGACTTAAAAAGAAGATGATTAGTTACAGAAAGCTACTAAAAGCAGCCCATGGTGCTGAAGCCATAGGCCTGCTGAAATCTGGATCTAGAATCACATCGAGATACCTAGAATTCCAGCTCTTTAGAGTAATGAGGTCAAAGAGGCTCCATTTGAAATGGTGGACCTGAACCTGGCTTACTACTTTATCACGAGGCTACAAAAATTTGGCCAACTACTGCCTGGGGAAACAGCTTATATAGGGCTGCAGGACCTGAGAGCTGGAAGAATAAAGATACAGCATTATGATAAAATATTCATATAAGAATGAAGCTGAAAGCTACCATTGTAAGATCTGGATTGGGACTGAGAAGATCCAGATAAAGGCAACTGTAAAACCCCTAGTTAGGGACATGTGAACAAAACGAAACAAACAAAACAAAACCTGTAAAACAAAATTCTAAAGCATAACCAAGTAATGGTAAGAAAATCAATAATTGTAACATTCACTCCAGATAAATTTGATTTTATGAAATTATCTGACAATGACCTCAGCATGAATATGCTTGAGATGCTTAGTGATAAAGTACTCATACCTAAAAAAGAACAAGAAATGATTAAAGATAGAAATAAAATAAGAATAGGTGAATAAGAGTAAAACTTAATCAGAAATCTTAAAAAATTAAAAATGTTCATTAATATAAAAGTACAATAAATGAAATAAAGGAATTTCAAGGAAAGAATTGAGTGTATTGGAAGGTAATGTTAAGGAATTCACTCAGAAAAAAATTGTAGCAAGAAGAATTAATTTTTTGAAAATGAAATAGCAATTGAGATACTAATCAGTAAGCTGATTAGAAAATACCAATGTTTATCTTATAAGAATTCCAGAAAAAGAAAATGGAAGTAATGACAAAGGAACAATAAAGAAAAGGATAATAGCTGAGAATTTTCCAAAACTGGAGTCCTGAGATTAATAAGTATATCCTGAGTTCATGACTAATAATTCAAAATAAATCCACGTCCAGACACATTTCAGAGAAACTACAAGATATTTAGGATATAGAATAACTTTTAAAAGCTACCAGGAGAAAAAGCAGATTATTTATAAAGAGATAAAAACAGATTGATAGATTTCTCTTAATTAAGAATAGTTGACAGAACAATAGTCTAAGATATAATTGAGTAATGTCTTTAAAATACTCAACAAAAAATACCCAGATAAATTGCTATTTAAGATAAAAAACAAAATAAGTACATTTTTAGTTATATGAAATATATGTATTACCCAAGGTCCTCATTAAATAATTACTAAAAAAAAGTAACAAGAAAAGTGCACCCAGAAAGGAAGCCACAGGATCTAAGAATAATGGTAGGCATAGTAATATCTAAAAATATTAGTAAATATAATTAAGCATTGATTATAGACAACAGTGATCACCACTTTTGAATATGGTTAAAAACAAATAGGTAAAACTAAAACTTCATACACAATTATAGTAACAAGATTGATACTTAATAGGTAATTAAAAGATGCTATGTTAACCACCTTTTTTATACTAAGAAGAAGGTCAGAAATACTAAAAGGTCGATTTTATATTTTCTTAGAAAAATACACAGTTCAGTATACACAAAAGAATTTTAGAATTAGTGCTAAAGAAACAGATAAACCACCTACAGATTTCAAGCCAGAAGTAAAATCCATGTACCAGATAAAATCACAAAATAAGCTAAAAAAAGTTTTTCAATTAAAACCACATAAAACACATCATTTTATTTTAATGCGTTTAAATTCAGAAATAAATAATAAAAATAGAGCAAATATGTTTACAAAGTAAAAGCATACCCTTCTAAATACCTCAAGGGCTAAAAATAAAACAGATATTATGAAATATTTAAAATTGAACAAAACTACGTATCAAAACATGGTATGCACCTAATGAGAAACCAGGAGAAAAATTTAGAGTCTGAAATTCATTTTTAAAGATAATAAAAATTATTGAAAGTAAAAGGGTAATAATTCAATTCAAGAATCTAGAAAAAGAAAAATGGCCTAAAAATATAAAAAAAAAGAAGGAATGAAATAACGCTAATGCTGATAAAAGCAGAAAGTAATGATTTAGACTACAAATAAATAATAAAGTAGATAAGCAGAATCAAAAGCCAGTTTTTGTAAAGAAGTAAATGAAACAGAAAAATGTCTAGTGTCTAATAAAAAAAAGCAGAAGGGTCAAATAAATATTAGGAATAAGAGGGGAACATAAGGACAAAAAATTAAAAATCATAAGAATATATAAATAACTTTGTACAAATAAATTGAAGTATAAACTGTGAACTGTATTTAAAAAAAATAACTTCCCAAAATTGACTAGAGAAGAATCAGAAATTTCCTCTGTGGTTATTGGTTTATTCTGATATTCAAGTCTGCCTACCTACAACCTACTGATGAAAATTACCAAGTTCAGATGACAAATACTCAGAATAAAAAATCCCAATAATGTGAAAACTGTTTAAGATATAGAAAAAAATGAAATGTTACTCAGCTTATTTTGTGAGGCCAGTATTGTCACAGCAAAACTCTATAGTAACAGTTAAGAAAATAAAATTTAAAGATTGATCTCCCCATGTAAACATACTACATGTCAGTAAATTAAACTCAATAGTAGATTAAAAAATACACCAAGAGCAAGAATATTTTTTCCAAGAATATAAGAACTGTTTAATATCAGGAAATGTATTAATATCTTATAAAATATTAACATAGTAGTGGAAAATTTTATCATATTATTGATGCAGAAAATGCATTAGATAAAATTTAACTAGTATTTCTGATTAAAAACACTTAGTAAACTATAAATAGTTTAGGAACATATTAAGAACTTCCTTAATACAATAATTTCGATTTCTCAAAATCCCAAGCAAATGTTATGTTTCTAAAACATTTCCATTAAAATAAGAAACAGAATAGATATTCTTAATGTGACTATCCTATTCACACTATACTGAGGTTTAGTAATGCAATATGACAGGAAAAAATTGAACATTTAAGAATTAGAATTTAAGAGAATGACTGTCATTATTTACTGCTGACATACATGTTGCTGTAGAAAACTTAAGAGAATTTACCAGTTTAGTTATTCAAAGTAGTAAGAGAGCTCAGCAAAGTTGCTGAATATATAACAATAATAACCAATAAACAATGAAATGGAAAACAGATATGAATATAATAATGTAAGAATCTAAGTTATATGAGGAACAATTTTACAAAATAGGTTCAAGAAATTTATGATGGAAATTTTAAAACATGATTATAGGATATGAAGATGATCACAAATAGAGGGATATAGTATGTCACTGGGCAGCAAGACACATTATAAAAATGTCAATTCTCCCCAGATTATTTTCTAATGTTAATGTAATTACAAATAAAATTCAGCAAGACTTTTGCCAAACTTGACCAACTAGCCCTAAAACTCATATTGAATAGCAAAAGACCAAGGGAGCTAAAAGAATCTTAAAAAGGAACAAGGTAGAGAGACTTATCTTACCAAGTAAAAAGAATATTATAAAGCTATGGTAATTAAGGGTTATGGTGTTAGTACAAGGATAGAAAAACAGTCCATCGGATCAAATAAAGATCATATAAACAGATTTGATATAGGCAAAAGATGGCATTATAAATTAGTTAATAAAGAATGACTAATTTTTTAAATAATGCTGGGATAACTGGGTTATCCATATGGAAAAAGAATAAAATAGGGTGCATGTAGGGTACCAGAACCAAAAATAATTCCAGAAGGATTAGAGATCTAAATGTAAATGGGAAATCTTTAAAACTGTTAGAAGAAAATACAGAAAGGTAAATGACCTTGGCATGTGAAAGGATTTCTTAAATGACATAAAAGCACAAATTATGAAGGAAAATATCAATAAGCCTAGTTGAGTTAATATTAAAAGCTTTATAAAAACAAATACTACTAAAGCCACAGTTAAAAGGGCACCTACAAATTGGGAAAAAATCTTTGTAATCTCTATGGCCCAAAATATGAAAATCCAGAATATTACAACAACAGCAACAACTAATACCAAAAACCAAATCAAGCCAAACAAAACTCTTCCAAAATAACAACAGCACAACAAATAACCCAACAGAAAGATGGACAAAAGATGCAAATTAGGCAACACAGAAGAGAAAATCCCAATGGCTTACAACTAAAAAAAAAAAAAAAGTTAATGAGATATTATTCAATTCCGATCAGACTGACAAAAATTTTAAAAAGTCTGACCATCACAAATGTTGTGAAGCATGTGGAGAAGCTCTCATAGATTGTTACTGAGAATATAAATTGGTACAAATACATTGGAGGGAGGTTTTACAATACCTAGTAAAGTTCAAAATGCATATTTCTTAAAGTTTAGCATTTCTACTTCTATGTATATATGTCTATAAAAATGTTAACTGTGGTCTTGTTTGTGATTGGGAAACAATTAAAATAATGTCCAACAATGAGAGAATTGATAAATAAATTTTAGTAATACATACAGAAGAATACATTTCATATAAACCAAAATATATAGCTTATGTAAAACTAATTCATGATGATAGAGGTTACAGTGGTTTTGCTTGTTCTTTACCTTTTGTTAAAACTTTGGAAAATTTCACCTTCAAGGGGCACATACAAAGGATTCTTCTTAGGTATTATAAATATTCTGCACCTTGGGTTGGGTGTTGTCACATGTATACTCATCAAGGTATACACTTAATTTGTCTAATTCACTGTATGTAACCTATAATAAAATAATAAAAAATAGGTTCAGAAACAAATGTTCCAAATTATTAAACTTCGTTTAACCTGGGTTCTGGATTCTTGTATTTCATATTATCCTTTATACTTCCATGTGTTTTAATTTTTTTTTTTTTTTAAAGACAGAGTCTCACTCTGTCCACCAGGCTGGAGTGCAATGGTGCCATCTCAGCCCACTACAACCTCCGCCTCCTGGGTACAAGCAATTCTCCTGCCTCAGCCTCCCGAGTAGCTTACAGGCACGTGCCATCATGCCTGGCTAATTTTTGTATTTTTAGTAGAGACAGGGTTCTGCCATGTTGGCCAGGCTGGTCTCGAACTCCTAACCTCAAGTGATCTGCCCACTTTGGCCTCCTAAAGTGCCGGGATTATAGGCGTGAGCCACCATGCCCAGCCTGTGTTTTAAATATTTTACATTAGAAAATGTATAAGGCAAACACCATAGATTTTCCTAACTAGAATTAATCGAGGTAAAGGAAAGCACTAGTGTCATCTTCTCTTCACTATCTCTGATAATAGAGCCCAATATTAGTAAGCACTTCACAGCCAAACATGCCTACAAAGTGATTATTTTGTTGAATCAAAAGCAAAAGTTTTCATTCACTTCTTGACTGACTATAGAATCTCAGGCTTCCTTAAGTGAGTGACCAGAGGGATATATTGTTGATATAGACAGATGCTGCCAATGCACAAAGATCATCCATTTAGGTTTTTCAGTTGATGAAGTGAGGCATGCATTGCCAGACTTTACTTACATGAATTAACAGAATCAACAGGTGATTTGGTATCAGTACTGCTATTGGCTGGCGGGTTTCACCTCTGGTTTCAGAAAAGAAAGAGATGATACCTTTTCAATGCTGCATTTCAAGTCAACCATATGAAAAGCAAAGTTTTATTCCAGTCACTTTTCTTTCTCTCACATTGTGGAAGAAAAGTGCCAGCCACTGCTACTCTAACCACTAACCATGGTACAGATGTTTGAAAAATGTGAAACAGAGAAATGAAACAAAAAGGAAACCCTCAAAAATTAAGTTTCGCATAAGTGAAAAATACAGTATTTATGTATCATAACTGCAAAAAGATCAATGGACTTTTTTCTCATGTATTAAACAAAAATAAACACAAACATTGATTTTTTGACTTAGTGTTTTGTTGAAACCAACAATTACAAGGACCAACTCAAACATGGCTAAAAGTGGGAATAAAAATAAGATTTCTTTTATCCTGATAAAAGATTTTTTATCACCAAGAACGTTACAGTATGACCTACTTAAGTGAATACTTATTAAAGAAACAGATTCATTTAAAAAACATGTTTTTAGGTAAATAGGAACGGTGCAAGTGTTTCTTTGAAATCTTACAAAAGATAAAAATTAATTGAACTAACTAAGGTTCCTTACCCTATGCAAATAAGAAACGGCTTAGAAAGAAATGTCTTCAAACTGTTGAAATGTATATTCCTTAGTTGGTGTAACCAATGTGAGGTCTCAGTTACTATAATAGCAAATGTTCTATTAGATTTAAGCACATCAGTGCAAATTATTAAAATGAGACTGTCTTTGTTTAAAATAAAGCTTTAAAAAATGTAATGTAATCTCTGAGGGAGTATTGCCTGAAATGAAAGTTTTAGGCCGAGCTCTGCCACAATCCTATTGCGCATCTTGGTTCATCTGATTAAACATCTTTGGGTCTCAAAATTCACATACATTCACATTTCTAAAGTGAGTGTGATATAAAGTCATAGCTTGATCATCAAACTCCTTTCTAGCCCTAAAATTCTACGTATCTAATGAGATTAATTTATCATGAGGTGTTTTTCTTCTTTCCTTTGTTAATTTCCTTACAATAAATAGACAAATAAATGATCAAATAAGCAAATAAATAAATATTAAAAAGACATACACACACTGATAGCTATCCATCTGAATAGGAAGAAAGACTTTTTTTTGTTTGCCATTATCTATCCCCTAATGTGTATTTAAAAAGAGAGCTCCCACAGAAAAGATTTTTATTTTTTTCTAAATCAAAAATAGTGTATCATTTATTTGCCATTTAAGTTCTACTAAGAAGGAAAACACAAAATCATTATGGAAATCCTATTAGGAACTTTAGAAAGAAAAAGCTGATGAAATTCCATTTACAATTCAAATTGTTCATTCACGTATTTCCTTTTGCAGAAACTTTAAATGCTGCCTCAAACTATCTTCACCTCTTTTTCCAGGGACAATATCCCTAACTCTGTTAAAAAAAAAAAAAGGCTCTCTTCTCACACCCTTCCCACCTGTCCTCTGAGGTAGTTGTTCCACAAAGCTAAGGTATAGATTACATCAAGAGATATTTGGGATGGGAGTAAAACATTTCACCCTGGAGACAGTAATGTGTGCAATTTGCCAAGTCTAAAAGAAAGTTAAGCCTCATCACCACTTTGGCAAGAAATGTGGTTCTCATGGATGGACAATGATTATCATTTTTACACAGAACTTTTGAAAATGAAAGTACCTGGGGCACCAGCCAGAAAATAAGTACGAGAATGCAAGTTTTTTGCGTCAATATTTAAATCAGACAAAACACTATCAGTGTACCCTTAACAGACCTGAAGCGTCTAGAAAGAATACAAGGCAGCTGACACCTTGGTGAATAAGAGCAGCTCAGTTTTATGAAAAGGCCAAAGTCTTAGGGCAAACTCTCTGTTGTTCCAAGTGCTGATATACCTATGGCATCAACAAAGGCAAAACACCATAGGGGGCAATAGGCAAGGCTTCTCTTACAGGCAAGGCTCCTGTTAAAGGCTGGGACCCTCTGGACTACACACTCGAGGAACCCCAAGTGTGGGTCCCTGAGGGGAGGAAGTTTCCTCAAACAGAACGGCGAGAGGCTGAAGTTACACAGTGTAGGAGTACTCCCTGCTGGCAGCTGAGGTTGGAAATGAACTGGTGATGTCCTAGAGAGGGCTGCTTAAATTTTCTATGAGGAGGCTAATGGAGATAACAGTGCTCTTGAGGGGACAAGAGCATGGGTCTGATTAGGTTTAGATAACTCCAGATATTATGCTGAGTGAGGAGGAGGTTAAGGGAAGCTACTGATGACAGGAACTCCAACAATTGACAAAAACTATGTGTAGAGCTGGTATATACAATTTTCATTTAAGTTTCCCATCTCATATCATTCTATAAAGCATACACAGCCGTATGTGCACATGTGTGTGGGGTTCAGAGGATGCAGGAAGAAATCTATTTCTGTGCAGTTCATTTTACCCCTGCAAGAACAATCTTTGAAACCGTCTAATGTATTCACATTTATGTTTTACAAGGAATCCCTTCCATACTTCTAATGGACCTGCCTGGTATGCCCCCTGTACCACTATACCTAATCCCTAGGCAGGTGGTCTTTGTATGGGCCTGGGGCAACCACACTGGTTTCTCCCCAGTGCTCTGCTCTGTTAGGGTTCTTCTGCATAATAAAATGAAGGTCAAAATGGCAGCCTGCTAAAAGCAGCAGTATTTCAGTTGCAGGAATAACTTGCTTGTCATCAACTTGTTAATGCAATAGTCAAACATTTCTCTGACATGTACAGTATCAGCTAACTTCAGCAGATAAAGGGTCTAGAACAGGAAGATGCTGCAGATGCTTTAGCTCGGAGGAAGGCTTAGCAGAGCCAAAACGTCAGCAGGGCCTGTTTGTTCCATACTTTCCATCGGGCTCTGTGAAAGAAATGTTAGATTACTGCAATGACAAGTTTGTGACAAGCAAGTCATTTGTGCAACTGGTGCGCTCCTGTTTTTATCTGTTTACCATTCAGACTTGTGAATGCCATTTCAAGCACTTAGAGGATTTCTGGCTCCCATTAAGGGGAAATGGTTCCTCCATGTTTAGAATTTTCTACCTCAAAGAGAATTACTAAGCAATTATTTGTTCCTGTGGTCAGTGTCACACAAAAGCACTCTTGAGTTGTTTAGCTGGACTCTGAATCATGAAATGAAGTCCTGAAGACTGGATAGCTTGGAGCATCAAAAATTTCCCATCTAGTTTATTGGAATGACTACAAAGCAAGCCTGTGAGAGACAATAAAATTATGGCCAGCTTGAAATACCTTGCCCTTTTGCTCTGGGATCATATATCAAGGCCATATGCTTCAAGCCACATAAACTCACTTGTAACAAGTAGATCCTGAGAAGCTAAGGCCTGGCGATGTCACACTGACATGTGATTTAGCATATGACTGTTTTGGTGACAAGGACCACTTTAGCTGTTGAGAAGAGAATTTCCACTGACTTCTCTCTATACCTTGTGGGTAACTATAGGGTCAATACTAATCCAGAGAACATTTTAACTGTGGTAAAATAAAGTAATATAATATCAAATTAATAACTAGGGCCATCCTCACTAGGCTGACTTTTTAATAGTGAATGGAGACCCTGGCAGATTTGAGATCAAGAATTCAAGATCCTCTCATTAGGTCCTTCACCTGAAGTTGCTGAGTTTCTTCAAGTCATTTTAACCTCCTGGGACGAAGGTAGAAAATAACAGCACATGTTCCTTTCCATCTGACATAAATGGTCTCAGGGTCAATATTACAAAAGATGAAGAGTGCCTTCAGACTCAAGAACAAGAATGATACTCTCTAAACATCATTTATTCTTTCTACAATTTTACATTTTTGCCCATTGTTGGTACTGAATTTATACATAACTCTAGGTATAACTCCCTTTTTTTTTTTTTTTTTTTTTTTTGAGATGAAGTCTCACTCTTGTCACCCAGGCTGGAGTGCAATGGTGTGATCTTGGCTCACGGCAACCTCCATCTCCCGGGTTCAAGCGATTCTCCTGCCTCAGCCTCCTGAGCAGCTGGGACTACAGGCACCCACCACCACACCCGGCTAATTTTTGTATTTTTAGTAGAGACGGGGTTTCACCATGTTGGACAGGCTGGTCTCGAACTCCTGACTACAGGTGATCTGCCCACCTCGGCCTCTCAAAGTGCTGGGATTACAGGTGTGAGCCACCGTGCCTGGCCCAATTCTAGGTATAACTCTTAAAGAACATAACAGAATGAGGCTTTGAAGCAGACACAGATGTACACTATCTGGGGAAGCAAGTCAAAGCCGGAACAGGTGGAATGTCAAGGACTAGACAAAAGTAATGATGTAAAGTGAAGCAGAGCTTAGAAAGGGCTACTAGAGAATGTTACAGAAAGCGATAATAGTACTCATTGAATAAAAATTTTATTGTGAATGATCCTGTGCCAGACACTATGTGTATTATACAATTTACATGTGTAATTTAATCATTACAATAATTCTATGGCATATGCATGCTCAATATTTTTTCAGATGTGAGAACTAAAATGTAGGGAGTTAAGTACTTCACACCATAAATATGTAAGCTGCAGAGATTTGAAACCAGTTTTCCATTGTTCCAAAGCCCATGTACTCTTAACCATAGAAGAACGAAAGTCATTTCCACTGCCTCCAGAAGCCTTTTCTCTCTTGCTTACTGGAAAACATTTCAGTCTGGAAATACAGGAATTCACTAATTTGATACAAAAGGGCCAGTGAGAAGATTCTAGCTCTATCTGTATTGCCATCCTTGTTAGGCCTCTGAGAAAGCTGAGTTTCATCAAGATGTCATTCCTTTCTCCAGGCCTGACCTATTCCTACTTTAATGCACTGGGGAAGAGGTAAGTGATTCTAACCTAATCACATATCTCCGTGCTATGAATGGAGGGTGTTTGGCGGCATCTCCTTGTGTCCATGACAATTCCTTTCTCTCTCTTCATGTGTATAGCCTTTAGTTCATCCTACTCTTTGCTCCCATATTACTTCCAGGGGGCCTTCTTTTGTCACTTGTCTGCTATTCTGTTTTAGGTGGGGGAAGGGGCGGACAGCTTTCTTACCATGACAAGGATCACTGAAACAGTCTCAACTTCAAACTTTGCACAGAATGTATCCTTTGTTCGGTCTTCTGCTTTGTTTCTCTTTAATGATAGCTTTGCCATGAGTCCCATTCGTATGTAACTCAGAGCTATGCAAATCAAGCTGGTAAGCAAGCATTTGCAGTTACTCAGTCTTAAAATGAATATGTGTCCAACCAGTGGAAACCTGAGTGAGGAATGTCTCCTGAACATTATGTGTGGAATGGCTCCTTTCCTTGATGGGTGGCAAATAATAAACTCAGTGAGATCTGCATTATATTCCCTGGTCTCTTTTAGTGTATGCTCAGAGTGGGTCACAAGAGTGGTTTTAGCTTATGTAAAATTTTTTCTTATAGTATTTCCAATTTTTTTTAACTTCTTGATGTCTCCCAAACACAGAATTCTTAATAGCTACTGAAAAATCCCCATGCCTGAAGAATCCTAAGATCCCAGGGCAAAAATATGGTAAAGAACATTAAACAACCCATGGTCTGGGTCTTAATCTGGTGCTCACAGTGATCATTCAGTCTCTGCTGCATACCACCAGGGCACGGAACTCTCCACTGTAGGATACTTCTTTCTGTTCTGTTCTTCCTTATGCTGAATCTTAATCCATATTAGTCTGTTCTCATGCTGCTATGAAGAAATACCCAAGACTGGGTAATTTATAAAGAAAAGAAGTTTATATGACTCAGTTTCGCATGGCTGGGGAAGCCTCAGGAAACTTACAATCATAGCAGAAGGCACCTCTTCACCGGGCAACAGGAGAGAGAATGAGTGCTGAGCAAAGGGGGAAAAGCCCCTTATAAAACCATCAGATCTCATGAGAACTCACTCACCATCACGAGAAAATCATGGGAGTAACTGCTTCCATGATTCAATTACTTCTCACCAGGTCCCTCCCACGACACATGAAGATTATGGGAACTACAATTCAAGATGAGATTTGGGTGAGGACACAGCCAAACCATATCATAATCTATCTTTCTAAAATCCCCCCAGTGCGTCTAGTTCTTTCTCACCCTAAATTTCAGTTCAGAGCTTCAGAAAATTATTAGTTTAATGACTCATTTAATGACAACCCTTGTGTGTATTACATACCAACAACTGGGTTTAGATTGTCCTGCCTTGTCCCTTTCTCCTCACCCAACATGATTTAAATTCCCACTCTATCCCTCTGACAAGCCGGGGAGAAATAAAAGCCAGTCACACCCATTTCTCATTTCCATTTGGATGCAGGTAGTACTGGTGGCAAAGCATTCTTAATCTCTTTGATTTTCTGTCCTATTCTGTGGAAAATCTTTCCTGACAACCTCAGGCATCTTTGATTGATATGGCTATTTATAGATTGACCATTTAATTTATTGTCCAAGCAGGGACACTTTTGACAGTGAAAGGGCCTTATAAATAATTATACCAAGACTACAGACTTAAACAAGAACTTTCCCAGGCAAACTTACATAACACCTTGCATATACTTTTACTTCAATACCCATCTTTTTGCATAAAAACTTTCATGTCTATTTTTCCCACCAACCTGTGAACACTCTTTAGCAACAGAAACATATTTTTACCTATGCAGCTTCAGTTCCTAGAAAAGTGCTTGTAAGTATAAAGACCTGGGGGTAAATATGTACTGACGCACATGCATATGCCTATATGCATGTGTATGTGTTTGAATTGATGGTATATTTTTCCATAATTACATTCTGTGGACCTCTCCCCTTATTTCATAGCAAATACCACCAACACATGTTAACTTCATATTTTTGGAGATGAATCAAAAATATTTCACTTAATGCCATAGGAAGGAAATGGTCTGAGTATATTGGTAATGGGTTTGCTTTTAATATTGACAGCAACAAACAGAAAGTGAAATGTGATAAATTTTCCACTAAAAGTCTACTGCATATTTTTTTAACAAAGCACTGAACAATAAGCTTTAATCGCTTTCTTCACAAGTATTATAAATTGTTTCAGGCCGTGTGCGAAGGCTCACGCTTGTAATCCCAGCATTTTGGGAGGGCGAGGCGGGCGGATCACCTGAGGTCAGGAGTTTGAGACCAAGAACGGCCAACATGGTGAAACCCCGTCTCTACTAAAAATACAAAAATTAGCCAGTCATGATGGTGGGCACCTGTTATCCCAGCAGGAGGCTGAGGCAAGTGAATCGCTTGAACTTGGGAGGCGGAGGTTGCAGTGAAGCTGAGATGGTGCCACTGCACTCCAGCCTGCAGCCTGGGCGAAAGACTGAGACTCCGTCTCAAAAAATAAAAATAAATAAATAAATTTATTTATTAATTTATTTAATAAAAAATAAAAATAAATAAAAAATAAACAAAAATAAAAATAAATAAATAAATAAAAATTTCAGCAGCTGTATCCACAATTTCAAGTTTGTAGTAAATGAGTTATTATAGGAAATGATGGTAATTTAAGAGTGATCCTTTAATCTCCATTAAAATGTTGGTGGCATTTCTATTGCTTTCACCCTCGTCAAGCACATTTGGAAGTCCTGGTAACTTTTGGCAGTTTTTTTGCTTCTGAGTAACTGTGGCTTTAAGAAAAAGAAAGGTAAGGAGAAAGTGCCTGGAAAATGTGAACCACTTAGAGAAGTCATTTCTTCCCTTCTCGCTGACACATGCAGACCATTCCAGAAAGATATGACTCTATACTGGTTAAAGAGCTTCATAGAGGATAATCTCACAACTTCCCTTTCAGTGTTTAGCACTCACTATTAATAACCTATCTCATTATCAAACCTTAAGATTTTCTGTTGCAGCATATTTTGTCATTATCAGACCTCAGTGAAGAAAAGAGAGAAAGCCTTGTTTCCCACTTCTCATCACTTGCTTAACAGCTACTATTAGCGCTCTACCTTAACATTCCTTTTTCCAAGATAAAAAAAGTCAATGTTTTTGACTCTTCCTTGAGAATTTTTTTCCAAAATGTTAAATTTAAATTTGTTTGGAGGGGTTTGATAATTCTGTCTCTCTAAGATGTTTGTATTCAGTATTATCTGAAATCAGAACAAGCATGAATAAGTATGTAATCTATGCTCATAAGAAATCAGAGAAATATCTATATTTGGCATGCTTCTTATACATTCCACTATTATAGCTATTTTAAAATTTCAGTTTGACATTTCACACTCTTGATAAACTTTCTATAATCTACTTCTAGATGCTATTTTTCCCACAGAGGAAGTCATTCTTTATTTTCAGTCCATCAATGACATTTACCAAACCATCACGGATAATGAAAAATATAAGACTTATAAGATTCAAAAGAAACAAAGTTACATGTCTATTATTTCAGAGTCTTAAATATGTGGAAAAAAGAAGACAATCCCACACAAAAGAAGAAACATGGATAAGCATGCTCAGGTGTTTGGTGCTAGCTCACCAGCTATTAGTATAGGTGAACTAATACAGCTATATGGAATTCTCTATACAAGTGATGAAGAAGTAGTGGATGAAATGCCACTTTTGAGGTCTGCTTTCTCTCCTGAAGAAAACTAACAATAACTTTTATTTAACAACGTTTTGTTTATTCCCAGTTTTACTGAGTGTTCATTTCAGTCCTCCCTCTGAAGTGGTTAGTTATACTTATCTCTCAAATTGTTGTTATTTGGACACTGTACGTAAAAGCATTGCACTTTGAAAGCATGCATTTCTTGTCCTCAACATCTAAAATAATGATTTGCAACCATTTAGAAGTTCTGGTATCCTGTTGTTAATGTGATTTTTGCATCACTCTTCCTTGCCTATTCCTTAAAATATAATTTTAAATGAAAATTAATTTCATTTTGAGGTTTTGAAATGCCTCTAACAATAATTTAGAATACACTGAATTTGCCAATATTGGAAAACATGTATGTAGTCTAGATTATCAAGCCAGAATCCAGGACCGACCTCAATAGCATGTCACTTCTATATCTCTCAATACTGAGTCTCATCTCCTACTAATCATTTCCTGAGAATTCTGAAGTGCTGGCCACAAAATAAATAGGTTAGAATTTTTTATTTTTTGGTCATTTGAGACAGAATTAAAGGCTCTGCTGGTTACGTGGAGTTATATCATAATACTAGCTTTGCCTTAGTTCAGCAAAACTTACATTGGGCTAAGAAAGAAGATAATATATTATCAAGGCGTTGTGTCCTGGTATCATCAAACGATGGGCAAATCGATTTCATTAGGTCTCTCCTAGGATATTTCGTGGAATAAAAGTTAGAGTTCTATGTCTATAACTTGCAGGATAGAATTATTAAAAATGGTTGTATTTAAGTGCATTTTCCCAAATAGTGAGTTTCCTTTTGGCAGAAAAGAGACAATGAAGGTAAATGTGAAAGTATCATCAACCACAAACTAGTAAGCTGAACTCAAGTATAATGGCAATCTTCCTGGGTGATCAGCCATAGAGCACCATTTGTGCAAGAGTCTGAATTTCTATACTAACTTACTTTTAAATTTCGTTGAATACAAACATAACAATGTTTTTAATAAGTGGCTTATCTATTAAGTTTATAGAGAACCTTCCACTAAAGAGATTACTTATTCTAATCTATTCTTTTGTCCAATCTTTTCCCCATTTTTGCCCAGTGTTTTGTTTATATAATATTTTATTCTATAAAAATCTATATTATACATTTTCTACCTGCCTTGTCTATTCTTATACATTCACAATCTATTCTACTCTTAGTATATAATTTGAACAGATTCACATACATAAATCAACATTCATTACTTCTGGGCATATAAATGGTTGCTGGGTCCATGACGGCTGTTTAAATAGGTAGCTTCCAGGCCACTATGACATAGGGAAAAACTGAAAAGTGTATGTTTTATAATTATTGAGTAAAAGAGGATTTTCATTATGGAGACATGTACAGCTATCTCAAAGGCTTATTTTTCCAAAAGGAACAACGACACTGTCCCCTGGGATATGTGAATTGAAAATTCAGTGTCAACCTCTTCTAAAAAAGTAGATATTTTGAGGTATTAAAAAGCGTTCTTTTATTAGTGATAACACCTCTTACTTGGGGTCGTTTTGAGATGAAAGTTGGCAAGTAGATTTTTCAATAAGGCGGGGTGGGAATCACTATAAATTCATAAACTAAAAAGAAGAATGACAATTTATTGGCCCAAAAATAGGGGAGAGGGAGAGATTTTTTTGTTCTTTTTTCTTTTCTTTTTTTTTTTTTTTTTGAGACGGAGTGTCGCTCTTGTGGCCCAGGCTGGAGTGCAATGGCGTGATCTCGGCTCACCGCAATCTCTGCCTCTGGGGTTTAAGCGATTCTCTTGCCTCAGCCTCCTGAGTAGCTGGGATTACAGGCATGCGCCACCACACATGGCTAATTTTGTATTTTTAGTAGAGACAGGGTTTGTCCACGTTGGTCAGGCTGGTCTCGATCTCTCGACCTCTGGTGATCCACCCACCTTGGCCTCCCAAAGTGCTGGGATTACAGGTGTGAGCCACTGCGCCTGGCCTAGGAGATTTTGGAATAAAGGTGTCTCTGTGACTAAAAACATATAACTGGTCATAGATAGTCTGTTTACCTCTAGTGTCTTTTGGAGCAAGGGTGTGGGTCTCTCTGTTGAGTGGTGCCTATCATTAGGCATCACAGCAACATCAACAAAACTCATCTCCGTAATATAGTAGATTTTACATTGTGTTAAGGTAGACCTTTTAAACAACTCCTTCAAGTTTTCTGTTGATTTCCTGCCAGACAGTCAGACAGCTACTTCTTTTTTAGTAGGAGTAGTCAAGGCTAAAGTCAATACATGTGCCTTCCTTGCTGAGTTAGAATCAGGCATATTCCATCAACACATATGTCCCACTGTTCTCATTTCTCTCACTTTACTATGTGATTAGTAGACAAAGTATATACTAAAGAAAGCTGAGGAAGTTGCTAGGATTTCTAAAGAAGAAGAATCCAAATCTTGCCTACTTTAGGCAAAAAACATTTTAGTATTAATTGAAAAGAGATGGTTAAATTGCAACCCATAAATTAAAATGTAGTTCCAAAGTGTGTCTATAGTGATCTACAAGCAAACATAATTTCTCATATTCTTTTTTTTTTTTTTTTTTTGAGATAGAGTCTTGCTCTGTCACCAGGCTGGAGTGCAGTGGTGCGATCTCAGCTCACTGCAACCTCCGCCGCCCGGGTTCAAGTGATTCCCCTGCCTCAGCCTCCCATGTAGCTGGGATTACAGGCACATGTCACTACACCGGGCTAATTTTTTGTATTTTAGTAGAGACGGGGTTTCACTATGTTGGCCAAGATGGTCTCGATCTCCTGACCTTGTGATCCGCCCACCTCGGCCTCCCAATATATTATTAAAATATATTCTGCAGGCTAATTCTATGTTCTTATCTCATTCCTGTTTCTTCCTCTGCTCCAGAAAGGATTAGTGTCTAGCATAAAACAAACAGTATATAATAAAGAACAGATAATGTATAGTCATAAAATTCTGAATCCACAGCAAAAAGAGGGTAAGGTCTTAGTCTAGCAGGTAAGTCTTATTGACAATAATAAAGGCATGTTTCTAAGCCACCCATGGAAAATACCAAAAATGTTCTCTATTATATCTTGAGGTGAAGTTTTGGCCGTGTAAAAAATTATGGTTAATGCTGTGTATGTTATGTTTTATTTGCCTTCATTCTGGGACCACAAAAACGGATCTAACTATAGATAGGGGCAGGAGAGCATTTGTGTTTCTTCATTAGAAGCTGTGCATGTTAGTCTAATGTATAAGAATTAGGAAAACAATACTAAATCTCTTGATGCAGGCCATGTCATAAATCCATTTATACTTATATAATATTTTCCTTTTTCTTATTCTTTCAACCTTCATGCTTCTTTTTTCATTTAAAAAACTTTGGGGTCAGCCCTTATATTACCAGATGATTTCTAGTAGTTGAAGCCCTTGGGAAATTCATTTGTCCATCCATGCTGCCTAGTTTAGTACAACACTCCAAAGGGAACTTCCTTCTACCAAAGGCAATGACTGATTGGACTTAAAAAATAACTTCTATAAATATGACATAATATCTGGAGGCCACATTTATAGCTGGTCAAATGCACTGTTAGCCCTACAAAAGGCTGGCTCATAATTATGAGGCAATAACATGTAAATTTCCCTTTCTGATGAGAAACTAAAGGTCACATAGGTCCTGAGTTGTATTAAGACTGCATTAATACTGTTCGTTAGACATTTCTTTTCTCAGTCTCAACAAGTCACCTTAAAATCTATGGTATATAGCAGATCCTGAGCACCTACATGAAAAGCAAGTACTCAAATGTTAGAGACCTGAATTGAAATCAAGATTGAGATCCATCCAACTTAGGAGTTACTGCTGGTTCAATGAGTCCAGGGAAGAGGCCATTTAATGATTCCTCCAAGGACCATTAAGAGTTCCAGGGTATTCCCTTGGATATCTGGAAACCTGGGTTACTTGATCTGAGCATGACTAAAAACTGGGCAAAGTCTTGCATGCTTATCCTAGGTTGGACACAGATCTCTAAGATAAGACTGGTATTTGGTAAGCTCTCATCTTTCCCATTCCTTCCTTTAGAGTTCATATTCCTGATGTATTCTTGTCACAAGATACGGTCAAGGTTACACATGGGTTAAGAGCTCACAGCAGTCCAATAACAAACATGTTGCTGTAATACTGGTCTCCCTTGTAGACCTTGAAAGTCCAATATGCTATCATCTAGGGCAGTTCATGGGAAAGTTGACATAATAATGCTTCAATTATTCAATTTATAAATGGGACATTTAACTGATAGAGTAGGGAGGACAACTGAGAAACGTTTGAAGATGTAAATAGTTTTTGTTTCAGAGAACAACCTTATCTCTCCAACACAGTAATATTTTTTCTTTGTGTAGCCAAATTTCTCTAACACGAGGCTCACACAGAAGCTATAGAGACTTCACCTAGAAGGTCTCAATGGCCTTAGAGCCATATATATATTTCTACTATAAAACAGCAACAACAATTTTGGCCCAAATATCATAACCTAAGCAAAAATACAAACAAAATCAAACAAACGAAAACTACCTAGAATATAATCTTAAAAAGTACTGCCTATATGCCATCACCATGTATACTATAAAACCCACCAAACTTAGAATGCACAATGATGTCATTTACTTCAATTTTTATAATACTGCTTTTTGAAGATTCCTATTTTTATACGTAATGGGAAACATGACATCATATAAATGAGGCAGGCAAACAGAAAGGTGTAGAAGGCAAATGCAAGATGCCTATATATTGTCTACCAAGTGTTGCCAGTTGTGAAAGGATTTGACATGCTAATATCCATTCATTCACTAAGAGCATGATGGCTGGCAGGCTCTGCATTTAAGTGCGGTTATCGAGGCCCCCAAATATTGACAGAGTGCCAGATTCTAAGAAACTATTGATGTACACAGCCGGCCACAGCTCCAGACACCTCTCAGACAGAGTCTTTAAATGTCACAGATAAATGAATTTTCATGAAACTGAGAGAGAGGAAGAGCAAGAGGAGAGAAAGAACACAGAATGAGAGGCAGGAAAGAAACAAGAAAGAAGAAAATCACTTCCATAACACTGACATGAAAGCATGTGGCATCTCATCTCTAAAGCTCAATCATAACTCCTTACACAGGATGTGAGATCAAGCCTTCTGAATGCATTGCATTACCAAAGCACTCAAACACTTTTAATCATTTCATTGCATGGTATTTTAAAAGTTAAGGGAGATACATGTTACAGAATAGCTTCAACAAACTATTTCTGAGCAAAATACAGTTCAAATATAAATACTTCCCGACTCAATCCTAAAGCAAATTAAAAAAATATATATATATATAAAGGCCCACAGGCACAGATAAGCATTGGAGCCTTCTAAGCAGTTCTCCATATGCATAAAAGGTGAAAAGTCAAGGTGTCATGAAATCTATTTTATGCCAAGACACAAATGTGTCCTCTGACATTTTCTTCTCCACAGTCCTACTGAAAGTAGTGACCCCTAGTGGGTTTATTGCACGATATTAAGGGATGCCTTCTTCCTTCACCTCTCTTTTCCTGCCTTTCCACAGAAAACATCTGCCAGGAAAATATACGAGTCAGTTACTTGACACATGATAACAAAAGTGAGCCATGGTTATAACTAGAACGACCAAGTATTCCTTAGAAATCATGTGTAACTCAATATATTTTAAACGTAAAGGAAGCTTTTTTACTTTGAAAGTTTTCCATCTGCTGAGGGCAGCTTCTCTTGACCTTGATACACTGTGCCATTGAAAGCAGTCACACTTTCAAGGTTAGAATATGGCTTGTTTGTGCATTTACTGTTCTATACTAGAGTTGTACAATCTCCACGTTTTACATAAAGCGATCATGCCAAGGCACACAAACAAAATTCTTCTTCCAATTCAAAAGCACATGGGTAAGTTTTCTGTTTTGGTTTTTAACCTGCAGCAACATGGTTTCACAAAGCCCTAGCTGCCTTTTTACTAGCATCACAAAAAGCCTTGGTGTAAGTTATTTTTCTACATCTGGCTCTCTCTGTTTTGGATACATGGGACTTTAGCAGGTATATACTTGGAGAATAAAGTTCCATAGCTCAAATATTCAATAGAGGTTTTGTTTTTGCATCAACTTTTCAGTAATTTCTTAGTACTTTTCTTTTTTATGTTAGGAGATAAAATGAAAGGATTTAGATTTCCTGCCATGGGAAAAATAATTATTTTCCCTGTCTTTAAAGGCTTTTATTTTGAAGACAAAATCAGTTTTAACTCAAATGGAAATTGCAGTAAAATCTCAGACACTGTAATCAGTGACTGCATTAAAACTCTCAAGAAGGAAGCCAACTTCCATGTGAGGCCACAATTCAGCCAGGATCACAAAGAGACATTATCCACTTTGCCTGTGGCCATTCTGTCATTTTAGACTGTAAAATTTTTATACTGTAAAATTAAGGTTCAAGGAAATCTTCTCTAACTTTCACATACATACACATAAATATACTGATTTTTGCCTGTAACCATATAATAAGCAGAGAGGTTTTGGCTTACTTTAGACATAGGTATAGAAGACACTTAATAAAGATTATTAAAATTTCCTT
Organism: Homo sapiens; assembly: GCF_000001405.40. Classification (NCBI taxonomy): domain Eukaryota; kingdom Metazoa; phylum Chordata; class Mammalia; order Primates; family Hominidae; genus Homo; species Homo sapiens. The sequence goes on from NC_000003.12 coordinate 114,598,315, forward strand.
CATTATATAAGTAATAGTGTTCACCAAATATTCAGTGATTGGTTAACACAAACTGTGTTATACACCCTACAGAAAATACTGTAAAGTTGCTAAAAAAAAAAATAGACTTAAATGTGCTATATGACAGGATATGACATTATATATGCTCAATCCCTCTTGTATAAAGAAAATTAGTATACATATATACACATATTTATGATAGATAGGCATATACACAAACATTTTCTTCTGGAAGTATATGTAAGATACTTTTGATGTATTTGGGGAAAATAAGATGGAGAATTTTACTTCTAATTACATATTTTTCTATTCTGTTTGAATTCTTCAAACATGTTTAAAATATAATGCCAATAGGGATATCCGAGTGGTAAGGTTATGAGGAATTTTTTTCTCTTCATTTTTTTATATACTGGAAAATTTAATATATCATATTTCAAAACGGAAGCATCTTCAAAATAATTATGTAATAGTAATTCATGTTAGTTACAAGAAACTTGAAAACACTAAAAAAGCATGAAGTATATCAACAAACAGCCTTGTAATTCTCTGACCCAACAATAACCACTGTCGAATTTTTGCTGCGTTGTGTCCAGTTTGCAAAGTCTCTTCTGCTTTGTACAGTGTAAGTAAGAAAGATCCTTTACATTCCCTTAACGGGGGGGGACCCAAAACAGCTTTATGTGTCATTTGTTCTGCTATATACCTTCTTAGACACCTTCACCACCACACCGTTTTTAGTTGCCAGGACATTGTTGAAATAGCATGCTATATGTGACACCTCCCTAAATTACACAGGTTCTTTATTCATCTGCTATTGCCCCCTGAAAAACATGATCTCTGTGCTATTTCATAATAGTACATGGCATTTCATGATGGAAGCCATGGAGTTGAAGGCAACAGTGGCCTCATGCTCCACAATTATTATAGTATACATACTGAAATAGTTTCGTGAGGACTCAGAAATGTTCTTCTCTTCTGAATGCACAGAGATGCTTCCCTGTAAGGAGCTCTGTCTTAGAACTTCTTCAAAGCCTAATAAAGTTGAAGGAAAAACACAGAAAGGTGATATACTTGGTGTGATATTTTAAGCAACTGACCTATTAATTATAATACCTTTTGATATTTTCTTTGCTGAGGATCATTTTCTGAAGAAGGGTATGAACCTTCTCTTTCATGCAAAATACCTTGGTATAACTGTTCATCTTTTAAGTATCTTATTTGCCTTTTGGCAAATTAAAGAATTTTCCTACCTTTGTTGTTGCTGTTATTGAAAAGAAGATAATAATGACAATAATAATTTTTATAGCTAACTCTTATTGGTTGCTTTCTATAGGTTGGGCAGTTTACTTACATTATTTGCATTTAATTCCAAAAATACCTCTATTATTATTGTTGCTGTTATTCCCATTTTATAGATGAGAAAACCCAGGCATAGAAATGTTGAAAAACTTGCCCAATGTCACAAATCTACTAAGAAGTAGACGAAGAAATCTACATCAGACTCATTCCAAATCTTCCTTAAGATTATTATCTAGATTAGGGTTACATGACTGTACTAAGAGGTCCAAACCATGTCCAGAGCTTTCTTATTTTTCTAATACTATGGGGGGTGAAGGGGAGTGGGAAGAGAAAGAGAGCGAGCGAGCACATAAGATTCCAAATAAAATGTTATAAAATTTATCTAAGACTTCATTTTCCTCACCTCTAAAATGGACAGCACCCATCACAGAGGTTTATCTTGAGGACCAGTTGAGATAATATAAGTGAAAGCATCTAGTACAACTAAAATAAAACACCATTATTGCTCTACAAGTTTCCTTCCTTTGCATAATGGATATGTTCTGGATAAGGTGATTATGAAAAGGTATAGGCTTAACTTCTGTTGTCAAATCAAAGAGCAATTACACTATAAAATCTCAGAGAAGGATTCCCAACAGATTGAGATGAAGACCTGATGTAAGGCAGGGGTTCAGGTGGAGGCTGGGTCTACAGATTTACTGGGAGCACTCTGTGGGTTGGTAACACATTCTAGATCCTCTTACCTCTCTCTCCTCAGGCTCCTTGGTCTGAAAATTCCTGAGTGTACTACAGCAGTTTCCAGAGATGATTGCTTTCTTTTTCTTTTATCTGGTTACAAAGTCTAGTGGAATTTATTTGCAATGATGATACTTCACTTGAAGGCCTTATCCCACACATTATGATATAAAATAGTTAGAAATTCCTTTAATGTGAGATTCTCAATCAGATAAATTCACTGTGCTCTATTTACTCTGGATGTTTGGTTACAGGTTTCCATCATATTATTAATAATACTTGCATTAACTTCCTCATATTCATTACATTGAAAGGCTCTGAGTTAGAAAATATGTATTCTACTTTCTTGGAAACCCTACACTCACTAGTGAGGCCTATAAATAAAATGAAACTTTAAATAGTACGAACTTCACCTTCAACTCATAACTAAACCCAACTCTGGGCTTAAAGTGCTATTTTCTCCCTCCAGTCTCATCAGATATAAGTATATCATGTTACTAACTGAGGCCAAGCTATATATTTACACAATTCACTTCATACTAACAACCTGCTGCATTTTGTTGCTTGCCTTTTCTTGAGGTACTGGGACTTACTCTTAAATTAATGCCTTAGTTTTTTTTTTTTTCTCTAGGGACATCCTTTTACTTATGGAAAATATTCAGAAAGAATGGAATTTTTAAAATAAGCCATCTGCTGCGCAGACCTCAAGAAAAACAGTTATGTTTGAAAATACCAGATTCAACTAATGAGGGGCACAAAAGCCTTATTAACTGTGTTAGCTTTCTTATCTTTAGAGCTCAGGTAGGAAGTAAGAGCCGACCTCAGCATGCCAACAGGTATCAAGTGAGAGAGGTCAGCACAGTCTACACCCTTATGATATAGCTTGAACACATCAGCTCAGAAGTACTCTTCATAAATTCTAAAAAGAGACCTTCTTCCAGATTATCTCGCACATGGCAGCAGCCTGGGAGTCCTTAAGACAAAACTCTCTAGTTCTAGAACAATTCAAACAAGGTGCATTTACATTATATTTAATATTTTGCTGTAAGCAGACGATAGAATCTACTCAAAACTATCTCTATTTCACTGTTTGCCCATATTCCCATATCCGTCCTTTATTTCTCAGCTTATATCTTTCTTGAATTTCTAAAGATAAGAAATCTAATTTATTCATGTATTCATTATACAATAAATATTAAGTATCTCAGAAAAGGGCAAATAAATAGATGATAGATGATTAATAGATAGCTAAATATATAGACAGATAATAGATAAATAGCTAGATAAAACAGAGATGAGTTATGGCCTAAAGAAATGGCTAAGGAAGAAGATTGCATATTGAGGATGTTTTAAACTAGGTATTGAAGGATACTTGGGATTTCAAAGTATAGAGAGCAAGGAGAAATCATTTCGAGCAGAATAAACTGCATGAACAAAAAGGTCATCACACGTTGGGAAAAGCAGATTATTTGGTTTGTGAAAGAGAGTAGTAAAAATAAAACTGAGAAGGTAAATTAGGGTTAGATCACATGAGAGTTCGAGTGCCAACCAAGGAATATTACTCTGTCAATAATCTAGGTTTGAGGAAAGCACAGTCAACAACTCTCTAGCTTTCATAATTTAAGTAATGAGTATTATAATCCACCAAACCTCTGGTCTTTAGGCTCCACAGGGGATACGTTAGATCAGTGGTAGAGAAAAGGTCCTCATATTTAATGAGTCCTCCTCCAGCTGAGATTATCATGCTGCATCTATTGAAGTTAATCATCTCACATGATTTGAACAAGAATCTCACTAGTTCCTAATCACACTAGCATTGGCCCTTCATTCTCAATAACAAGTTCTATAGAGTTACCTAAAGGCTGACACTGAGGCTGGCTGAGATGAGAGCGGTGAGTATCCCAAGCACATGTGAGATGTCTGTAGAAAGTTTGACATAAGCTGTCATTTGATTTTGAATAAAGCCAAATTGTTCATAAGTGATTGGTTACTTATATATGTCTAGTTCAGGTTCTCCCTATGATACAGAAAGTCATTATAGTATACGTGGAACTCTGAGATCTCCTTACACATCTTTTAAGGCTCACTCCTAACTGTTTAGGATTCTTTGATAGAAGGTGTTTCCCAGCACCTTCTGTTATGCTCCCTCTTTATTGTTCTCTAGTGGACTTACTGACTTCTGATATGCTTTGTTTTTATGTATGTATTTGTTTACTTTCTGCCTCTCCTCTCCAAATGTTAGGTCTTTGAAAACAAGGATTATTTGAATGTGCCTGTTTTGCTCACTGTTGTATCTCCAGCATGTAGAAGAGATACCTATTGAAAGACTGCTTTTGAAACTGAAGACAAAATATAGAGGAAGGTAAGCACATATTAACTGGTATATGGGGGAAAAAAGGCTTCTGTATAAAACTCCCCCCAAAAACTCATATGCTATATAATTTGAAAATATCATCAGCTAATTATGTCACGGACGAATTTTCTATAAAACTCAAAGCACTTTTAAATTAAAAGTATGTATTTTTTCTTCCTGTTACTGAAGTAACAATCTCATTCTCTCTATTTTATACAAAGGGAAATCATGGCAGAGAGAGAGATACTCTGGAGTACAGCAGATGAATTCAGAGCTTCTGACTCTAAGGGCCATCTATATTCTATGCACTATTTAATGTTAGTTTATATTTTACTACCAGTGAGATTTAAGTGCTGAATTGAATAGAGTCCTAGAATTTGTACCAATAAATAATGTTATTAACTTATGCTCTTTCTGCTAGCACATGGCCTTCTCACAGATATAAGCAAACAAATAAATAAAGAGCAACACAGAAAGAGGAAAGGTGAATAACTTAAAGGGGTGAACATGGTTGTTCTTATTTTTAAAATCCAGATTGTTCATTTTCGTTGTAATTGTATTGTATTCTACTGGCAGAAAGAGATGAGATTTAGTGTACTATGCAAATTATAGTAGGTCCACCACAGCTTATCAAGTTCTGAGAACAGTATGGTTTCTTTTTCCTCAGATCCTCTTTTACCCTTAAAATATCTTCTGGATTAAAATTCTCATTCAATGAACCACATCTTTCAATATAAAAAATGAAATTATAAAAGTACTAAAAGAAAACATTAGTAAATTTCTTTATAATCTTGGCATAAGAAAGGACTTTTTACCTATAACTCATTATCTAGAAGCTACATAGAAAAGATTAGTAAATCTGATTATATTTACAAACAAACTTCAGTATGGCCAAAAAATCCATAAGTAATTTTTAAAAGTGGGAAAAACTTATGCAGCTCACATAGATAAAAGGATTATCATCTTAATGTATAAATAGCAAGAAATACATAAGAGAAAGACTAACAACCCAATAGAAAGAAAAGGCTAAGGAGATGAACAGACACCTTATGGAAAAATAAACGCTAATGACATTAAACATATTAAAAAAGATGGTTGACATCACTTATAATTTTAAAAATGCAAACTAAAACTATACCGAGATACCGTCTTTTACCAATACAATTGGCAAAAATCCAAAAGCTTAACCAAGCACTATTTTATAGTTGAGGCTTGGGTAAAAAGGTACTTTTATATATGCCAATGGAGCTGCTAATTGATCCAACTCCTGTCGAGATCAATTTGGCAAAACTTTTCAAAATTCAAGATGCATATAACCCTTTGATCAATAATTTTATTTCTGAGAATTTATCCTGCAGATAAACTTGCACATCTATGAAATGATTTATATATAAGGTTGTTCACTGTAATATTGTTTGAAATGAAAAAAATTGTTTATCAATCGGGACTGAATAAACCATGATGCATTTATATAATGGAATACTGCAAAACTATAAAAGAGATTAAGGCAGTTCTCTATGTATCAATAGCAAAAGACCTCTAAGAGATACTGGAGAATACAAGATTGAGAACAGTGTATAAAGTGGTTTAACTTTTGTGTAAGAAGGTGGAAGGAGGGAATATATATTCACTTTTTTTGCATAAAAAGACCACTGGAAAGTTACACAAAAAAAATAATGAATAAAAGTGGTTACTAATGGGAATAGAAAGAGAAAAAGGTGGATGGGGAGAAGTGAAGACGTTTTTACATAGTTTTGATTTTTGAACCCTGGAAATATATAGCCTGCCTCTTCAAATATATTTAAAATATATGTAAAATATATTTAAACAAATATATTTAAAAACTAAATGAAAGATAATCTCATATTAAAGTAAAAATGAGAACAGCATAGCAATGATAAAAATGGTTCCTGAGCTCCATAAATTTCTCCCAACTTTTAGCTACCGGTGCAGCCAATATCTGGGTAAACGTGGTAAAAAAAACTTGGCAGTTTGGTCCAAATGGCGTCTTTGGAGCAAAAAATGATTCAGGTTCTTCCCTTTGACTTTGTAGCATTCTTCAGATGTTATTAAACAGTTATTCCTTTCTAAGCTCAATCGAGTTACCAGTAAAATATAAAATGACATTAGTGTTGCAGCTGTGAACTAGTTGGGATGAATCCCTTTAAAAGCCTAGGATGATTTCCATGTGTTGAGTGGAGAAGACCTGGATGTTTGCTTGTTGCTACGTAATAAGAACAAAACACATTTCTTGAGGAATTTTAATGTGTAAAATTGTTTTTAAAAATAAGTAAAATCTATTTATTAATTATATAATATTTATCAATCTTCTATAATACTTAGGCGATGTACTCAGTATGCATAACATTCTTAACAGGAGGCAGAATACATCATTAGGCAGATGATGTATGTTGAGTACTTAGAAGTTCCTAAAGGAGAAGCCTATAAAGACAGTGCATTATAATTAATAATAAATGTAATAGTATAATTTTTTTGTAAAATAAGCAACACATTTATCCACTAGTCAGAAATTATAGCTTCAATTCAATAAGCTGCTTTCTCATGTTTGTATTGAGAATGCCATCTAGAACAATCTAGAAGCCACAGACAAGAGCAGGGGTGAAAGCTCCTAAATTTCCTATTTCCGTTGTCCCATGACTTTTTGGTAAAAAGATAATCAGTGAATTACCCATTTTGTGTAAGAATTTCTTCCTCTGGGTTCTGTTCTTATTTTAGGCAATGATTTTAAAACATGGAGGTAGGTAAGTAGGGAGTATTCATTCAATCATTCATTTGTATTAATTAAACACCAAGTATGTTCTGTGTATTTCGCTAACATTAGAAATGCAGAGACAAAAGACATAATTTTTGCCCCCAAATATTTCAATCTAGTGGGGAGAAAGGAAAGTAAATAACCAACTAATTATAACACAGGGTGAATAACCTGCTGTAATTGACTTAAGCATAAATAGCTGTGAGAGAACAGAGGCGTGGGACTCTGACTTTTAATGAGGAGGCTCAATAACAAGTTTTGAGGAGTGGGTGCCTTAGCTGAAACTTAAAGGATGGAAGAAGTTAACAAGGCAAAGATTTGAGAGGATAGAAAGGGATTCTAGGTATAGGTAACAGAAAAAAAAAAGTACAGAGCAAGACAGAATATGATCCATTCATGAACTGCAGGTGGTTCCAGACAGAGGATAGAGTGATGGTTGGGAATGCCAAGAAATGAGTTTTCAGGCCCATCCAGATTGTGATGGAAGCACTACTTTAGATAAGGTGATAAGGGAAGGCGGAGATCTGAATGAACAGAAAGAGACAGCCATGAAGAGCTTGGTGAGAACAACGTTCCCAGCAGAGAACTGTACTTATTGCACATATATGCCTATTTTAAGGAATGGTTAAAGAGCTAGGGGAACTGATTCCTGGTTGTCAGAGATGAGCAGCACTATTCCAAATACTCTTCCCCTGACAATTATCTAATCTCTTTTGTTGTCTCTGGAAGCATGGTTCTTTCCCATCAATGAATTCATTCAGTCCCTGTAATCAACTCTGATTAGTGTTGTTTAACATCAATCTTTTCTACTTTTTTTCAAAGAAAGATACCAATCAGTTGCTGCACACCCCTGCTTGTTAAAAGCAGCACCTCTCCTGCTGACTTACCGTTCTTTTAATCAAAAGGGCAGGAGGAAGCAGTTGGGATTCACTTTTCTTTTTTTTTCTTTCAAAGTACACAAATGTCAACTTCCTTAAGGATGTCTGGCATAGCTGAGTTCAGTCATGTAACATACAAAGTCAGCTTGATCAAAAGGTTGCAGGCTGCCCACTGCTAAAATGGAAGAGAAAAGGAAACCATGGGCTTCCCTGAAGTGTGAATGAGTGCATAGGCCACTGCCACGTGTGTATTTATACTGAAGACATGCTGGGCTGACAAGGGAGATTAGGAAACATAAATCCCCACCACTACACTGCTCTATCTTCACCTTTGAACCTCTGGAGCAGCACTTTCTCTCTTTCCTATTTCTTCTGTTGTGCCCAGTGAAGGAGTTACTATATAGCTTTATAGCAACTGCAAGCCATGGCTATTTTTGAATATTTAAAAAAAACATTTTTGCGGCCAGGCACTGTGCCTCACTCTTGTAATCCCAGCATTTTAGGAGGTTGAGGCGGGTGGATCACTTGAGGTCAGGAGTTCGAGGCCAGCCTTGCTAACATGGTGAAACTCCGTCTTTACTAAAAAAATACAAAAATTAACTGGGCGTGGTGGTGGGCACCTGTAGTCCCAGCTACTTGGGAGGCTGAGGCAGGAGAATAGCTTGAACCCAGGAGGCACAGGTTGCAGTGAGCCGAGATCACGCCACTGCACTCCAGCCTCAGTGACACAGTGAGACTCAATCTCAAATAAATAAATAAATAAATAAATGAATAAATTCTTTTGCCCCAACATTTAGTTGAAGTTTATAATTCTCAATTTGCAATATGAGGTTATAATTCACAATATGCAATATGAGGTTATAATAATCTCAATATGCAATATGAGGTTATAATCATTTCTATGGATTTAAAAGTGTTAATAACTAGAAAAAGCATAAAACTGTTCATTCATTTTTTTTTTTTTTTTGAGACAGAGTTTTGCTCTTGTTGCCCAGGTTGGAGTGCAATGGCATGATCTCGGCTCACTGCAACCTCCGCCTCCTGGGTTCAAGCGATTCTCCTGCCTCAGGCTCCCAAATAGCTGGGATTACAGGCATGCACCCCCAACGCCGGGCTAATTTTGTATTTTTAGTAGAGACAGCGTTTCTCCATGTTTGTCAGGCTGGTCTCGAACTCCCGACCTCAGGTGATCCACCCGCCTCGGCCTCCCAAAGTGCTGGGATTACAGGTGTGAGCCATCACGCCCAGCCTCATTCTCTTACTCTTTTAATAAATCAGTATGTATCATGTGACAAACCTGTATCTGCCAATATGACAAACCCTTGTCAATAATTCTCCTGGAAGATGCTTCTGGCAACCCAGAACCAGAAAATAATTTTTCCAAAGAGTTGATTATCTTAGACTAAACTAATGACTCAAGTTGGTTTTACAAATAGGGAACACTCTGTAAATACTCATGGACATATCTAAACCTGAACATACATTCTCATGAAGCACAAAAATCATCATATATGGTTACAGTCCCCAAACAAGGCTGCAGAAGAATTTAACATTCGTAACAATGTACAGCTAGTATAATTACATTTTGTGCAACCTCGTAATTCTTTAACAGTACAACTGAAGTGATGAGAAGGTACATACTGATATAAGGTAACATAGCTCTGTGTTCTAGCCAAAACTAGAACTCAGGATCCATTATTTTTAATCTAGGAACTTTTATGTGATGACCATTTACTAGGAAGGGTTGGGAGTAAAAAGCATAAGGCAATTGATATAGAGAAACAAGGATGCTTTAAAAAAACAAAAACACCAGTCTAAAAGAAGACTATTCTTTACTCACTTGAAATGGCTCTGAATTCCTGGGAAGAGCATAGGAAGAAATGTAACTATAGGATCACTTTTATATGAGTAAATTAATAAATCATTTCCCCTATGTTCTCTAAGAAATCTTTTAGAACAATATTTCCCAAACTTCCCTAATCATACCAATTGACTAGTTTCTTGTTTCAGATCCAAATGCCAAGGCCCCTTCGTGAAAATTTCTTATTCTCTAGGTTTATGGTAGACTCAGGAATGTGCATATTTCAAGGGTGACCCTGATGATTCTTAGTTCAGGGATGTTTGGGAAACACTGTTCTGGAGAAAACTTTGTACAATAGCTAAACATTTCTTCATTCCTAATGAATCATCCCATTTTAATGTTTCTGTGGTGTGTCTTAAGCAGGTGCAGACTCTCATAGCAAACCATAAACTCCTATGTTCCTTTAAAATAGCTTAAGATACATTTACTCAGTTTTCAGGATTAGCAAAAAGTCAAATAGGGCTGTTAACTAGCCCATTCCCACAGAAGCACCAACCTGTAATTCCCAAGTATCAATTCTAATGTGTTCAAAAATAAAAGCATATGCTTAGTCATGTAACAGAGGGTTTCTTTTTTTACTTTTATTTCATTGTCTGTCAATCTGGTTGATCAGATTACTAATTTCTACTCTACTGGAAGTGATCTTTAGAAAAACAGGTCTGCCATGTTTGCATTACAGAGATATTAACAATAATAATGATTTTTAAAAAGTAAACCAAACATAAATAAACAGGAAAAGAAACCACCATATTTGAGTCCAGTCTTTGTCCTGCCTAGTGAAACATCTGTCTTATACCTTTTTGACAGGCAGAAATAAGACCTTTCACATCGCCTCATCTCTCTGATAAATCAGTCTATTTCCTTACAAATTTGGTCTGAGACAAAACTCTTCTGCTCTTCCACTTACCATTTAGAAAGGCACAGTCAGAAACACCATCTAAGATGAGCTCACTTCTGGGTGTCTTTCAGTTAGACTTCTATTAAATGGATAACAAGAAAACTAACCAAGAAACAAAAATATTCCTGTCACTTCTTTTGCAACAATTCCACAATCTTGAGGAAAATTGAATTTTGAAGAAAAGAATGGTCTATGCCATCTTACAAGCATGAGATGGAGGAGCAATGACTATAAAGAATATTCGTTAATTTTGGTTGTACTGTAGTTATATTACAAATTGCACAATTAATTCCCACTATCAAATTACACTGGTAAACAGGCCTAGATTAAAAACACAAGCCTGCTCTGCTTGTTTTGCTCTGTTATACACAAAGTAATCTTAAATTCAGTTTATTATCATTAGTATGGTTTCACTTTGGGGGAAAAAAACTCTTTTTCCTCATAAGGCATATTGCATATTGAGATGATGAAGACCAAAGTCAATGCTGTAGAGAGTTGTAGGGATATAACTGCTGCTAAAATAAGCACTTGGTTTAGTAGACTATTTCCCTTAGACGCTTGGAGCACAATAATTTTTTCCTGCTGGGAGACAATGTATATCCTGAATGGGGTAGGGCCTGAAAGACAGTGAAATACAGCCGGAAATACACCTGATGGCAGAATCCACCAGGATCAGACAGCATCAGGACAGCATTAAACACAGTGTTTGAAGATAGCAGAGGTATGTGGACTCTCAAGGAACACTGAAAGATTACAGATTGTAGGTGAGCATGGTTTTGAGAGTCTATCTCTGCTAGCCACAAGAAAATTAGCAGTCAACATTTGCAAGGTCTGTTTAATTATGTCAGTGACCAGAGCTAGCCTCCCAGGTTAAGTGAGAACGAGAACTAACAAGCTGCCCCTAGCCTCCTTCAGGACTTAAATGATAAAGCCATGGCAATCACAGCAGCAGCAGCAGCAGCAAAAGCAGCAACAGCAGCAGCTGAAGCAGCAACAGCAGCAGCAAGAACATGGTTTTGACCCGCAGTTCTTGCCCATCAAAGAGCTGTGCCCTGTCTGCTCCCACTGACAGGCAGATAAATACAGAGATCTGTTGGCAAGTACATATTTATGTGTATCTACAGTTCCCTCACACAGACTTACAGAGAATGCATAACAGCTTCTAGTGGTATAACAAATGCACCCACTAATGGGGTGAGACCCATTACTCACAAATGGGTGAAAAGAAGCATCAATATGCAGGTCTTAACCCCAGTTTGTGGGCAGAAACCTGTCATTCCATTGCAGGCCGATAGGTCTCCTATTCACACAGTCCTTGTTTAATTTTCCAAACACCCTTTCTCTAAATGGTGCTACTCTGAGCTGTGTAGTGCAGACAGACAGGTTTGACAAGCAGAGCTGTCAATTTCACATTTTTCATCCCAACTGCAGGGCAAAATTAGGCCTTGTACGTAACTGGGGTTGACTGGTTAGGAAGGCAGGAGAGGTTGGCATTTAAGAGGTATTTTCCACATTAGAAACTCAGAACTCAAGATAGAAAACTCAAAAAGGGTTGTCCCTATTCAACATCCATGAAATCAGGAGAGTCCAAAGATGTGTACTGGTGGTCTACTGTGGGGCATATACATTTTGCTGAAACGAGAAGATGAAGGGAAAAGTAAAGCTTGGTCCTATCTAGAAGGAGCTATGGGTAAGTAAGTAGTGAAAGACACTCACTCAAATACCATAATATAAAAATGGGGCACTTGCCGTAAGAGAGGAACATAGCAACGTGTACACACAATTCTTGGTTAACCAAGAAGTTGAATATATAAGTAATATATTAGTCAAATTTTTATCCTTCAAAAAATTTTGGAATTGTCCAAAGAAAGGCCAACAGGATACATGCTAGGCAATGATGGGTGGATTAGGCATACAACGAAAGCAAGTTAACCAGCGCTGTTTCTAACAACCAAGTCCCAGAATATCCTTGGGATCTCTGGGACTATCTCAAGCATATAACATGAGTCTGGGATGGTTTTGAAATCTCTGCTAGCATATGCTCTGCCCTGAGGTTTCTTTTTGGTGCTGATTTGGTTGAACTGAAGAAGGAAGGGAGAACACATAGAAGAAGAGTTCTCTCTATTTTCAGGCGGCAGTCCTATCTATACCGGTGGTACAGTTAAGAACCTAGAATGAATGCTCCTCCAGAATCCCCTGTGCAGATCGACACTCTATGGTATATGAGATCTCACAGAGTCTTGCATATCAGAAACTCACAAACGGGAACACAGAAGAGTCTGTGTGTCCCTGAGTTTATGCTCAAGCTGTCAAACATCAAGAGTAATTTATGTTGTTCAGGAACATACTATAACAAAGCTCTCACAGGTTGGAGGCTTCAGTGAGCCTGAGGGCTCACTTCCCAACCTGGACTTACCCCATAAGGAGCAACGGACTTTGCTAACATGAAATCAAAAGGCAAAGGAAATCAGGCATTTAGGAGGTATTTTACAGTTACAATTACCCAATCCTAGGTTGGACTAGGATTGGGGTTGGTGGGGAAGGAGACATGGAAAGTGCTGTTAAATGTTGTTTGAAATGTCCCTTTTTGATCCCCACAGTCATGAGTGTATTTGAGTCTTGATTGCTCTTTACTTAAATTATTGTCATTGCCCCTCAGTTGGCATCTCTGACTAATCCCAACCCTCTCAATCTACTCTGCACACTATAGCCAGGTTAACTTCTAAAACATGCCTTTCATTATTTTTGCTTGTCTCTGTAAGTGTTTCAGTTATTCAGCAAATCCTTATTGCATTCTAACTGTCTGATAGCTATTGTTCTCATCACCCACAAAAAATAAATCTGGACTCTGCCTGCCTTTTGGAATTCACATCCTAGTCTTCAATAACATGGCTCTCATTTCTAGTTTCACTACTTCCTGTATACACCAACTTTATTTCCATTGGTTGATATTTTTCTTCATCCTCCCTACTTCTCTGTTTTCCCATATTAAACCATTGGCTACCATCTTTGCTTCTTTCCAAAAGACCTTTTATTCCATTATCTTTCAACGTCCAGCTTTTACATCTACAGCTAAAGTTCTCCGTCTACTATTAATCAAGCCTTCTATACTCCTTTCTAGGCCACCATAATGCAGATTCTTGTAGTACTCACTACCTTTCGTTATTGCTCATGTTGGTGCATAATGGCAGATTGGTAATTTCCAGTTAGTTTTAGGATCTAATTACTAGTCTCTGCAATAAGAGTATAAAAACCATAAGCTCTCTGTGAGCAGGTATTGTGTTTCTGATAGTAACATTATTAACTGTTGTGATAACTGTGAATTAAGTTTAGCATCATACTTATTTCTAAATTTAAATTGTACCACTTCTAACAAAATTTTCTCCATCGTTTTATTAAAAAAAAGTCCAAAAGAGGATGACAATAACAGGAACACAATAAATATATATCCACATGTAATGGTCAGTGGTCTTTTCCAGTGACAATAATGCTGCATTTTGCTATTAGCTCCTTTCTTTTTTACGTGATATTCACTATTAGACATACTACTACACTAATGCCAACATTTTCCAGTAAAAATTGACATTAATTAAGCTTTGGATGTTGTCAGCACTAGCCTAGGGATAGGGTAGGTTTAGGGCCACTGAGACCAAGTTCAGGGTATAAGATCTCTGATATTCATCAAGCAGCTAAGATAAGAAGCATAATGAAAGGCAAAACAAATGGTACACCATATAGTATGCCGAATATTTTTAATGCTGATTTTTGTAGATAGAACTTGATATCAGCTTTTACTCATTTGTTATTGATATATGTGTATTTTCTTAAAATATAATAAATATAGAAAAGGGTTTGTGAATAACATAATATGAAGATCAGAATCAAGATTAGAGCCAAGGGCATCAGATTAAAATGCAGATGAATAATGAATCACCTGTAAGATTAAAGCTCTAATTCCAAATGGAAAGAAAGCATTGGCAAAGGCATACAAACATGGTTCTAGTGTGGTGTTCACAGTTCCATGAAGGAAAAGATGAAGCAGATAGGAGGGTGGGCCTACTGTATGGACTAGGTACTGGTATTAAGGGTTTTGTATTAGGCAAGAAGACAAAAATAATTAAAAGAGTTTGGACTGGAAGACTGGGAATGATAACTGGGGATAGTGAATAGGATGGCCTAGGTGTACAATGAGGTCAGCATTTAGCACATCAGGTGGCCAGGACTAGGACCTAACCAAGAAGCTGGAAATAGAAGGAAACTCCTTCATTCATTATTTGACCTTACATTTTTTTATTGAATAATAGTAGTAGACTGATCTATAGACCTAAACCAGTGGATCAACAGACCTAGACTAGACCATGCTTAACAGAATTTACAGTTTGGAGGGAAAATAGACATGAAAGACTTAAGTAATAAGATGAGAGCAGCCAGAGACAATGAGTAGGTAATAGGAGTGAGGCCCACCAAAGAAGTGATCATATATCAGCTACTTGAAACCAGTGGTAAAAGTAAACTCAGTACCAAGCTCACTTCATCCAAAGCATGGATTCCTTATATGTTCTCTGCTTGGGATAATATTAAGATCAATCTGTATGTAAAGCTTACACAGCTAGGACAAGCAAGGATTCCTAGGTCGGGGGAGTGTGTTCACATATGATGGTGTCTGTGCATGTAGGTTTTTTTCCTAACAAGTATTAACCATGATCCTATAGCATAAGAGTGAGTGATGATGAGGAGGATGATAATGGTAATGATGATAACAGCAGCTGTTTATTGAGTGCTTATTATATACTAGGTATTGGTTTAAATATTTTACATTTATTAGATTACTTACTCCCCACAGTAATTTTATAATAAAAACAAATTTATGGTCCCCCACCTCCTTCTCCTCATCCTTAATTTACAGATAAAGAAACTGAGTCATGAGAATTAGTTTTCTTAAGGTTACAGTGTTGTAGAATCTACGTAGTCTTCACTCTTAACCACACTGCTCTACTGCCTAAATTCAGGTAACCAACAAAAGAGTTGCCCTGCCTCATCTTGGAGCTTATAGATGTCTACAGAATATATTGAGAAATATATATGAGAAATGATTTAAGGATATTCTTACCAGAGCAGTAGCCATTCTAAAAATTATCACAATGGTATATTATATTGTTTAGACATAAAATGAGAGTATTGGGGTAACATATATCAGAGATTTGGCTCTTACAGATTTTAATTTTTAATTGTACTATTTAAGGGAAAAATTGAGTATTGTGAGGAGCACTGGAACAATGGAAAAGGTAATATGGAAAGTAAAAAGTTTAGTCTCAGCCTGGTAAGTGTGGCTGTCTATCTCTTCAAGCTTCCTTTCCTCAACGGGGTGACATAAGGGTTAATAGGATGACTGTAAAATGCAGTTACCTTATGAAGAATGAAAAATCCCATTATTACTGAGATTTTTCAAACCCTGATAATTCTGCTGGGATTTTCTGAACCATGATAATTCTGCTGGGATCTGGTATTAAACAGCATGTAGACAGATTAATCCCAAGCCCAGAAAAGAGCAAA